>NC_000002.12:190822951-191125981 GCF_000001405.40 Homo sapiens | reverse complement strand
ACAAATAACTTCAAATGTATCCATTTTAATTTACCAACAAGAAGTTCATGACTCAGGGAGGATGTTGGTTTTTTCATCAAGTCACCAGGCACCCTCTGACCTTTCATTACTGCCTTTCCTAGAGATGACCTGGGGACAAAAGATTTGCTCAACTTAAATCTAACTCTCCCCGCACTCCCTTTCAATAATGAGGATCCAGGCCCGGCATGGTGACTCATGTCTGTAATCTCAGCACTTTGGGAGGCTGAGGTGGGAGGATTGCTTGAGGCCAGGAGTTCAAGACCAGACTGGGCAACATAGTGAGACCCTATCTCTACAAAAAATTAGTTGGGCATGGTAGCGTGCGTACACCTGTAGTACTACCTACTTGGGTGGCTGAGGTGGTAGGATAACTTAAGCCCTGGAGTTTGAGGTTACAGCAAGTTACGATTGCACCACTGCACTCCAGCCTGGGTGACAGAGCAAGGCCCTGTCTCAATAATAATAATAATAATAATAATAATAAATAATGAGGATCCACAGCCAATGGCTCAGTAGATAGTCAATTTCCAGTTGTCTATTACCATATGCTCTGATTGGCTACTTCTGTCAAGAACATAGTGATCTCACCTCCAGTGGGCTTTTAAGTGCACAATGAGGTGTAAAGTTACGCAGGTAGCCAAGATCTGTGTTGGCGCCTAAAAAATGAGAACCTCGTAAATGCCTGTGACATCAAGAACCTGCCTGATTTCTATCGTTTAATCTGTGACCTCTGCCTCAGTAGAAAGATACGGGAATGGGAAGATAATCTGTACCATATCAAACTTTTAAAAAAACAGCTGCCTTTCACAGCTTACCAGGTTTCCATTATTTATATGTCAAGATTTATGTTAGAAATAATTAATATTTCATTGGCTCTCTGTAGCTAAGCAAATCATCAACTCACCAAATCTTTTCCCTCGGATTCTTACATTTGTATTCCTAACAAATAAGAAGTCTTCCTAGAGGTGGAGACATAGAACTATAGAGACAGAGACTTCTCTGGCAACACTGTGGAGTATAGAATAGCAGTGGTGCAACTGGAGGCATGGAGACCTGTTTGAACATTATTGTCATAGTGCAAGGAAAAGGAAATTAGGATTCTGATCTAGGAAGTGGCATAGGAATGAAGAATATGTTCTGGACTTGTGAGAGAATTTGGTGAAAGAATTGACATGTAATGAGTAAATGTGAGAAAGTGAAAAATAAGAGATGGCTGAGGGTTTTATCCTGGGTTATTGACATAGATAGACACAGATATTGATGCACAATGGAGATTAGGTTTAGGGAGGGAGGTGGGACAACAAGATGAGTTTGATAAACTCTACGTGATTTACAGTAGGAAGTTATTATAATGGGAAATAACTGGAACTAATGTGTCTACATATTTGCCTGCCTCCTGCATAAGACTGTGAGCTCTTTGAGTGCATTCATCTTTGTTTTCCACTGCTTAACACAGAGCCCAGCATATAGCAAGGGCTCAGTGTCTTTTTTTTTTTTTTTTTTTTTTGAGACGGCGTCTCACTCTGTCGCCAGGCTGGAGTGCAGTGGTGCTATCTCGGCTCACTGCAACCTCCTTCTCCTGGGTTCAAGTGATTCTCCTGCCTCAGCCTCCCGAGTAGCTGGGACTACAGGCATGCACCAGCACCCCCAGCTAATTTTTGTATTTTTAGTAGAGACGGGGTTTCACCATGTTGGCCAGGATGGTCTCCATCTCTTGACCTCGCAATCCGCCAGCCTCCGCGTCCCAAGGTGCTGGGATTACACGTGTGAGCCACTGTGCCCGGCCTCAGTATCTTTTTTAATAAATGAGAAGTTGAGTTAACATTGAAAATATGAATATTGCCTTATTGCAATGAATATTCCTAACTAAATGGATCAAATGTCATGTCATTATTGCAAATTCAGTTTAGAGTTCATAAGAGCAATTTAGATTTTAAGATTTTCCTTGCTGAAATCAGCAGTTTCTAAGGATGGAAGGAATTGGTTTTGCAAAGAAGTGTACAGATGGTCTTCAACTTAGGATGGTTTGGCTTACAATTTTTCAACTTTATGATGGTACAAAAGCAATACACACCCAGTAGGAACCATACTTCAAATTTTGAATTTTGATCTTTTCCGGGGCTAGCAATAATAACGCAGTACAATACTCTCACGATGCTGGTCAGTCGCAGCGAGCCCCTGCTCCCAGCCAGCTAAGCAAACATGAGGATGAACAACCAATATTCTACAGTGTACTATATTCAATACATTATGTGAGATATTCAACACTTTATTACCTAATAGGTTTTGTGTTAGACGATTTTGCCCAATTCGAGGCTAGTGTAAGTGTTTTGAGCATGTTTAAGGTATGGTGTTCAGTAAGTTAGGTGTATTAAACACATTTTCAATTTAGAATATTTTCAACTGATGATGGGTTTATTGGGACGTAGCCCCCTCATGAGTGGAGAAGCATCTGTATTTCGAGAATATGGTACATGTGAGAGAAGGTCAGGCTGGATGGGACCAGAAGAAGGAAGGGTAGAGGAAACCTTTTAGCAGAAGGAGGGAGACACTAAACCTCTGGAAGCTGAGAGAAAATGTACCCACTCTGGAGAGGAGAAAGGACTAAAGTGAAAGGGAGTCCAAGACACACCTAGAACTAGCCTTCACCTAGGGAGCGGGGGAGGTGGTCTTTCTGAACCATCCCCAACTCCCCAGGAGCTAAGTCAGGAGCTCTGACACTCTGGACTCCAGGAATACAGAAGATCTTGAAGTTCCTCAAACAAAACACAGTACAATGACAAAGTGGTCGAGATTCACTTAGAAATTGCGTAGGAGAGCCATTTCTTTTCACTGCACACTCTGTTTCATGAGAAGATTATACAGTCAAACTGAAAGAGGTGTAGACTGAGGTCAAATATTATGTCATATTTTAATACAAGGCACTTAGAGCAAAGTGCATCACTTTTGTGCATCACTTTTTAAAGATGCTTTTATTGATGCAAAATAAGCATATGGTAAAACACACAAAGTTTAATTGTATAGCTCAATGAATTTTTTTAATATACATCCATATAACTACCACCAGTTCCAGATGTAGAAGTCTCTCCCATGCTTTTCCTAGTCAACACCAGTCACAAAGGTAACCACTATTCTTACATCACTGTAGATTTGTTTTGACTATCTTGAACTTCATGTGAGTGAAATTTCACAGAATAATTTTCTGGAGTTAGACTTTTTTCACTCTGTGTTATGAGATTTATCCATGCTGTTTAATGTGTATTTTTCTTTGTTTTGTTTTGTTTTTAATTACAGCTTAGTATTCCATTGTATAACTATAGTACAATTTATTTATTCATTCTTCTGTGGGTGGATACTTAGACTATTTCCAGTTTTTGCTTATTATGAATGAAACTCAGGAACATTTTTGTTTGTAACTTTTAGTAGTAGGCATAAGCACTCATTTCTTTTGAGCATATTCCCAGAGGTACAATGGCTGGGTAATAGGGCATTAAGATGTGTGGATTTAGGAGTTGCTGCCACACAACTTTCCATGGTGGTTGTGGTAATTAACACTGTCACAGAAGTATATGAGAGTTCAGTTGCTCTACTTCCTAGTCAACACATGTTATTGCCAGTCTTTTTTTTTTTTTTCATTTTTATGAATTCAGGGTGTGTCTAGTGGTAAATCATTGTAATTTTAATTTCCATTATCCTGATGATTAATAATGTTGAGAATTTTATGCTTGATGGCCATTTTGATATCCTCTTTATTTTTTTAAATTTTTGTAGGTACATAGTTGGTGTATATATTTGTGGGGTACATGAGATGTTTTGATACAGGCATGCAATGTGAAATAAGCACATCATGGAGAATAAGGTATTTCCATCCCCTCAAGCACTTCCCCTTTGAGTTACAAACAAAAAAAATATGGAATGCTTTACAAATTTGTGTGTCATTCTTGATCAGGGGCCATGCTAATCTACTCTGTATCTTTCCAATTTTTGTATATGTGCTGCTGAAGCAAGCACTATTATCCTCTTTTTTATTAGTATTATACGTTAAGTTCTAGGGTACATGTGCACAACATGCAGGTTTGTTACATATGTATACATGTGCCATGTTGGTGTGCTGCACCCGTTAACTCGTCATTTACATTAGGTATATCTCCTAATGCTTTCCCTCCCCCCTCCCCCTTCCCCCCACCCCACAACAGGCCCTGGTGTGTGATGTTCCCCTTCCTGTGTCCAAGTGTTCTCATTTTTCGATTCCCACCTATGAGTGAGAACATGCGGTGTTTGGTTTTTTGTCCTTGCGATAATTTGCTGAGAATGATGGTTTCCAGCTTCATCCATGTCCCTACAAAGGACATGAACTCATCCTTTTTATGGCTGCATAGTATTCCATGGTGTATATGTGCCACATTTTCTTAATCCAGTCTATCATTGATGGACATTTGGGTTGGTTCCAAGTTTTTGCTATTGTGAATAGTGCCACAGTAAACATACGTGTGCATGTGTCTTTACAGCAGCATGATTTATAATCCTTTGGGTATATACCCAGTAATGGGATGGCTGGGTCAAATGGTATTTCTAGTTCTAGATCCTTGAGGAATTGCCACACTGTCTTCCACAATGGTTGAACTAGTTTACACTCCCACCAACAGTGTAAAAGTGTTCCTATTTCTTCATATCCTCTCCAGCACCTGTTGTTTCCTGACTTTTTAATGATTGCCATTCTAACTGGTGTGAGATGGTATCTCATTGTAGTTTTGATTTACATTTCTCTGATGGCCAGTGATGATGAGCATTTTTTCACGTGTCTGTTGGCTGCATAAATGTCTTCTTTTGAGAAGTGTCTGTTCATATCCTTCGCCCACTTTTTGATGGGGTTGTTTGTTTTTTTCTTGTAAGTTTGTTTGAGTTCTTTGTAGATTCTGGATATTAGCCCTTTGTCAGATGAGTAGATTGCAAAAATTTTCTCCCACTCTGTAGGTTGCCTGTTCACTCTGATGGTAGTTTCTTTTGCTGTGCAGAAGCTCTTTAGTTTAATGAGATCCCATTTGTCAATTTTGGCTTTTGTTGCCATTGCTTTTGGTGTTTTAGACATGAAGTCCTTGCCCATGCCTATGTCCTGAATGGTATTGTGTAGGTTTTCTTCTAGGGTTTTTATGGTTTTAGGTCTAACATTTAAGTAATCCATCTTGAATTAATTTTTATATAAGGTGTAAGGAAGGGATCCAGTTTCCGCTTTCTACATATGGCTAGCCAGTTTTCCCAGTGCCATTTATTAAATAGGGAATCCTTTCCCCTTTTCTTGTTTTTCTCAGGTTTGTCAAACATCAGATGGTTGTAGATGTGTGGTACCAAAACAGAGATATAGACCAATGTAACAGAACAGAACCCTCAGAAATATCCTCTTTTTTTAAAGTACCTCTTGAATTCCTTTGCCTGTTGATTGGTTGAGACAAGGTTTTGCTCTGTCACCCATGCTAGAGTGCAGTGGCTCAATCACGGCTCACTAGCATGCCACCATACCTGGTTAATTTTTTTATTTTTCTATTTTTATTTTTGTAGAGGCAGAGTCTCCGTATGTTGCCTAGGCTTTTTGATCATTTAAAATTGTTTTGTCTGTCTCTGTTTTACTAATTTTTAATTCTTTACATATTCCAAGTGGGTCTTTGTCAGATATATGTATTGCTAATGTCTTCTGCACTGTGCCTTACCTTTTCAGTCTCCTCTACATGGTGTCTTTTGATGAACAACAGTTCTTAGTTTTAATTGAGGCTCAATTTTTCAATTTTTTAAAATGTTACCGTTCTTTGTGTCTTTTTTTAAAGAAACTTTGCTTGCCTTAGATCATAACATTCTTTTAGGTATTCTTCTGGGACCTTTAGTGTTTTAGTCTTTTACATTTAGGACTATGATCCATTGGATGCCTTTTATATCTGGAACGAGATAGGGGTAAAGTAGGCTTTTTCCATGTGGATACTACACTTGACCTTAGCCAAAAGGCTAATAAGTGATCCATGTGGTTATCTAATTGACCCAGAGCCATTTCTTGAAATGATCATCCCTTCCTCATTGCACTGCAGTGGTGTTTTTGACATGAATCTGGGGACTTTTATTTATGTGAGTCTCTAGTATGTTAGTCTATTTGTCTCTCCCTGCACCTATACCACATTATAGATAACTACCATAGATTTGTAGTCTTGATATATGATAGTAAAAGTCTAGAAACCTTGTTCTTCTTCAAAATTGCCTCGATTTTTCTTGATCCTTGGAATTTTCATATAAATATTAGTAGTAGCTTGACAATTTCAACAAATAAACCTGCAGGGATTTTCATTGGGATTACACTAAATCTATAGATAATTTTGGGGAAAAAATGACATCTTAATAATTTTGAATCTTCCAATTCTTAAACACAAAACATCTTTTCATTTATTCAGGTCTTCAATTTCTCTTAGCAATGCTTTACAGTGCTCTTAGGTAAGTCTTTCATGTCTTATGAATGTACCATAATTTAACTAGCCCTCTGGAAATGGGCATTCCTTTTCCATTCTTACTCCATTCTATCTTTATAAGCACAATGAAATTAAAAGCCTCACATGTACTTTAAATTATTTTAAAGTGCCATAATTGATATCTAAAACAACTCATTCTCCTCTCCTATATTCTGATCAACCAGCAAGAAGTCAAAGGGCAAAGAATGACCCCAAGGGTGTCCCATCTTTCGGGACCCTTTTTAGCATATTTTAATTCACCTACTAATTGGACGTTTATTAATTTTTTAGTTTTTCACCAGTATACACAGGTGAAGTACACATACCTGTTGTTAAAATTTCTTTCATATTTGTGATTATTTTGTCAGAACCATAGGTCTTAACTCTGTGCATCGAAACCAGTTGTGTTCGGCTGGGCATCGTGGCTCAAACCTGTCATCCCAGCACTTTGGGAGGCCAAGATAGGAGGATTACTTGAGGCCAGGAGTTCAAGGCCAGCCTGGGCAACATAGTGATACCTCATATTTCCAAAAACAAAAATTAGAAAAACTTAGCCAGGCGTGGTGGCATGCACATTTACTTCCAGCTCCGTGAGAAGCTGAGGTGGGAGCATCACCTGAGCCCAAGAGTTTGAGGTTGCAGTGAGCTATGATCAAGCCACTGCACTCTAGCCTGGTCTACAGAGTGAGACCCCAACTCAAAAAACGATCATAACAATCCAAGTTTAATGTGACAAAGCAATTCCATTTCTAGATAATTATCCTACAGAAATTCTCACATAGATAAAGGATACATTCAAGAAAGATCATTGTATTATTATTCATAATAAAAATGCAAAAATGATCTTAAAAAGTCTATTCTTAAATGTCCACATTGATTAAATAAATTGAAGTATCTCCATGCAACTTATAGCACTATTAAAAAACTATATCTGAACACACTGAAATGGAATAATGACTATATTATGTTATCAAATGAAAAAACACAAAACAATGTCTAGTATGATTACCTGCAGGGAATCAAGGGAGGAAGTGAAAGATGAAGATCTCACCAATTTTTGATTTTTCTATTACTTGAACTTTTAAAAAATAGGCCCCAATTATATTAGTATTAAAAGACAAACAAACAGATTCAACAGATTCCCAGACTTCAATCCCAGAATCTCAAAGGAATGTGACCCAGAAATCTGCAGTTCATAAAGCTTCACAAGTGATTCTGATAAACTGCCAAGGTTGAGACCACAGCCTTAGGATAAATTTCTAAAAGTGAAATTGCTATGTCAAAGGGTGTGAAAAATATTAAGGCTTTTTATAAGAATTGCCAAATTGTCCTTTAGTAACGTGCCAATTCACATTCCCACCAGCAGTGCGTAAAATCTCATCCCATCATCAACCTGAGTGGTATAAAGTGTTTTAATCTTTGCCAGTTTGATAGATGAAAAACGCCAGGTCTGATTTATTTTGATAGAAGCATTGGTTTGTTGCATTTGGTTCTCTTTGGAGGATACTGTGTCCCATCTATCTTCCTCTTGAACAGTGTAGATAGATACATCCTTCTCAGTTTGTGTTTCATTACAAAAATCACTTGGGGAACTTGTTAAAAGTGTAGATTTCCAGCCCCCATTTCCAATTCTCACTGAATAGGTCAAAGGTGGAATTTGGGAATGTGGCTCGGAGAGGTAGGATTCAGGGAGTTCACAAAGGAGGGATGCATCCAGGCATCGGAAGAAAAATAAGCAATGGTGGATTTAGGATGTGGGTATTTTGTATTCTTAGAATGGACTCTACTCATTGCTTGCAATGCCCTCTGCCCAGGATGCAATTTCCTACTCCCCCAACCATCCTTCAAGTTGCAGCCCATGTCCTTCTCTATGTGTCATTAAAATCCACATCGAGTTTTCTCTCCTCTGCACTCCCACAGCACTTAGTGTCCAAACAACTCATCCTGACACTTAATCACATGCTGCAATTACTTTAGATAGATGAGAATCGACTTACAGTAATAAAGATAGAGTCTAATGGGAGTTGTAGAAGTATTATTTTAGGACAAGAAGAAATGCCCGAGGATGTTCTGGAAGATAATCATGCAATAAATTACATTTGTGTTGGCACTAAATTAGATGCAATGGCAAGTCTTTGAAATTTGAAGTCAGAACAGCCTTAAGCTATTAGAAACTTGTATTTCTCTGCTAAAATAAGAGCACTTTTTATCTTCCAAACTGGCAAAGATGAAAATCCCTTGATACCATTTTTGATTTGTTGTGGGACTGAGCAGCTCAGGTAATTCTAATAATCAGACAAGTTTGGGAAAGAATACCCCACACTCAGTGTTCTCAACATTGCCTGCTTTATTAGAATCCCTAATGACGCATTTGAAAATTAGCCATGCGCAGCCCCACTCCAGAGATTCTGTTCCTATTGGATTTTGTAAAGCTCCCCAGGTGATTGTAAGATGTAGCCAAGATTGAGACTCTGCTCAAAGTAATGCAAAAAGAATCACATGGAGATCTCACGTATATTTCATTATTCTTTGCCACTCCAACGGGAGGGATATTTGAGTTGCTTTCTTAGTGGAAGCGATGGATTCCCAAAGATTTATTTACTGTCCACCTCAAGCATCTTGTCATTTCTGAGACATTTGAGTAAATTTACTTTCAGTCATTTATTCATTCAACAAGTTATGTTGGGGAGTTTCTCTGCCAGGAACACTTCTGATGTTGGGATACAACAGGCAGTAAGACAGAGGTGTCTCCTGCCCATGAGGTATGTGATGAACCAAAGAGGACAGTAATTAAGTAATTGCAAGTAATTATACTGGAGCTGAGTCTTCAAGCAGCCTTCAGTGGTGTCCTGCTTTAACCGAGAAAGTTAAGTGGGATGGACTGTTCCCAAAGCATGCCACCTTTGTCTAAATTTCATGCAATATGCTTTTAAAAAAATTCTAAATCTATAAGGTTATTCCTTTTAACTTATTGTAAATCTACACTGATTTTATTAGAAGATTATTTTCTAGGCTACTCGGGTATTTCTTTCTAACTTGAATTAGCATTTCTCAACTTTCCTTGGGCTATTTTATTATAACTAGGCTGATTCTTCTTTATCTAAATTTTAGCTTGCAAAGTAATTGCACAGCCACAAGACCAGCTGACAAGGGCATTAATTTAGGATGAAATGTACAGGTGATATGATTCTGCAGAGAAGGTGGTGTCGTATCATAGGTGTAAAAGCACTGTATTATCAAACCAATTCCCTCTTGTCAGCATCAGTGAACAAAGGGTACATATGTGATCTTAGCTTCACATTGGGAATGGAAGAGTACCATTGACTTTGTCCATCACGGCCCTTACCAAAGCATTACATGTAATGATCAGAGCACAATTCAAGCAAATGAAGTTTTTCTGACAATCCAACACATTCTAAGTTTTTTCTGTGGTCATAATGTTCATTTCAACCAAACGTACCATATGACTAATACCTTACTCCTGCAGGAAGTAAGCAGTAATGTAGAATAGATATAGTTGTATCTGGCCTTCTGTAAGTAGCCCTACTTGAATAGTCAGAAAGAGGACCTAGTATTTAGAATAAGAGTACATTTTTGGACTCTTCTCCACCTCCCAAATTGAAGTTTATTGATGAATATAATCCTGGCATAACATATACAGGAAAATACAAAATTTATTCTTCACTGTCTATGCATTGACAGAAAGTCAGTATTTCTGAGGACTGAGGTCAGGTACCAGCTGAATCACCCAGATACTTAATGTAACCTAAGATTCTCATTGGAAACAAGCTATGGTGATTTTGCTTGTGGGAGGAGCATTCGGTCCAATTGTCATAGGTGACTAAGGACCTGATGAGACACAACGGAAATGGCTGGTCAGCTTTTGCAGAATCTGATAAGATAGCATCAAGACCAAAGCAGATGTTTTCAAAACAGTAGAGTTCTCCAAGGCATTGAAGCGTGGTTGACAGGTTATGTCTTGCACAAATGAACCAGACAGAAGGACAAGTGGGTGATGGAATCCAACCCACAACCCTCTTATGAAGCTATGTCTCCTAGGGTGAGACACCAAGGTTGCTTTATTTCATTGGATCCATTCCTAACCTCCAAAGAATTATTTTCCTCTCTGAGCCTTGAACAATAGCTTTGTTCATCACCAATGAAGCAGACATCTCATGACTGCTTACATGTCTGTGTTTTCTTTTAGCTTGTGAGTTTTTGAGAACAAAGGACCAGGAATCACCTTGACAAATGGGTTCTTGGTGAATGGGTTTTTGATGAAATGACCTGGAGGTGGAATTATCTCTTTCAACTTTGGATTCCCAATACTCAGCACAGTGTGTGGCATATAGCAGACCCTCCATAAGTGTTGGTAGAATTGAAAAACAGATACTTTTTTCTGTTTATAAAAGTAACACACTTTCATACTTGTTGTAAAAAAAATCAAAATACCAAATATAGAGGGAAAAAACAAATTTACCTTTTTTATCACATAAACTAATATGCGATTCAGTACATCAGTTCTGGAAACAAAAAAATAACAATGGCAATAATGACAACACATAAAAGTCTGTGAAATTTTGCCTGCGAGGGTAGGAACATACCTTCCCACTGCTTCAACAATACATTATGTGGCTGCTGAGCTGAACTGAAAGCAGAACTCCATCCTCTTCAACGTTTGTAATTGCTGTCTCTCCACTCCAAAGGCAGCCCCCAGCTCTGCAGCCCGTAAAGAAGCATGATCTACAGCAGTAGCCCTATGGCAAGTGAAATGATTTGGTAGGAGAGCCCCAGTGCTTTGATTATAGACAAAAGTGACGTCACTTTTGATAGGAGGTGTCATGATGGTGTTGTCACTTGAAGTGACTTCATATTTCTAATAAGTGCTCAGCTGAAAAATATGCAGAGAATGGAAAACACAAGTTATGCAACTGAGAGTTGTGACTTCCTGTTAAACTTAACGGAGGAGGTGAGAATAGAACAGTAAGAAAAACGATACTGAAATGCTTATTTTTAAATATATCGTTTCTTCTTTTGCTTTCACCACTATTCTATACTGCACACAAAATGTACCACAGTATCCATTTATTATATACCATATGCATAAGGAAAATAATATTTTAGATATGCAAGGAACCTTAATAATAATATGTATGCAACAAATAACCAGCAAAATTTATTTTTAGGGACATTCTATTGATTTATGGTCTCATTACCGTGATTTTGGCAAGACTTCAGGCTATAAATTTTATGCCTTGGCCAACTTTAAAATTATTTTAGCAGTTGAGTATTGAATACTATAACACTTAAGGATTGAGCTTTTCATTACGTTCACTGAAAATTATTCCTGTCTCTACCACAATTCAGGTAGATACACTAAGTCTAAAAAGTTACCTAAGTTGTAAAACAATTATGGCCCAGATTAAATTATAACAGCAGCTTCCTGTATATCACATCTTAGATCAGACCACAGTTTTCTTCAGAAACAATGTATTTTAAACATCAGATTTGATCAGCCATAAACTCTAGGGGAACCTCCTGTCTGTGGTGGTTGAGCAGAAGGGAGAGGCATATCAAAAATGATACATATGAAAACATGTTCTTTATATAAATCACTTTCTCTATTTCTGTAACATTTCTGTAATGTTCTCTGCTACTCTTGGGAGTACTCCCTGTACAAAAAGTGTACTTTTAAAAAATAAGGAATTTTCACAGATTTTCTTTATACTGGTTTCCGTAATTATTTTTTCTCTATCCTATTTCCCTGCTCCTTTTGATGAAACTCCAACTCGGAACACTCTCTAAATTTCATCTTTAACCTTTTTAATCTTTCTTCCGCATGATGACAAAAGACAAATTTGGCCCTAATGGTACCTAATTGCCTTCTTACATCTCCCTGTGAAGCCAAAAGTTTCCTTGAATCTCTTAAACCAATTCAGCCTTCTTCAAGTTTGACTACCTTGTATAAGTTTCTGAGCATATTTATATCCAATGCTGTTTCATTCTGTCAAATTCAGCACTTTTCCTTCTCTTCAATCCAATAAATTTGAAAAAGTGCTTTCTCCTGTGTCCCAAGCTCTGAACTATAACCCTGTTGGAGCTCTCAAGATCAAAGGAACAACTGTAATATAGGTACTAAGAGACAAGTTCAGATGCAAAGAAGGAAAAAATAGGAGAGATAATGCTTGTTCGGTGTGATTACTCACAGCAGTGAGATCAGTGCCTGGCAATAATTGCTGTTCAGTACAAATTTGTGGAACAAATGAATGAGTGGCACCAGTAATGTCTGCCAGCACTGGCTGTAATTGTATGGGCAGGATCTTCATAAGCAAAGGTGTGAGCAGGTGTTACAAGTGGGCAACACCATGTAGGCAAAGACACAGAGGCAGGAAAGCAATGAGACATGGGGAGCTTAGACCAGCACAACTGATGGGCCCACTTGCCCTACTCGTGTGAGTATTCCCAGATGGGCAAGAACAGCAGAGAGCTATGGGAATGCCCTTCCTGCTAGGGAGCAAAGTGAACTGGTAGTACAGTGCAGGGCTAAAAGATTCTTTTTCTTAATATATTTGCTCTATTATAGGACTGAACGTTGTATGTTTAATTCTGAGTCACAGAATAATTATTGCTTTCAAGAAATTATCCTGAATTTTCCTTCTGTAGTTTGTCCAAAGAGCTCTAGACTTGAAGACAGAGCGTCATTGTTCTGCTTCCACATCTACCATTTGTAACTGGGCGACCTTCCCCTCCCTAGGCTTCAGTGTTCCTCACTGCAGAAATGGAGTAATAATAACACCTCACAAAGTTGTCAAAAATGAGGTCGTACTTGGGAAAGTAATAACAGTAATAACAAAAGCTTCTTTTTTCTTAGATTGATTCATTGCTTCTTTTGGTTTCATCACTATCCTATACTACATATAGATTGTGCCACAGGGCATGTTTTAGTAAAAAATATATATGCATACATATACCCATATGTATTCATCCATTTGCATATATGTGGCTTAGAACAATGATGACCATTTACTACTAGATACACTGGTACACAGTGCTACTTTCATTACCTCATTATATCCTCACAACAGTCCTGGCAGGTATGTAATGTTATTTCTTCCATTTTACAGATGAGGGAACTGAGGCTTGGAAAGGTCACGCTGTTGCCCAAGGTCACATAGCTAGGAAATGAGACAATTTGGATATGATTTGGTTTTCTTTGAATCCAGAGTCTACACCCCAAATGTTACATACATGTAGGTAATTTCTCCAAATTTTGTCTTTTTATTTCTCCAAAAACATGTAGTTTATGATAATTTCTAACAACCTTACAGAGGTATAATGACATACAATATATATATATTTAAAGTGTACAATCTGACAAGTTTTGACATAAGTGTATACCCATGAAACCATTATCACAATCAAGATAATAAAAATATCCAGCACCCTTGAAAGTTTCCTCATGTCCCTTCCTAATCCCTCCCTCCTACCTCTCCGTGCTCTGCCTGCCAGCCCCAGGCAGCCGTTGATCTGCTCTTGTTTACCATAGATTAGGGTGCATTTTCTAGAGTTCAATCCAATTAGAATCATACAGTATGCACTTCTTTCTTTTTTTCTAACAGATAGGGTCTTTCCCTGTTGCTCAGGCTTGAATGCAGTAATGCAATCAGAGCTCACTGCAGCCTCAAACTCCTGGGTTCAAGCACTCCTCCCACTCAGCCTCTTGAGAGCTGGCACTACAGGCGAGCACCACCATTCCTGGTTAATTTTTTATTTATTTTTAATTTTCATAGAGATAGGGTCTTACTATGTTGCCCAGGCTGGTCTCTAACTCCTGGCTTCAAAAGATCTTCATGCCTCAGCCTCCCGAAGTGTTGGGATTACAGGCATGAGCCATCACACTCGGCCCCATGCACTTCTTTTTAACAGGCTTCTTTCACTCTGCATAATTATTTCAAGATTCATCCACATTTTTGCATGAATCAAGTGTTCATTTCTGTTTGTTACTGAGTAGTGTTCCATTGTAAGGATATACTACAGCTTGTTTATTTGTGATCATTTGAAAAAAAGTTATACTCCGAAATATTCAAGAACTGAAAAAGCAAATTATATTCTTAAATTGTTAATATTCTGCTTCTTAATTTATATTTACTTTAAAACTTGTTATGCGTGTCTTCCTAAAATGTTAACTATATCTCTAAATTGAAAAAGAATGGGATAAGAAGTTAAGTAGAGGAGAGGAAAAGGATAAGGCATTGTACCCCAGATATGACATCACTCCCATCTTAAATTAATTTTGAAACCTGACTCTTGCATGCATGCATATAAAATCTATATTTTTGCTTTTTATATGTAATATTCTACATTTGAAATTTTATATTTAAAATATAATTCACTGGCCGTGGTGGCTCATGCCTGTAATCCTAGCACTTTGGGAGGCCGAAGCAAGTGGATCACCTGAGCTCAGGAGTTCAAGACCAGCCTGGGCAACATGGTGAAACCTTGTCTCTACTAAAAATACAGAAAAATTCGCTGGGCCTGGTGTCACCCACCTGTAATCCCGGCAACTCAGGAGGCTGAGGCAGGGGAATCGCTTGAACCCAGGAGGCAGAGGTTGCAGTGAGACGAGACTGCGCCACTGCACTCCAGCCTGGATGACAAAGGGAGGCTTGATCTCAAAACAAACAAACAAACAAACAAAAATTTAAAAATAAAATATAATTCAATGTAGTGCTATAAATTTTAGAAACTCAGTGATACGGTACTTCAGTTGTATCAACTGAAATTCATGCATTTTCTCCTTGGCAATATAGTTATAAGTGGCCAATAAATTCCCCATCTTGGATACATGTATACCACGAAACAAAAAGCACTTTAAAGACAAAAGAAAAGTCTTTTTCAGACTTTCAGATTGGAATTAGTATGACACCCAGCTCCAAATGGTGTGTTAGAGATACCCGTGGATGTCAGATAGGCTAAAGTCTGGCTTCCCTCAGCCCGTTGCCCTGCCCGTAAAATAGGAATAATAGCTATCTTAGGGCTACAGTAGGCTTTGAATGAGATGATATGTGCGAGCACAAGGCATATAGAAGACATTTACAAATGTTATTCCCCAGTGCTAGCTCCTCCCATGTCCCTTATTTTGAAGACTTTAGCCTCCCTGGGAACTTTCATATGCCTCCCAACACCGATCACAGAGCCAGACACATAGCTGAAACCTGAATATTGTTGAATAAAGGCCTGAAGAAGACCTTTTCTTCTTAGCACTGACATCAACACAAATCTATGTTTGTGCAGACTGAGGAATGGTTTTGTGGTCATGTTTCCATAGGGACATGAAGTAGTGTTTCCTCAAGTGGTTGAGGCTGCTGTGCGGCCAGCATCTGATGCAGGGCCCTGTGGAAGGTGCAGTGGTTGGATCCTAGGTGGGAGGTGACAACTCATATTGGAAACCAGGAGTTTGCATATTGTGGCCTTTCTTAATGAATGGGGGCCCCTGAGAAACCTAACAGCCTTAAGGGACTGTTTAGACTAGCTAGAGCGTTGATATTCCCTCAAAGGAGGTAATTAGTAAACCAAGTACCCTGCAGTTGTGAGTTGCCCAACGCAGTTGCCAGGGAGCCCCATCATGGGACCCTTGGAGACTTGAAGTGCTTAGAAAATTGACCATGTTGAGTTAAAAAATGATCACATAAAACCAACAGTGGGATTCATTTTGAGGGATAGACATGGGAAATAATAGAATGAAAACATTCTAAGTACCACTGGAATAAGAGAAATCTAATGCAAGCTAAAACATTAAGGAAGGATCATTAAAATGTTTAAACTTCTCCCTACACTACTGAAAGCCTTCTGGAGGGGCTTTGACCTGGTTTGAGTTCCAGGTCAGCCTTTAACAAGGCATATGACCCCAACAAAGCCACCTCATTTCACAAATCCTCAATTTTCCCGTGTGTGAACTGGTGAATTCATAGCATCTATGTTTCTGAATTATTTGAAGGGAGACTACATGAGATAAGAGTGGGAATAGACAAACCGAACACAGAGCCTTGGATATAGTAGGTGTTCAGTAGATATTTGCTGAGTGAATGCCTGAAGGAGACATTCTCTTCTTAGCTATACAAATGGAACTCATCACTCTGGCTTCCCCACTTGTCTTTAAAAAAAAAACAAAAAACAAAACAAAACAAAAAAACAAAAAACCTGTCATTATATTTTATAAGTTTCTTTGAAAAGTTGAGAGATTTTTCATCAAAATGAATAGAATTTCCTTTTGGCCTCTGTTTTTCGCTTGTAGAAATGGAGATAATTCCCCCTGCCTCCTAGTGATGCCCTGCGACCCACAGGAAATCAGTGAAAGCACTCAGCAAACATCTAAAATGCTTCTCTTCTCAGTAGCAGATACACTTAATAGTGCATTGCAATTCAGATAGTTGGCAAGTGCCTTTGATAAATAGGAAAGTAAATAAAGCTAATAATTTGTAATTTTTCCAGTAGAAACCAAGAGGTTTCTGTTTTTGCCAAGTGGAAAAAAGGTTTGTCACACAAACAGTTTTATTTTTCAGAAAGTGTAGTAGACATGGAAAATTCAATTAAGAAAAACTGTTTTGTTAGTGAATCTTTATCAAATTTTGAAGGGCATGTACACAGTGTTTTAGAAATTTAGGGAGGTTTCCATTAGGGAATAGCACTTATTTTGGCTCTGACCTTTTAGCTGGTTTAAATCCGTCAGGCCCAACCACAGAATCACGGTCCCAGAGCATGCACTTGTTTTCTCCTTTTAACCTATTCATCACCGTTTTGCTGATGTTGACCAAAAGGTTTCCTTTTCTAAGTAAGAAAAATCCATGTGCTTTTAAGCTCTGTATAACTTGCATGCATGAAGTGCTGAAGTGAAATAAGCAATGTTTCACCTGTCCCTTTTCTTCTTCCCCCACCACCACCTCCTCTTCATTTCATATTTGACTTATGTGTCCTGAACACTTCACAGTCAGTTTCTGAATCTGTTTCTCAACGCATCATATGTGCAAGTGAAAGAATCTGTTTTCAAAAGGATGTTCATCTTTAATGAACAAGACTGTCACTATCGAGTTTATAGTTATAATGTTTACTTTTTTCTCACTAAGTTCTCTTATTTTCTGTTACTTCTCTGTAAGGTAAACAATGATAACGTCTTTTTTTTTTTTTTGAGATAGAGTTTCAATCTGTCACCCAGGCTGGAGCGTAGTGGCGCGATCTCGGCTCACTGTAACCTCTACCTCCCGGGTTCAACAGATTCTCCTCTCTCAACATCCCAAGTAGCTGGGATTACAGATGCCCCCTACCATGTCTGGCAAATTTTTCTATTTTTAGTAGAGATGGGGTTTCGCCATGTTGACCTGGCTGGTCTTGAACTCCTGACCTCAGGTGATCCACCTGCCTAGGCCTCCCAAAGTGCTGGGATTACAGACGTGAGCCCCCGCACCCGGCCAACAATGGATAATGTCTTTCTTTCATTCTTGGTGTGCTTCAAGGATTATAGTAATAGTTTTCAGAGATCATGAAAATTACTCCATTTTGTAAAATATGGGCATCAATGAAAGAAATGTTCTGTAGAAACTTTGGGCCCTTCATCCTATAGAAATGTTAGGACTTCTTCACATAATAAATACTTGCTGAAAAACTAAAACTATCATCGAGATTCTCTTCCTGTGACCATACGTTAGGACATCAGGAAGGTATGGTAGTAATCTGGGTTGAAAAAATAAATTATGTCCTGAATGTTTTCACTTGGCCTGTAAACTGATGCCATATTTGCTAACCCTGCAAACAAAACACTATATCAAAACCAAAAGATGGACACAGAATTTAAGGGTAATAGCATAATGTTTAACTGTACATGGGTCTGCAGATCAGATACCTGGGGTTAAAACCCTGCCTCAGATTTATTAGCAACATGATTTTGGGCAAGTTACATAAACCCAGCCTCCCCTGAACCTTGCTCTCTTTATCTTCTGTGTAAAATGGGGATAGTAATAGTATTATGCCCATTACTATAGGGCTGTTGTGGGGACCAAATGACAATTCAATTAAGGGCTTAGTGTGGTGCCTGACACTCAGAAAGTGCTCAATAAATATTATTTTATGAATATTTTTCTTTAAGATTGTTAACAGGCAGGAAAATTGTAAGGAAGAAATAAAGATGGACTCTGGATTTCAGTCAGTAAACATGCTTCAAGTACATATTGAGGTCAGCATGCTAGGTTTGACCCTGGGGATAAAATGACTACTATCATACCAAAGACCTCACAAAACAAGACACCTCAAACCCTGAAGCTTTTAACCATTTTTCATCTTACTAATCTCACTGGACACTGTGTAAGAAACATCTATATTTCATTTCACGCAACCATACGTTTCTACTGCTGACATTAATGTGTAGAGTACTTGAATTTCATACATGTGTCTATCAAGTCCAAATATCACTTGACTGACAATCCAAATGTATCACCAAACATACAATATCTCACCTCCCCAGACAGCAACATTCTTGCTCAATTTACTTTACAGTATCCTTCTCACCTAGAGTATTACAGAAATATTACCTTATGAAAACAGGTTTTCTCCACATACTATAAGATTCCTAACAACAGGATCTGCCCTAATTCTAATAGGTCGCACTTTTACAGGATTGTGCAGTCTTCCTCTGTCCCTGAAGGCTGTATGTTCACTTTTCTAAAATGATTTATTGACTCATGCACATTTTTCCCCAGAGAGCTATTCAAATTGAGTACATTTTTTTATTTTATTTTATTTTATTTTATTTTATTTTATTTTATTTTATTTTATTTTTGAGATGGAGTCTCACTCTGTTGCCCAGGCTGGAGTGCAGTGGCACCATCTGCAACCTCCGCCTCCCAGGTTCAAGCGATTCTCCTGCCTCAGCCTCCCAAGTAGCTGGAACTACAGGCATGCGCCACCATGCCCGGCTAATTTTTTGTATTTTTAGTAGAGACGAAATTTCACCATGTTGGCCAGACTCGAACTCCTGACCTCAGGTGATCTACTCACCTCAGCATTCCAAAGTGCTGGAATTACAGGCATGAGCCACCGTGCCCAGCCTAATTTTTTTTTTTTCTAAGCAGACACTACACCATGACATTTAAACAGAATTAGGCATGTGTTTTGATTTGTCTTCTGCCAAGTTCGAAAACTTCCAAGTACCTAGTGATTTATTTGCCAAAAAAGCCACAAAAGCACAAATGAGATCCCAAGGGTTACGGTTTCTTTTGTAACGTCTGTATTCTGATGGATGGCTAATTTATTTTTAGCATGAGATAGGCTGACAACAGAACAGAAAAATTAAGACAGAAGGAATTCTAATGACATTTAATTCAACTCTTAATATTACTGATGATTCAGTTGAGGCGGTAATGACCTGACCAAAATTCCTTAGTAACAGAAAAGCCACCGCAAGGTCCCTCTTCAGCCCCTGTTCTTTCCCCTGTCGTCTTCACAGCAAATCCCAGTGAGGCACCCACAATCTCAGATCCTCCACAAGGCCCCTGTGCTGATGCCAACACGCTACAGAACTTGGGGTTACTTATTTTCTGTTCATATCCATCGGCGAGGATAATTAAATACTATACTTAGAAATCAGGAACTACCTAACTGTCCATGACAGAGAAATGACTTCATAGGTTCATCTGACCAAGCCAGATAATTCAGTACCATGCATTTATTCAGCATTGTGTTTTTGAAGACTAATGATGTGGAAATACATTAAGTGAAAACTACGGAATACAAACTTTATCCTGATTTTAAATTTTTAAAACTGGAAGGAAATATATTAAAATGTTACCAATGCTTATCTTTAGTGGGTAAAATGAAGACTGGCTTTTTATTTTTCTACTTATGCTTTTGCTGTGTTTTATGTATTTTATACAGTGGATATGGATTTTAGTACTCTGAAAGACAATATAATGTAAAAGACAAATAATACTGTTTAAGATAATCTGATGTACTCATAATCAGGAGAGAGGAGTCTATAGCTGTAAAGACCACCTTTTTAAAAAGAACAAGCAAACATGCATAGGTTGCATACTGTATGTGTCATCCCTTCATGAATTTGGTGTGGGTAGAACAATGTAAAGGCTTTGGCTTTTATTTTGAAATGAGAAACCATTGGAAGGTTTTGGGTAGAGGAATGGCATGATTCATCTTGGATTTCAACAGGATCACCCTGGCTGCCATGTCGAGAGTAACCTTCTGGTGAGCAAGGGCAAAAGCAGGGAACGAGGAAGATGGTGACAAGCCAGGCTACAAAGGAGGGTAGTGGTACAAGGGCTGAGAAGAGTTGGATTCCAGCTAGTTATCTATCACAGTGTTAGACTTTGAAAACTATTTTCCCACGATCTGTTATTTATTATATGGGGATTTAAATATGTCTTTTATTTTGTATTTTTATCCACAGAACCTGTGATGAATCTAAAAAGCCTTGGGTATAGCAGGTCTTCTCCCTGAAAATAATGCCAACTCTGATTATACCTTTCCTTTTTAAACAGCTGCCCCTATTCCAACAGTTACCCTGTCTCTGTGGGGCCAGATAAGATGGGCCATTGGGACTTTTTTCTGCTCAAGCACCAGGTGGTCTCAGTCTTAGTCCAGAAGGTCTCAAACACCAGCCAGGACCCATCCTTAATAAAGTTTTTACCAGTTGGCAGCAAAATAAAAGAGTAATAGAGAGAATCTTTGCAAAGTCAAAATTCACTTAAAAAGGATCATTCTTTATTCTTTGACAATATATATCCTTTCAAATCATATGGGGAGGAGTGTTTTATGTTTTATAAAATGATGATGATGTGTATGGTGGTTATGGACCTTTGTTTAATATATACTTATTTAGCAAAATCAAAAGTTGACAATTTTATTTCAGCTTCAAAGACTTCTATGGCAGTTTTCTGGTCTATTAAATCTTCAAATTTAAAAACACAGTGTGAGTCTGTGTGGCAAAATCTTCTTCACATATGCCTATTGTGAATTTAATATTTTTGGTAATTGAACAAAAAATGAACACTGATTCTAAAGCTTTTTATCTACAATATTACCTCATCTTCTCCTAGAAAATAAATGTTAGTGAGAACTAAACGTGGGAAAAACTAATTCATTAGTTTAACTTCTTTATTATCAAAGCTTTGTTCAGTTAAAAAAGAGTGTTTTTAAAAATTATACGAGTAATGCAAATTAATTACAAGAAATTTGGAAAATGAAGAAGGACAAAAAGAAAAAAATATTTATCCATAATTCTATCATCCAGATTTGCAACCACTGTTGATACTTTAGTATATTTTTTCTTGTCTTTTTAAAAGTATTAGAGATGAATAGATATATTTTTTCACAAAACGGGGATTATATGGTTATTTCTTCAGTATTGTACATCAAAAAGCTATCACAAAGGCCTTGATACCTAGAACACTTAGCAACCTATTACTCATAGTCTCAAACCTTGGTTGCTCATCAGAAATGTGCAAATGAAGCTACATCTATTTTTAAAGACCAGGGTGATGATAAATGTAGATAAGCTAGGGAAAAAACTGTAGATGTCCCATTGTCTGAGCAATTTCCTTCAAGTTAAAATAGAGAATAATAGACATTAAACATATTAGTAGCTCAATGAGACTTTTTAAAAGTCAAAGAATTAAAATAATATGAAAAAGGGAAATATAGAAAACCACAAACTGTAGTGTATGTTGAAATAGGGAAAGTACTTGTATATTCTTTTTATTTAATTCTCATAAAAATGAAGAGGACACCATATATTAAAATCTAATTTGTTTTTCTTGGTAACCATAATAATGACTACCATTTTTTAAAAATTAAATTATGCTTCTCCTTGAAATAGGACCAACTCTATGATTAAGAGAATTTGGACTTTTAAATTTTGCTTTTATGGATTCTGATAAGAGATTTAGCTCCCTGAAGATATCCTTTTTCTGCCACAGTGCCTGGAATTCATGCTCTTGACTTTGGTAATAAGGACTTCAGGTTTATAATTGGATATAAAAATTTCTTCTCCAGACTTTTAGATACAATACATAAGAAGACAAAAAGGCAAACACACACAGCATTAAAGCCTAAGAATACTGGGAATTTAAGTGCCAGAACATGAGTGAAATCTACATCAATATCAGGCAAGTAAAACTAAGTCAGGAAGTCAACCCCACTTTCCTCTAACGAAAACATTACCTAAAGACACATGCCTGGGACCTAAAAAAATTCCACGTAACAAGAGACTGGCAAACATAGCTTAAAAATTAGAAGAACAACATACTTCTGAAAATGATCTACTCCATCTTATGAAGGATTTCCAGGAAACTGTGTGTTTAAAATAGGAGCAGAAAACTAAAAGGAGCAAATGGGTTAAAATGAAAAATTTTAAAGAATGATGTGAAAAGAGAGAGGTTGTGACTAGGATAGGAAAGGATTCTATGGTGAGAAAGAAAGAAACAGGAGTAGAATTAAATCCATGTTGGGCATAGTTGATACCATGGAACATGGATGATACATGGATGTCACAGTTAAAGCACATCATGTAGTGATATGAAAGAAAATAGTATATGGAAATGAGACACAGAAGCGCCAACACACAGATAATTGATGGACACAAAAGCGAATGGAAGGAACAAAAATGACAACTGAAAGTATATTTTGGAAGACTTTCCTGAGTTAACAAAGAAAGCCTGTCACTGTCGACTTGAGAGATTCAATTAAAGTATGTTCAATGCCTTATCTTGACATGGAAATTTCAAAAGCTTAACTTTTACTCCAGACAACAAAAATTAGGTTTCAATGGCAGTTTCATGCATTCATTGTGAATTGTGATTGGTGCAAGTGAAAAACGGTGAAATTGGAGATAGTGCAAGTGGGAACTGTGCATAAAGCAGAGCTCATTCTATTAGCACAGTAGCCCACAGCGGGAGGAGCTTGTAGTGAATGTGAGGTTATCTACCTGGCAGTTGTTGTAAAAACAAGGTTGTGAACCACTGGGTGCAAAAATAATTTCAATAAATTCAATGGTAATTGCTATAAGCATGAACAACTATATAAATACCTTCCAAAATAGTAGAGAAGAGCAAAAGAGGAATAGACTATATAGCAAACCACAAGCAAAGACAATAATAATAAAACAAATGACGAAGTAAAACTAAATTAAATATAGCAATGCATGTGAGTGGATTAAGTGCTCTTGTTAAAAATAAGAAAATTCTCACATAGCCCATTTATGCCTAGTGTTCCATTATTGGAACGGTAAGCATGTGGGAGTTATTTATATCCTGCTGCTAAAGGTCATCGCCAATGTCTGATTGCCAAAATTCAAAAAATTGCAACCTCAGGCATAAATGGGTTAAAATTAATACAGAATTCAACCACATTCTGTTTAAAACTAACCACCTAAAATGAGGTATTAGAGGAGTTCAAAAAAAAAAAAAAGGTTGGGCAAAGATATATCAAACTAATGAAGACAAAAAGAAAATATGGTCACTATATGTTATGTAATAATGACATAATAATAAAATAGAAATGAGATACAATAGCTGACATTAATTTAGTCCTAAGGACATGTCATATCTCAGTTAATGCTCATAACTATGAGGTTGTTAGATAATGTCAAATTCCAGCCCAAAATCAATAACCAGAACAAATATTGTAATACTATAAAGTGACAATTTCAATTGAACACTCATGGGTCAGTATGTACCAAGTAATATTAACTCAACATATAAAGTAAAAATTATAAATACAAAAAAAAATGACCAGTAGTAGGACACTTTAACACATTTCTCAGTTTTCTGACATCAAATATGAAAACCATAAATGAATGAGATGTTAATGCTATAATTTAATGAGGTTGGTTTAACCAAGAATATGTCATTGCATTTTGATGGCAAAAAAATTATAAGTAATCTAAACATCAACAGTGGATAATTTATTAAATTAGACTAGGGCTAAAATATTGTTGGCTTATGGAGTGGCCATTCTTTTATTCCTTTTAAACAAAATAAAATAAAATAGTGTTGTCGAACAATTTTTAATGACATTGAAGTATTAAGTACCAATTAAATGAAAAAGCAGATATATAATGATACATTGAGTATGCTCTGAATTTTATTTTTAAAGTGTACATAAGTGTTTATAAAAATGCACACAGAGATAATAAACCAAATGGGTCCATATAAAAATGTTAACATAGGTTATCTCCAGATCTTGTGATTGTGGGTGATTTTTTCTCAGTTATTTTTATCAATCTTAGGGATTTTGCATTTAAAATTTTTTCTGCAAAGAACATTTTTACTTCTGCAATCAGAGAAAAATATAATTGACCTTTATTTAATGATTATGATCTTATGAACATCCCACTTGTTTCTCACCCCTTAGGAGAGAAAGGCAGGGTAGAGATTTGACAGGAGCGGAAATCAAAGCTAAAAGAGGTAAAAGTGGCTTAAAAAAAAATGTCATAGTTAATGACAGTACATGTTCTAAAACCCTTGACTTCGGACCTCCAGTCCTGAGGACTTTCCAGTCCATTTTTCTGGGTAAACCATGTCACCACAAAAGCCTGTTGACATGCTGCTGATTCAGGGTGTCAAGTCCATTATCAAGCCCAGAGGTTATAAAATATATAAAGTCACATATATTTTATATAATATGAATATAAAAATTTATATGTGAATATAAAAAATTACATATTTATATAATCAAATATATAAATAAGATTTTTATCCAAGATGATAGGAGAAAGAGGTTGATATATCTGACTAATTAGCTCCAAATGAGCAAGGTACTGAGGGGATGAGACAAATACATTTTGATGGAAGCTGGAGGTAGAAATAGTCATGGAAGCCAAAACCAGTAAGCAGAAAAGGCTCTGATGCTTGGGGAACAAATCTCACCTGTAGGTGTTAGCATCTTTTCCAGAGTGGCCCTGAAAGAAAAGGTCATTTTAAATATAAACATGACAGTGATTTGCATTTCAGACCAGCCCAAAGACTACTTTGCGGTATGACTCTGTGTACCTGCAAGTCAAATCCAGGATTCACAGTTTTGGAAGTGGTTCTGGGCCATCCTCATGCCCACAGTTGACTTACGGGTCATTTAGGCGCTAACCTATTGTTTATGAGCTATTAGCAATCCCTTCAGTTTCCATTTCTCTCAGTAGTTGGACGGTATTAATACTTCCGCCACATAGTTCAAATAGACTTCAGATTTTTGTTCCATGGAAAATGTACAGGGACACTTTGAGAGTTGCTTCGTAAATGTCAGCAGTCATCAGAGAATGGTT
The DNA here is from genome assembly GCF_000001405.40 of Homo sapiens. NCBI lineage: Eukaryota > Metazoa > Chordata > Mammalia > Primates > Hominidae > Homo > Homo sapiens. The sequence continues at coordinate 191,100,160 of NC_000002.12, read as the reverse complement.
TTATTTCTTCAGATTGGAATAATTTTTCCACTTCTTGCTTTAGGAGTTCTAATTTTCTAATTTTTGCACATTATGTAAATTAATTAAAAATTTTTTACCAATGGAATTTTTGTTATGATGAAAATAGCTTTATAATTTCTTTCTGATTGCTTAAATAATGCAAATCTTTGTAAAAAGTCAAATGATAATGAAAAGTCTAAGAAGAAAGAAAAAAAATCCCCTGAAATTCCACTGAAATAAGATAACCACTATTAACATTTTGGTCACCAACTTTTCATACTTTTACTGCATACACACTCATGTAATTTTCCATAAAGTAGATCATAATATACATGTAGCTTTTTAATTACAAACTTCTTTTTATCCCACTTCTTTTTTCCTTACCTCCATCCACACCACTACCTTCAAAGACATCCGTATTAACAGTCAAGTGTGAACCTTTCCATATGTGTATCTATGTTTACCTAATTAAATAAAAATGGAAAAAAATGGAAAAGATATAATTTGTGGATATTTTTAAAAATATAATGTGTACATGTGTGTTGTTTATGAAATTTTGTAAATGATGAAATATTTTGTCATTTACAAAAATGAAATTTTATTATTCATATCTCTGCTTTCCAAATTTTACGTAACAGAAATCCCTCCATTTTAATGGTAGGAAATGTGTTACAGTTTATTGAACCATCCCTGTTAGATGAGAAATTACTTTACTTTTGGTTCTCCACTATAAACAGGATTGAAACAAACGATCTTGTACATATATTATTATGGGCCAGTGCTTTTATTTTTATTGGATGGATTCCTAGATATGGACTTGCTAGTCAAAATATAAGCATTTTAAATTCTGATATTTTGAGATTTCTTTCCTAATAGGTTGTAAAATTCACAGTTCCATCAGCAAAGTGTACTAGGACCCTCATCCCCATATCTTCATTAACAATAGATATTATCATTCTTTTTTATTTTTGTCAACCTGACTTTTTGGGAAATACTATCTCTGTCTTTATTTTAAATTTGCTTTTTTCCTAACTATTTGGGAGATGGGGCATCCTTTCCCACATTTATTGGTCATTTGGATGTATTCTTTTGTGAATTTCCCATTCACTTCCTTCTATCAGGCATTTTAAATCAATTTCAAAGGGCTCTTATCTACATTAAAAATATTACTTAAAAGAATATTTTATATATTAATAATTATTTTTTATGAATTACTAATGTTCTCCTAAGTCTATAATATGTCTTTAGGCTTTATGACATCTTTTTCCACACAAAAATATTTAAATGTAGTGAAAGTGCATCTTTTTTGTATAGTTTCTAGGGATTCTATCCTGGCTTAAAAGATCTCCTCGATCCTTAGATATTTTGTTTTCCTAAATTCTATTCTAAGATTTATTTTTTAAATTATACTTTAAGTTCTAGGGTACATGTGCACAACGTGCAGGTTTGTTACATAGGTAAACATGTGCCATGTTTGTTTGCTGCACCCATTAACTCGTCATTTACATTAGGTATTTCTCCTAATGCTATCCCTCCCCCGGCCCCCACCCCAAGACTGGCACCCATGTGTGATGTTCCCCGCCCTGTGTCCAAGTGTTCTCATTGTTCAGTTCCCACCTATGAGAACATGTGGTGTTTGGTTTTCTGTCCTTGTGCTGGTTTGCTCAGAATGAGGGTTTCCAGCTTCATCCATGTCCCTGCAAAGGACATGAACTCATCCTTTTTTATGGCTGCATAGTATTCCATGGTATATATGTGCCACATTTTCTTAATCCAGTCTATCATTGATGGACATTTGGGTTGGTTCCAAGTTTTTGCTATTGTGAATAGTGCCACAGTAAACACACGTGTGCATGTGTCTTTATAGTAGAATGATTTATAATCCTTTGGATGTATACCCAGTAATGGGATCGCTGGGTCAAATGGTATTTCTAGTTCTAGATCCTTGAGGAATCGCCACACTGTCTTCCACAATGGTTGAACTAGTTTACACTCCCACAAACAGTGTAAAAGTGTTCCTATTTCTCCACATCCTCTCCAGCATCTGTTGTTTCCTGACTTTTTAATGATTGCAATTCTAACTGGTGTGAGATGGTATCTCATTGTGGTTTTGATTTGGATTTCTCTGACAACTAGTGATAATGAGCATTTTTTCATGTGTCTGTTGGCTGCATAAATGTCTTCTTTTGAGAAGTGTCTGTTCATATCCTTTGCCCACTTTTTGATAGGTTGGTTGGTTTTTTTTTCTTGTAAATTTGTTTAAGTTCTTTGTAGATTCTGGATATTAGCCCTTTGTCAGATGGGTAGATTGCAAAACTTTTCTCCCATTGCCTGTTCACTCTGATGGTAGTGTCTTTTGCTGTGCTGAAGCCTGTAGTTTAATTAGATCCCATTTGTCTATTTTGGCTTTTGTTGCCATTGCTTTTGGTGTTTGAGTCATGAAGTACTTGCTCATGCCTATGTCCTGAATAGTATTGCCTAGGTTTTCTTCTAGGGTTTTTATGGTTTTAGGTCTAACATTTAAGTCTTTAATCCATCTTGAATTAATTTTTGTGTAAGGTGTAAGGAAGGGATCCAGCTTTAGTTTTCTACATATGGCTAGCCAGTTTTCCCAGCACCATTTATTAAATAGGGAATCCTTTCCCCATTTCTTGTTTTTCTCAGGTTTGTCAAAGATCAGATGGTTGTAGATGTGTGGTGTTATTTCTGAGGCCTCTGTTCTGTTCCATTGGTCTATATCTCTGTTTTGGTACCAGTACCATGCTGTTTTGGTTACTGTAGCCTTGTAGTATAGTTTGAAGTCAGGTAGCATGATGCCTCCAGCTTTGTTCTTTTTGTTTAGGATTGACTTGGCAATGCGGGCTCTTTTTTGGTTCCATAAAAACTTCAAAGTAGTTTTTCCAATTCTGTGAAAAAAGTCTTTGGTAGCTTGATGGGGATGGCATTGAATCTATAAATTATATTGGGCAGTATGGCCATTTTCACGATATTGATTCTTCCTATCCATGAGCATGGAATGTTCTTCCATTTGTTTGTGTTCTCTTTTATTTCGTCGAGCAGTGGTTTGTGTTTTTCCTTGAAGAGGTCCTTCACATCCCTTGTAAGTTGGATTCCTAGATATTTTATTCTCTTTGTAGCAATTGGGAATGGGAGTTCACTCATGATTTGGCTCTCTGTTTGTCTGTTATTGGTGTATAAGAATGCTTGTGATTTTTGCACATTGATTTTGTATCCTGAGACTTTGCTGAAGTTGCTTATCAGCTTAAGGAGGTTTTGGGCTGAGACGATGGGGTTTTCTAAATATACAATCATGTTATCTGCAAACAGGGACAATTTGACTTCCTTTTTTCCTAATTGAATCCCCTTAATTTCGTTATCTTGCCTGATTGCCCTGGCCAGAACTTCCAACACTGTGTTGAATAGGAGTGGTGAGAGAGGGCATTCTTGTCTCGTGCTGGTTTTCAAAGGGAATGCTTCCAGTTTTTGCCCGTTTAGTATGATATTGGCTGTAGGTTTTTCATAAATAGCTCTTATTATTTTGAGATACATTCCATCAATACCTAGTTTATTGAGAGTTTTTCACATGAAGGGCTGTGGAATTTTGTGAAAGGCCTTCTCTGCATCTGTTGAGATAATCATGTGGTTTTTGTCACTGGTTCTGTTTGTGTGATGGATTATGTTTATCGATTTGCATATGTTGAACCAGCCTTGCATCCCAGGGATGAAGCCAACTTGATCGTGGTGGATAAGCTTTTTGATGTGCTGCTGGATTCAGTTTGCCAGTAGTTTATTGAGGATTTTCGCATCAATGTTCATCAGAAATATTGGTCTAAAATTCTCTTTTTTTGTTGTGTCTCTGCCAGGCTTTGGTATCAGGATGATGCTGGCCTCATAAAATGAATTAGGGAGGATTCCCTCTCTTTCTATTGATTGGAATAGTTTCAGAAGGAATGGTACCAGCTCCTCTTTGTACCTCTGGTAGAATTTGGCTATGAATCCCTCTGGTCCTGGGCTTTTTTTGGTTGGTAGGCTATTAATTATTTCCTTGATTTCAGAGCCTGTTATTGGTCTATTCAGGGATTCAACTTCTTCCTGGTTTAGTCTTGGCAGGGTGTATGTGTCAAGGAATTTATCCATTTCTTCTAGATTTTCTAGTTCATTTGTGTAGAGGTGTTTATAGTATTCTCTGATGGTAGTTTGTATTTCTGTGGTATTGGTGGTGATATCCCCTTTATCATTTTTTATTGCATCTGTATGATTCTTCTCTCTTTTCTTTTATATTTGTCGTGCTAGCAATCTATCAATTTTGTTGATCTTTTCAAAAAACCAGCTCCTGGATTCATTGACTTTTTGAAGGATTTTTTTGTGTGTGTCTCTATCTCTTTCAGTTCTGCTCTGATCTTAGTTATTTCTTGCCTTCTGCTAGCTTTTGAATTTGTTTGCTCTTGCTTCTCTAGTTCTTTTAATTGTGATGTTAGGGTATCGATTTTAGATCTTTCCTGCTTTATCTTGTGAGCATTTAGTGCTATAAATTTCCCTCTACACACTGCTTTAAATGTGTCCCAGAGATTCTGGTATGTTGTGTCTTTGTTCTCATTGGTTTCAAAGAACATCTTTATTTCTGCCTTCATTTCATTATTTACCCAGTGTCCATTCAGGAGCATGTTGTTCAGTTTCCATGTAGTTGTGCGGTTTTGAGTGAGTTTCTTAATCCTGAGTTCTAATTTGATTGCGCTGTGGTCTGAGAGATAGTTTGTTGTGATTTCTGTTCTTTTACATTTGCTGAGGAGTGTTTTACTTCCAACTATGTGGTCAATTTTGGAATAAGTGCGATGTGGTGCTGAGAAGAATGTATATTCTGTTGGTTTGGGGTGGAGAGTTCTGTAGATGTCTGTTAGGTCTGCTTGTTGCAGAGCTGAGTTCAGTTCCTGGATATCCTTGTTAACCTGTCTCGTTGATCTGTCTAATATTGACAGTGGGGTGTTAAAGTCTCCAACTTTAAAAATAAAGTTATTATTGTGTGGGAGTCTAAGTCTCTGTAGGTCTCTCAGGACTTGCTTTATGAATCTGGGTGCTCCTATATTGGGTGCATATATGTTTAGGATAGTTAGCTCTTCTTGTTGAATTGATCCCTTTACCATTATGTGATGGCCTTCTTTGTCTCTTTTGATCTTTGTTGATTTGAAGTCTGTTTTAGCAGAGACTAGGATTGCAACCCCTACTTTTTTTTTTTTTTTTTTTTTGCTTTCCATTTGCTTGGTAGATCTTCCTCCATCCCTTTATTTTGAGCCTGTATGTGTCTCTGCACATGAGATGGGTCTCCTGAATATAGCACACTGATGGGTCTTGACTCTTTATCCAATTTGCCAGTCTGTGTCTTTTAACTGTGGCATTCAGTCCATTTACATTTAAGGTTAATGTTGTTATGTGTGAGTTTGATCCTGTCATTATGATGCTGGCTTGTTATTTTGCCCATTAGTTGATGCAGTTTCTTCCTAGCATCAATGGTCTTCACAATTTGGCATGTTTTTGCATTGGCTGGTACCGGTTGTTCCCTCCCATTTTTAGTGCTTCCTTCAGGAGCTCTTGTTAAGGCAGGTCTGGTAGTGACAAAATCTTTCAGCATTTGCTTGTCTGTAAAGGATTTTATTTCTCCTTCACTTATGAAGCTTAGTTTGGCTGGATATGAAATTCTGGTTTGAAAATTCTTTTCTTTAGGAATGTTGAGTATTGGCCCCCACTCTCTTCTGGCTTGTAGAGTTTCTGCTGAGAGATACGCTGTTAGTCTGATGGGCTTCCCTTTGTGGGTAACCCAACCTTTCTCTCTGGCTGCCCTTAACAATTTATCCTTCATTTCAACTTTGGTGAATCTGATAATTATGTGTCTTGGATTTGGTCTTCTCAAGGAGTATCTTTGTGGCGTTCTCTGTATTTCCTGAATTTTAATGTAGGCCTGCCTCCCTAGGTTGGGAAAGTTCTCCCGGATAATATCCTGAAGAGTGTTTTCCAACTTGGTTCCATTCTCCCTGTCACTTTCAGGCACACCAATCAAATGTAGATTTGGTCTTTTCACATAGTCCCATATTTCTTGGAGGCTTTGTTCTTTTCTTTTTACTCTTTTTTCTCTAAACTTCTCTTCTTGCTTTATTTCATTAATTTGATCTTCAATCACGGTTACCCTTTCTTCCACTTGATTGAATTGGCTATTGAAGCTTGTGCATGCCTCACATGGTTCCCATGCCATGGTTTTCAGCAACATCGGATCATTTAAGGTCTTCTCTATACTTCATTCAAGTTAGCCATTCGTCTAATCTTTTTTCAAGGTTTTTAGCTTCCTCACGATGGGTTCGAACATCCTCCTTTAGCTCGGAGAAGTTTGTTATTACTGACCTTCTGAAGCCTACTTCTGTCAGCTCGTCAAAGTCATTTCTCCGTCCAGCTTTGTTCTGTTGCTGGCAAGGAGCTGTGATCCCTTGGAGGAGAAGAGGCACTCTGATTTTTAGAATTCTCAGCTTTTCTGCTCTTGTTTCTCCCCGGCTTTGTGGTTTTATCTACTTTGATCTTTGATGCTGGTGACCTATAGATGGGGTTTTGATGTGGATATCCTTTTTGTTGATGTTGATGCTATTCCTTTCTGTTTGTTAGTTTTCCTTCTCACAGTCAGGTCCCTCAGCTGCAAGTCTGTTGGATTTTGCTGGAGGTCCACTCCAGACCCTGTTTGCCTGGGTATCACCAGTGGAGGCTGCAGAACAGCAAATATTGCAGAACAGCAAATATTGCAGAACAACAAATATTGCTGCCTGATCCTTCCTCTGGAAGCTTCATCCCAGAGGGGCACCCACCTGTATGAGGTGTCAGTCAGCCCCTACTGGGAGGTGTCTCCCGGTTAGGCTACACAGGGGTCAGGGATCCACTTGAGGAGGCAGTCTGTCCATTCTCAGAGCTCAAACACTGTGCTGGGAGAACCACTGCTCTCTTCAGAGCTGTCAGACAGGGTTGTTCAAGTCTGCAGAAGTTTCTGCTGCCTTTTGTTCATCTACGCCCTGCCCCCAGAGATGGGGTCTACAGAGGCAGCAGGCCTTGCAGATCTGTTGTGGGATCCGCCCAGTTCAAACTTCCCCAGCTGCTTTGTTTACCTCTCAAGCCTCAGCAATGGCAGATGCTCCTTCCCCTGCCATGCTGCTGCCTTGCGGGTGGATCTCAGACTGCTGCACTAGCAGTGAGCAAGGCTCCATGGGCATGGGACCCACCGAGCCACGTGTGGGATATAATCTCCCAGTGTGCCAGTTGCTAAAACCATTGGAAAAGTGCAGTATTTGGGTGGGAGTGTCCCAATTTTCCAGGTACAGTCTGTCACAGCTTCCCTTGGCTAGGAAAGTGAAATCCCCCGACCCTTCGCACTTCCTGGGTGAGGCAATGCCCTGCCCTGCTTTGGCTCACCCTCCGTGGGCTGAACCCACTGTCCAACCAGTCCCAATGAGATGAACCAGGTACCTCCATTGGAAATGCAGAAATCTCTGTCTTCTGCATCAATCACACTGGGAGCTGCAGACTGGAGCTGTTCCTATTCAGCCATCTTGGAACCTCTAAGAGTTTTTAAAAGTTAAAATCTTTAAAAATCTACTTAGAATTCTTTTTTTTTTTTTTAACTGTAGCACATTCACACTATGGACCATTTCCTACCATTAAAATGAAGGGATATCTGTTACGTAAAATTTGGAAAGCAGAGACATGAATAATGAAATTTCATTATTTTTGAGACAGAGTCTTGCTCTGTCACCCAGGCTGGAGTGCAGTGGCATGATCTCAGCTCACTGCAACCTCCACCTCCCGGGTTCAAGCAAGTTTCCTGCATCAGCCTCCTCAGTAGCTGGGATTACAGGCGCATGCCACCATGCCTGGCTAATTTTTGTATTTTTAGTAGAGACAGGGTTTCACCATGTTGGTTAGACTGGTCTCTAACTCCCAACCTCGTGATCTGCCCCCCTCAACCTCCCAAAGTGCTGGGATTACAGGCATGAGCCACAGCGCCCGGGCTTCTACATGGAATTCTTTATATAAAGATCCAACTTTTACTTCTGGATTGACAATTATACAAGCAAGATTTTAAAAAATAAGCACTTTTTTACTGAACTGAAAAACCATCTTTTCATACATTAATTTTCTTATTTAATATTTTATTCCACAACTCTCTATTATGCTCTGCTAATCTAGTTATATGTCATTACTATTGGATACAATGACCTTATGGTATATTTCAATATATTATAAGACAAGTTCTCCTCCCTTCAGCTTAGAGACAATGAACTTGATGGTTAATTGGTTAAAAGTAAGTCAACACTCTGGAGTCAAAGTGAATACCGGCTTAAAGTTACTTAACAGTTCTTTATCTCAGTTTACCTAGCTGTATACTCAGGATGACAGCATTTATCACAAACAGTTTTGAGAGTTCATTAAATGAAACTAAACAGAGCAGTTAGAAAATTCCCTGACAGATTTCAAGCAGTAAGAAATTAGCCTTTGTGACTATCATAGCTGTTGTCAGACATTTTCTGTCACATATGAACTTTAAGATCACTTCATTGACTCTTTCCTTCAACCTCAAACCCTCCAAAAGTTAGGACTCTAACTTTAATTGCATTAAACACACATACTCATTTTGAGACAATTAATATTTTTATAATAACAAGTCTCTCACATTTAGAATTTATGTTTTTAATGTGTCTTCTCAGATTTTAAAGTTTTCAGTGTGACCCTAGTTTAATTTAATTCATGTAAGACCTGTATCTTCTTTGTTAAATTCGTTCCTGTTTTTTAAATTATTTTTCTTATTTTGAATCTATTTTCTATTTCTTATTTTTTATTTCTAGCTCTAGATGGTTATTGCCAATGTAGAGAAAATCATGTCATCTTGTGTATTCATTCTAGAATTTGTATGAGTCTCTTTTTTTCTAGAAATATAATTTTATCATCAGCAAGAGAGATATGTGCATACCCCCTTTACCAATATTTACGTTTACTATTTCATTTTCTTGTCCTTATAATCTTGTCTAAACACTTTCTAATGATGACGAGATATCTGTTCTTATCACAGAGTAAAGGTTACTGAGCCACCAACCCAGGTCCTCTGACTTTGTACAAAGGGCTCTCCAGCTGCTTTTCAGAGTGATTGTCTAGAAGGGTTAAGTCTTCGTAGACATAGATCATTCTGCAGGAAATGTACTCAGACCTTGTAGAAGACATACTTGATACCTTTAAGAAGTAGTTTAAGGCCGGGTATGGTGGCTCACGCCTGTAATCCTAGCACTTTGGGAGGCCAAGGTGGGTGGATCACGAGGTCAGGGGATCGAGACCATCCCCTGTCTTGGTGAACAGGCTAACACGGTGTCAGGCTAACACGGTGAAACCCTGTCTCTACTAAAAATACAAAAAATTAGCCGGGCATGGTGGCGGGTGCCTCTAGTCCCAGCTGCTCGGGAGGCTGAGGCAGGAGAATGGCATGAACTCAGGAGGCAGAGGTTGCAGTGGGCGGAGATCGCGCCACTGCACTCCAGTCTGGGCAACAGAAGCAAGACTCTGTCTCAAACAAACAAACCAAGTAGTAGTTTAAAAATAAATAAATAAGGTAAGACAAGCTATATATACCTGCAGCTAATTTTTAGCTAGTTTAAGATAGATGTATTATTATTATTATTATAAATAATAACAGAGCATTGTTAATTTAGATCCATCAACAGCCTATACTGTACCTTTCTTTTATCAAGAAAACCTTTGCGACGATGAGAGAATTTAAAGCTAACTTTGAGTGAGGAGGCGAGCAACTTCATTCATTCGAATTCATTCATTTCTGGTGAGAGGAATAGCATAAGGAGGGCATATGAGAACTGAAACTTTTTAGTAAGACAATTTCAGAAAATAAAAAGGATTTGTTTTTTAGAGCAATCTTTGGTTTACAGAAAAATTGAGCAAAAAGTACAGAGAATACTTTCCCATATACTCCCTTAGTCTCCTTCTCACACCCCTCACCAGTTTCTCCTATATCTTACATTAGTGTGATGTACTTGTTACAATTTTATATTATTACAATATTATATTATTATTAACTAAAGTCCCATAATTTACATTAGGGCTCACTATATGTTCTATGTGTTTTATCAAATGTGTAATATCATGTATCCAGTATCATAGTGTTATACAGAATAGTTTCATTGCCCTAGATATCCCCTGTTCTCCACCTATTCATCATCCACTCCCTCTCTTTCTTCTAACTCCTGGCAACCACTGACTTTTTTATTGTCTCCATAGTTTGACTTTTCCATAATGTCATATAGTTGGAATCACACAATATGTAGCCTTTTCACGTTGGCTGCTTTTACTTGGTAATATGCATGTAAATTTCATCCATATCTTTTCCTGACTTGATAGCTCATTTCTTATTGGTGCTGAATAATATTCTATCGTCTAGATGGACTGCAGTGTATCTATTCACCTATTTGAGGATATCTTGGTTGCTTCAAATTTCAGCAATTATAAATGAAGCTGCTATAAACATCCATGTGTAGGTTTTCATGTAGAAATGAGTTTTCATCTCCTTTAGATAAATACCAAGGGGTGCAATTGCTGAATCATATTACAAGAGTATGTTTAGTTTTATAACAAATTGCCAAACTGTTTTTGAAAATGGCTGTATTATTTTTCACTCCCACGAGCAACAAATGAAAGTTTCTGTTGCTCCACATCCGCATCAACATTTGGTGTGATCAGTGTGCTGGATTTTGATTGTTCTGATAGATGCATTGCAGTATCTCATTGTTATTTTAGTATGCATTTCCCTGACCACGTATGATGTGGAGCATCTTTTCATATGCCTATTTTTCATCTATATATCTTCTTTGGTGAGACATCTATTATGGTATTTGGCCCATTTTTAAATTGAGTTTGTTTTCTTGCTTTTTAAAAATATTTTAGATAATAATTCATTATCAGATATGTTTTTTGCCAATATTCTCTCCTAGCCTGTGACTTTCATTTTCATTTCTTAACAGTGTCTTTCACAGAGCAGAAATTTTTCCACTAATCAATCTGTCGTTTCATGAATTTTGCCTTTAGTGTTGTATCTAAAAAGTCATCACTAAATCCAAGGTCATCTAGATTATTTTCTGTTATCTTCTAAGACGTTTATAGTTTTGCATTTTACATTTAAGTCTGTGGTTCACTTTGAGTTAATTTCACTTATTTTTTGTGGGAGGTGAAAGGTCAGTGTCTAGATTCACTTTTTGCATATCCAGCTGAATATCCAGCTATTCCAGCACCACTTGTTGAAAAGACCACCTTTGTTCTGTTGTGTCGCATTTGCCCTTTTGTCAAAAGTCAGTTAAGTACATTTACGTGGATCCATTTCAGAACTGTCTATTCTGTTCCATTGATCTATCTGTCCATTCTTTTACCTGTACCACACTGTCTTGATTACTATAGGTTTATACTAAGTCCCAAAGTTGAGTGGAGTCACTTCAACTTTGGTTTTCTCTTTCAATGTCATTGCTATCTGGCTCTTTAGCCTCTCCATATAAACTTTAAAATTAGTCATTATCCAGAAAATAACTTGCTAGTATTTTGATTGGAATCTGTAGATAATTCCATTGAATCTATAGATAAGTGGGGAATAACTGACATCTTGACAATACAGTCTTTATTCTGCTTATTTCTGCCTAAAGTGAATATGAAATATCTTTTCATTTATTTAGTTCTTCTTTGATTTCTTTCATTAGTCTTATCATTTTCCTTACATATCTTATCCACACATTGTTAGATTTATACCTAAGTATTTCATTTTTTGTGCTAATATGAGTAGCATTGTGCTTTCAATTTCAAATTCCAATGATTTGTTCCTGTTCAATAGGAAAGCAATTGACTTTTGTGTCTTAATGTTACAGTCTATAACCTTACTCTAATGGCTTATTAGTTCCAGGAGGCTTTTTTTGTTGTTGTTCTTTGGGATTTTCTATATAGACAGTCACTGTGTCTATGGACACATGTGGACAATTCACCTGTGAACAAAGAAAATTTTATTACATCCTTCCCTATTTGTATAGAATTTATTTCCTTTTCTTACCTTATTGTATTAAGCTACTACTTGCAATATGATGCTGAATAGGAGTGGTGAGTTCAGCCTACCTTGCCTTGTTCTTTGTCTTAGCAGAAAAGCACCTAGTTTCTGACCATTAAGTATATTACCTGTAGATTTTTTGGTACATTTTTTTTTTATCAAGTTGAGAAATTTCACTATTCCTAGTATACTCAGAGTTTTTATCATGAAAGTCAATTGCTTTTTAAAACCTATTAGACTAGCCATTCTATTTTAATCAGCTTTAAGACAACTAGTTCAGCTCTTCTTCAATTTAGTGGGTTTGTTTTTTTCACCGTAGACATAACCTTTTGATTCTGGTGAGGAAAGATTAGGTAGAAGCCATTAAGAAAAATTACATACTCAGAATAAAGAGAAGGAAATAATAAGAAGCTGGTCATAACAAGACCAGCAAAGGTGGCCTTGTTATGTAAATGAAGCCTCCCTCAGAGTAGATGGTAAATGTTTCATTTCAGATTTTTAAAGGCCTCAGACTCTTACTCTGTCCTGGATGGGGTAGTGGGATGGAAAGGGGAGGGAGCGTGGTTGCATTAATGGAGATTCTCTACAGATGCAAATTTTTCCCACAAAAGAGCTTTGCAAGGCCACTTCTGTTAGCTGGCCAAGCTGCAACCATTTTAAAACACATCAAAGAAATATATTTGGGAGTAAAATATTTTAATTTCCTTTAGTCCCCACTTTGAAACTTAAAACAGGTTTCACGCATTAAAAGGCAAGCTGATAGCTTTGGAGAGATTTAGGTTTAGAGGTTGTTAAATGGAGACAGACAATGGAGTGAAAGAAAAATTGGGATAAATAGAAAAGAGCAAATTTAAATATATTGTTTCATATCTTCTTTCATCACTATATTAGTCCTGAGAATAGATCAATTCAGTTAAACAGTTGTGTCACATTCCAGGAGGCGACATTGCAGATGGGTTAGGCTTCTATATTAGGTAGACAATCAGATCTCTAATAAGAGGCATTTCTATAGAAACATAAGAAAAACAAAGGTGAATGTCAAGAGCAATCAGTCTCTATACTAGTTTTCTAGAGCCTCTGAGGCACTTCAGATTGCCACTGCAATCCAGATTCTTCTGGATTGTAGTTCAAACCAGATGTTCAAGTGAACTTTCTGAGAAGTCCAAACATGAGCAGGCAGATACAAAGGTTGTTAAAATAACAGTTGCTGTTATTTTCTCCTGAGGTTTAAATTGCCTAGCTTCAGTTTGAGAAGCTTTAAGAAAAGCAGTTCTAATTTCTAGCAATTTCAAGTCAGAAACATGGGAGAAAAAAATTGAAAATATTAGTTTGGAGATATATAGCCAGGAGAAAAATTCAGAACTCAATCTAAATTGTAGCAAATACTAAAAACTGAAAAAGAATAGACAAGGCTAGAATCTGATAACAAGTATACTACAGTTTCTTTTGGAACATAATTTTTCTCTTTCCAATCCCCCAATTTTACTAAAGACAACATCATAGCAGGAGTAATTTATTTGCACAGTAAGTTTTAGTTTAATTATACTTGGTCTGATTATTTGTATAAAATGCATTGAAAGTAATTATTTGCTATACAGGCTCTTTTTAAAATTAGCTTTGCTGGAACTTTTATTTAAAAATAAGGACTCTCAAATTAGACCTTTTAAAAGCCTCAAGCCCAGCCAAGGATTTATCTATGCTTGCAGATAGTTGTATGAATTGGGTGAATTCCTCTCTTCTTGAGGTCCTATGAGGTTCCCGGGCCTGTCAGAAAGTGACAATCTTTACTTATCACAGGTCAAGAACCCTGTGAAGGACAAGATAGAAGGCCAGTTTTTCCAAAGGGCTTTTATGGGCTCTGTACATCAATCCCAATTCCTCAAAGCCATCTGTTCATATCTGAAAATATCGTTGCAACCAAAGACTTGGTAAAATAGCCAGTGTCTTCAGTGTGTCCTCTTACAGAAGAAAAGAGATTATTATTATTGAACTTATGAAAATAACTATTGCCATAAATTAAGAATACTCACAAATAGTTTCCAAATTCTGGAGAAAGAAATATGTTTCAAATTTTGCTCACAAGAATATATTTTACTCAGTTGTTAAAAGCTGTAAATAGTTCAAATGAAAAAAAGGTTTTCTTGACTTTGAAAAACAAAAAAAGAATCAGTAAAGTTTGAAACAAAAAAAGTAATAAAATTATTTAAATTTTCTATTAGTTCAGTCCATGCAATTAACTTCTGTTCTACTTGATATTGGGTCAGCAATTCTCATGAACACATCAGCTCTCCCTGAGAGTCCTGGAAGTTTTCTCTCTATTCCATTGGCACTGTCTCCAAAGTTATCAGAAACCTGCATTCAAGAGCACCTGTCAGAATCCTGAGATGACTTTGAACCAATTTTGAAAGGATCAACATAAAACAATTGTTTGTGGATGACAAAAGTTTTAGAACATCCACAGTTAAAGACACAATTGCCAAGGAAATTTGGTTATTTCTGTGGCTTTCAACAATTTTACATAATAATTATAATTACTACTGATAACATAGACATATCAGAATCATAAGAATCTCATACAATTTGGAATACATACTAATAACACATTAATATAAATATAATATAAATATAAATATTTAACCCAAAGAAAGTTAAACACCATTTTATATTTGGGAGTGTTTCCTATATGACTTTAACATATCAAGTAAGATCAATATGTCTCTCTTGGACTTCTGAAAAGTTAGTTTTAGGACAAAAGACTGAATTTAGAATTTGATTTTGAATTGTCAAATATGAAAGGTTTTAAATACTTCATATCACAAATAGGACCACAAGTCACTATAAAATAAGTAATTTATTTAGCCAAAATGATAATTCAAAGATTTCAAAAGAGCAGAAACATTTACTCTTTGGCAGAGAGGAGACTTACTTTCCCAAACAATAAAATCTAATAAAGATAGCATGAGGCCAACAAAATCTTTCTCTCTCCCATTTTTTTTTTTTGGTAGTTTACTCAAAAGATAAAAATATTTTACTATTTTCTAATATTACACAAAAATCTTGTTCGAGAGAAAAACTACTTTTTTTACCTTTGTATAGTATATTATTAATGCTAAAGCTATTTTTAATAAAACCTTATGAATAAATAAACCTTAATCAGTTGAGCCATAAGGTAAGATTTTCATAAACTTTTTATATTTTTATAATTTTTTATTAAAGAGTAGATCAGTGCTCCAAGAAAATCCTGTGATTCTAACACAAAGGCCTAGATTCTGGCCCTACGTCAGTATGCTTTTTATTTTAATGTTTAATTTATAGAAAAACTAAAAAAGTCCATTTAAAATTTAGCTAACTTGCTCACATATAGAATTTTTTTATAAGATTAATTTTTCTCAAACCTTTCACAACTTGTTTAAACCTTCAGTTTTCTCCTTATTTTAACTTAAAACAATCCTTAAACACTTTTTAACTAGAGAAAATTAATTTTCCTTTAATAAAACCACCTCCCCATGCCTTCTTGTAACTTTATGAAAAATACACTTTACCTTTTTTTATGTACTTTGTATTTAGTAGTTTTAATTACATGTATTAATTGTAATGTCAATTCTTAATAACTCATTTTTAGTGAAAAACTTAGGACGTAAGTAATTTTAATTATGTACCAGGTGCAGAGCCCAGATCAAAGAACCATCCCTAGAACTAGGCTTCATCATATCCTAATGGCTCAACTCTAAGAACATAAGCTTATAGACAGGTTAAGCAAGTGTCAGAAAAAAAGTTCTATTTTTTTTTTTTTTAGACGGAGTCTTGCTCCGTCACCCAGGCTGGAGTGCAATGGCATGATCTCGGCTCACTGCAACCTCTGCCTCCTGGGTTCAAGCGAGTCTCTTGCCTCAGCCTCCTAAGTAGCTGGGATTACAGTCACGCACCACCATGCCCAGCTAATTTTTGTATTTTTAGTACAGACGGGGTTTCACCTTGTTGGTCAGGCTGGTCTCGAACTCCTGACCTCATGATCTGCTTGTCTCAGCCTCCCAAAGTGCTGGAATTACAGGCGTGAGCCACCACACCCAGCCACAAAGTTCTATATCTTAAAACACCTATCAAAGACGGACTAATTTAGGCCAAATGTCTAAATTCTGAAGACATTGCTGTTTTATTTTAGCAATAATTTTAAAACTGTCTTTTTTTCATCAAAGATTACTAAAATCATGCGAACTTGAAAGGCATTTGGGCTTATTTACTTAATTTATGAGTAAGTCAGTTTGATACCCACACAGGCCAGTGTGTTTGACATTGGCGAGGAATAAAGATAAAAATGACTCAACAGCAGTATTTGTGATGCAAAGGGAGAGAGAGCTAGTTGGCAACCAGAAGTACGCAGTAGGTTGCACATTTCTAATTCAAAAATGTGAATGAAAATATTTTACTCTGTAAATGGAGACAAATGCTTCATATCCCAGAGATACCACAAAGAATAAATATCTACATTTGAGAGAAGTATGGTTGTAGGTAGTTAAAAAAATGAGAAGTCAAAAAGTTCTCAAATTGGGGTTAGGAGAAGAGCTGGTACAGCAGAGGTGGGGCTGTCCTGTTCACATCTTCTTGGCCTTATCATTTTAGTTTAGTCAAGTAGAAATCCAACGGCCAGTATCCCATCTTTTTTCATTGCTAATGATAGATGACAAGAGCTGATGTGAAAATACTCCAGTTCCCAAAGTCCTTGAGTAGATAACTCTGTCACATATTCCATACCAACTTCAAGGGTTCTCAGCCCATCTTAGCAAATGGCTAACAGCACACCCTTACTGGCTCCCTTCTCTTCCTCGTCTCACTTGCCCACTCCCATAACAGTGTTTTGTGGGACCAACTCCCACTTAAACGACTTGCACTGGAATCCTTGTCTCAAGGTCAGTTTCTGAAGAAACCCAAGCTAGGACAGTTGTTGGTTATGTGTTTCCTCAGAATCCTATATCCCCTTTGGTCACTAATGCCTCCTGTTTCAGGCCCTCTAGAAAATTCTCCCTTTATTTGACCTGGGACCTATCATTCTCATCCTGCAGTTGCCAGGTCACTACAGTCAGAGAACATCATCTGAAAAATCCTTCACAATACAGAAGAAATTTGTTAAATGTGGTATTAACCCTCCAAATGTGTTTACATTTTTAAGAGGGCCACTGGGAAAAGAACTCAGAGGAGTGAATTCCTAATTGTGAAGTTTCAGGCTCCATGTCGCCTGTATGAAGAAGATTATTTTGAACAGGGCTTCTCACATCTATTACTTCTGACTCTGGAACTTCTTGGACCATTTGGAAGAAAAAGAGCAGATGAACTAGTTACTCTTTAATGACAAGTCAAATTTGGAAATTAGATAGAAAGGCTGTGGAAGGGGAATTTGAAGGAAAGCCAAGAAATTTAGCATAAAGTAGCAAAAAGAATAAATAGCATGTTCATGGATTCTATGACACTGTTCTCCACATTTTAACATCTTTAAATCTCTGAAATAGAATGCATATTATAATCAATAACACCTCTTAATTGCTGTTGCCATGTGGCAATCACAACATCGTTGTCATTGCCTGTGATGTGAAACTGGGTCAAAGCTATCATGTTGTTGTCACTTCAATCGAATTATGTGCACTGTTGGTGCAACATATGTTGATCTTAATTGCTGTTTAAAATGTCATCAAAATATAACACTATAATTTAGGATTCAAACAAATAGTTATTATGTATGCAGAAAGGGACGGGAACAAATCAGCAGGGTACAAATTTGATATTTGTGAAGCAACCATTTGTCACTAGATGGATGACCCTAAATTCCAAGTTTTCTTGGAAAGCAACAATAAAATCCTTTATAGGATGTAAGAAAGGAAGATGCTCACAAGTAGATAAAGTTGTATTATATTTTGTTACTGAAATTAATGCAAAAAAGATTGCCTGTCATACACAAAGCAACAGTGGCAAGAGAAATTGCCAAATTCCTCATAATAGATGAAAGAAATCTCAGCACAATAAGACCCTGGAGTGAATGATTCATGCATTGCACAGTATTATCATTAAGATGTACAACATCAATTTATCAGAAACATCCTGCTGACTGAGCAGGGTACACTTAACTTCCAGCATGATGCAAGTGAGGAAAAATGATAATATGTGTTTAATTAAAGAGGTAATGCTAGGGATGAGGGAGTGGTTTTCCTTGGCAAGACTTAAAATCATACTGCCAATACAAATGGAACTTCAAGGAGTCCAGGATTATGAATTTGGGGTATCAAAAGCAGCATGTCACTATGATCTTATGTCTAACTGCTGATTGCTGAAGTCACCACCATATTTAATTTGTGTAACTGTAAAACAATGTCTAAGAATAAGAACTTTATGTGGGCAAAGGATATGAACAGACACTTCCCCAAAAGAAGACATTTATGCAGCCAACAAATGTGAAAAAAATGCTCATCGTCACTGGTCATCAGAGAGATGCAAATCAAAACCACAGTAAGATACCATCTCACGCCAGTTAGCATGACAATCATTAAAAAGTCAGGAAACAACAGATGCTGGAGAGGATGTGGAGAAATAGGAACACTTTTACACTGTTGGTGGGAGTGTAAATTAGTTCAACCGTTGTGGAAGACAGTGTGACAATTCCTCAAGGATCTAGAACCAGAAATACCACTTGACGCAGCAATCCCATTACTGGGTATATACCCAAAGGATTATAAATCATTCTACTATAAAGACACATGCACACATATGTTTATTTTGGCACTGTTCACAATAGCAAAGACTTGGAACCAACCCAGATGCTCATCAATGATAGACTCGATAAAGAAAATTTGGCACATATACACCATGGAATACTATGCAGCCATAAAAAAGGATGAGTTCATGTCCTTTGCAGGGACATGGATGAAGCTGGAAGCCATCGTTCTCAGCAAACTAACACAAGAACAGAAAACCAAACACAGCATGTTCTCACTCATAAGTGGGAGTTGAACAATGAGAATATATGGACACAGGTAGGGGAACATCACACACCAGGGCCTGTCAGGGGATGGGGGGCTAGGGAAGGGATAGCATTAGGAGAAATACCTAATTTGATGACAGGTTGATGAGTGCAGCAAACCATCATGGCACATGTATACCTATGTAACAAACCTGCACATGTATCCCAGAACTTAAAGTATAACAAAAAAAAATTTTAAAGAACTTTTTCAAAGGTATTATTAAGAGTGAAACACGATAGTGGATGGATAATGACTGTGGTGACAGACGACTGATTAGAAGTCTTCTGGAATAGACATCTGAGAATCTACCATATATTCTGGTTCTCAATGATTCCATGGACATCTGCCTGAAAAGTTAAATACGAATCTCATCTATTAGTGATGTGGTTGTTTATCATGATGGTATGACTAGACTATTACAACTCTTTAATGTTTCAGTCAACAAACCATTTAACCATATGTAGAAAAAATATGAGTCCTGGTTCTTGTCTGAAACCTTCTACTGAGAAATTTTGGAGAGATCAAGAAAGTGCCAGCATCAAAACTTACAAAATGAAGACAATAATTGTGCACACTCTACAGAAATATGCATTGCTGTCATGCTTGATGGCCCAGAAGACATTATTTTATGGAAAAATATGAGTGCCAATAAATCTAAGTTTAAAGGAGATTCAGAAAAATTGAACTCTAAAGTGAAGTAGTTTTAGGAAGACATTAGCCAATTTATTACACATATACTTCCCTTTTAATATATGTACACAATACTGATATATTAGTAAATATATATATCTATGTTGAAATAAATCAAGAGTTTTACCAATAAAGAAAAAATAAAAATTCTAAGTGATAAAAAGCATTGTGGTATACTTTGTATTTTTGTTTCAAGGCAAAAAGCATTACTAGAGATAAAGGTCAGTGCATGGTAATAAAAGATTTCATTGACCACTAATATATAAAAGTCTAAATGTGTATGACAGTAGCACAAGAAGAAAAATTCACAGAGTAGATTTTAACTTACCTTTTTCAATGACTGCAAAAATCTATCAGGCAAAGAAAAATCAGCAAGGATGCAGAAATTTGAACAAAACAATTAACAAACATGGTTTAATAAACCTGTATGAAACATTTGTACCCATCAACTGCAAAATACATATTTGTTGCAAGCTCACATGAAACATTTACAAGATATTAATATGCTGGGTCATAAAACAAGTCTCAACAAATTTAAAATGATTGAAGTCATTCAGAGAATGTATTCTGATTAAAATTAAATTATTCTAAAAATCTGTAAAAAAAAGATAAATAGAAAATCCCTATGTATAGAAATTAACAAATACATTTTTAAATAAGTCACCTTAGGACAAAGATGAAATCCTGATGGAAGTTAGATGATTAAAAAGGAGGAAAATTCTATCAATATCCACATGATATATGATTTGTATATGCAGAAAATTCCAAAGAATATACAGATATAATTTTAGAATTAATAAGAGATATTACAAAAGCATTAGAATCAGAGTTTAGCAAGGTTGCTGGATTCAAAATCAATATACAAAAATTAATTATATTTCTATATAACAGCAAAAACAATGAGGAAAAAGATATTTATTCTAGTATCAAAAAATACCATCTACAGAAATAAACCCAGTGAAACACATATAAGATTATAATGTTTAATAGAGAAACATTAAAGAAGACATAAATAAATAGATTAGAACACAAGTATAAAGATGCCAAGTCTCCCTAAATTTTACCTAAAGATTTAGTGTCATTCAAATTCTCAACCAGGGTGTGCATATGTGTGTGTGCGTGACTTGACAAGTTGATTCTAAAATGTATATAGAAATATAAAGAAGACCTATTCTACTTGACATCAAGACTTACTATAAAGCTGTAGTAAAAAACACAAAAAGATTATCTATTGATGAAGCAGAGAGAGAACCATAAGATGGAATGGAGTCCAGAAACAAGCCCACCCACAAAGGAACACTTGATTTATGACAGAGCTGGCCCAGCAGAGCAGTGGTAAAAGAATAAGATGTTCAGTAAATGTTATTGGAATTTGGTAGACATGTGGAAAAAAATGAAAGAAAACTCTCATTATTAACAAGCTCCAAGTTAATTACAATCAATGGTGCAAAACCACAAAGAAAAATCTCCATGCCTGCAGCTTACAGAAAGATTTCTTAAATCATAAGAAGCATAAAGTTTAATAAATGATTTATTAAAATTTAAAACCTCTTCATTGACACTAGAAGATAGGAAAAAGATAAGCCATAGAGTAGAAGGTATTTGCAATAAATTTGCATGAGAAACTGATACACTACAGAAAATGAGCAGTTTCTCTTTTTCTGGCATGCTGCTTCCTTCCTCCCACTAACACACACTTAAGGGTTTGTTTTATTGTTATTTTGAGGTTCACGTACTTAGTAACTGCTGAAAGGTAAATATGAGTATGTCTTTGATACTTAGGAAAATAGAAGTGCTCATTTGTTACTGAATCTATAATGATCAATTTTCCATAAGATGTTTTTGTTCATACATTTAAGTGAGGGACTTAGGAAAAATGCAAAAGGAAAGTGAAAAGATATCCTGGATGAAAACAGCGGTGATTCCTGGCTCTTAACAAAGAAGAAAAAGTGAGTAATTTAACCATACAAAGTATGGGGGAAACTGAATCTGAAAAGGAAGGTAGAAGAAGTTCAAGTAAGAAAGGAAAATGAAAAAAGTGTACAACACAACTGAGAAATGTTGAAAGGTAGTATCTGAATGATCGGCATAGAAATATTCCTGCAACTGTGAGAAAAACAGGCAAATAATGGTAATTCTTGGGTTCTTAGAGGAACTCTGAGAACTAAAAAGGATCCTAATCTTGGATGGCAAGAGTTTTCAAGTTTACATGAATAGCAGAGCTTCCAAATTAGCCCTAGGAGAAGCCCTTTTTTTAACAATGGAATAATATTAAAATAAATTGAGAAAAATGAGAAAACATAGCTTTTCTTGGAGAGTTGAATATAGGTTACATGAAAAAAATAATACATGGGAAAATTAACATCAGGAACAAATTCTAACTAGAGAGAATCTGAAATTGTCGACACACGGAAATGGAAAAAATGGTATCCCCGCTTCATAAATAGGATCATTTTTATTTCTTTACCTTTTGAGTTTCAGTCAATTTATTTTTGTTTTTTTCATTTGGAGACTTTTGATTTAAAGAGAAAAAAGAAAGAGTTTGGAAGACTGTAAAATATGTAAGAGCAGGAATTCAGATAGTTGGTGTTTACTCTTGTTTTACAAATAGAAGTGGTAATTAACATACATCATTTAATAAAACAAATAGAAGTAATTAACAGACATCATTTAATAAAATTGTGGCAGCAAAGTCAAAGTCAAAAAAGTTTACAACCGATAACCTATTTTTTCTCTAGAAAAATCTTCTAGTTTATATCTGTATAGTCTATTTTTTATTGTTAATTTTCCACTTTGTGGATTTTTGTTTTATTTTTTCTGCTGCTAACCTTTTGGTCATTTCATATATATTCACACCAGCTTCAGGGAGGAGGGCTGAGGGAAACTAAATAAATGCATTTTTCTACTGTGCTTCCTGTTAATCCTGCCCTGGAAAAAGTCCAGTAACAAAGAAATTTAATACTATTGACTAAATTGATAGTGTTGTTCAGATTAGTTCTATCCATTAAGGTTAGAAAACTCAGACACCTACAGAGGCCTTGCAGGTAAGGTAAATGAGTGCTTGGGACACTCACTGGTAGGCACTGTGTCAACCCTGGGTAGTACATACTTTCTCCAAAGGGATTCCAGTATTTTAATTTGCACCAAGTAACTGATGGCTGAATTAGGCCCACAGGCTGCCAATTTACAGTATCTGCATCATTAACCTTGGTAATAAAAGATGTATATGCTTAGATGTCATAAAAATATAGTTGCTGAAACAATGTATCATATAGTTTCACTCTAGTATACTAATGCAGCTATGAGCTAGTTGACACAAACAGTACCAAATAGGGACAGAAACAAATGCTTTAAGCAAACCATGACACACAGTTAACAAGTGAAAAATTGAGACCACCTCATTCATGATAATTTATAGGAAAGTAACTTTTATGTAAAACCTGCCCAAACTTTGGGAGGCTGAGGCAGATGGATCACCTGGGTTCGGGAGTTCGAGACCAGCCTGACCAACATGGAAAAACCCTGTCTCTACTAAAAATACAAAATTAGCTGGGCATGGTGGTGCATCCCTGTAGTCCCAGCTACTTGGGAGCCTGAGGCAGGAGAATCACTTGAACCCGGGAGGTGGAGGTTGTGGTGAGCTGAGATTCTACCATTGCACTCCAGCCTGGGCAACAGGCTGAAACTCTGTCTCAAAAAAAAAAAAAAAGAAAAAACCTGCCCAAAACTTAAAGTAAACTGACCCTCCTAAGTGTGTGTTCAGGATCTTTCCTAAAAAGGTGCTCGAGAACCATTTTTCATTGTTAAAAGTTATTTTTGAGGACAAAGAGATAAATATGCTCTCTTTAGGGGTCTACGTTTACAGTATGAGTTTCTCTAACTTTCTAATGGAACAGAGTATTGGAACAAATCCCAAGTAATTTCACATATTTAATAGGAGATTGTTGTTGTTTTTCAAGAGGTGATATTTTCTTATGATACATATATTTAAGCTTTACGTTAGTTATTTTTGCTCATTGTTTTTTTTTTCAGGGAAAATTTCATGGAAATCCAATGCATGTAGCTGTGGTTATTTCAAACTGTTTAAGGGAAGAGAGGAGAATATTGGCTGCAGCCAACATGCCTGTCCAGGTAATATTTTCTGACCTTGTGATCTTGTTATCACCTTGAACTCAATTTTTCTGAAACAGAAATTATTATCTTTGGTAGGGTACAGTGGCTCACACCTGTAATCCTAACACTTTGGGAGGCAAAGGTGGGAGGATCATTTGAAGCCAAGAGTTTGAGACCAGTCTGGCCAATGCAGCAAGACCCTGTCTCCAAAAAAAAAAAAATTAAAAATTAGTTGGCTATGGTGGCACATGCCTATAGTCCTAGCTCTGTGGAGGCTGAGATAGAAGGATCACTTGAGCCCAGCAGTTCAAGGTTGCAGTGAGCTATGTTCACACCATGTACTCCAACCTGGGTGACAGAAAGGGACTCTGTGTCTTTAAAACAAAACAAAAAAAAAAAAAAAAAAAGAAAGAAAGAAAGGAGACATTTTTAAAGAATCTTTTCCAGCTTCTTTTACTTATGTTAGTGGTGCCACCATCCTTCCAGTCACTTGCAATCAAGGTCTTAGTATCATCTTTGCGTAGTTCCTTTTCTTCACCCCCATGCTAAGACAATTACCATGTCTTTCCAGAGTGTATGTCTGGAATCTTATCTATACATCATTTCCCATTTGTACTGGCCACACTCTGTTCCAGAGTCCTACAATATTAGCCTAGAAATATAGTAATCACCTCCAAGCTGAATTTCTGTCATTCCCACTCTGCCTCTTCCTGTATGTTCTGGTCTTGCTCTACAGCTGTCAGTTGCTTCCATTTCCTACCTCACAGTGTAAACCAGTCCGTGAGCAGGAATTTTGTCTTACAGAAGTTCCATGAATACTTGCTTGTTGATTGTGTGAGTGTACTTTACTCTAACATAGTTTAGATTATATTTTATCCCATTTTCCTGGATGAATTCAGAGTTCCCACTAAAAACAAGTAGAGGAATCAATGCAGTCTTTAATGAATACTTTTTTCAGTTAATCCTTACAAAAAGGAAAGGGTGTGTAATTAATTTTCCAAGTGACATCCTCCATAATTCAATAAATCATACCATTATATTTATTTTTGAAGGTCCAACAAAAGTTTTTTTTTTGTTTTGTTTTTGAGACAGAGTCTTGCTCTGTCACTCAGGCTAGAGTACAGTGGCGTGATCTCGGCTCACTGCAGCCTCTGCCTCCCAGGTTCAAGCAATTCTCCTGCCTCAGCCTCCCAAGTAGCTGGGATTACAGGCACCTGCCACCACACCTGGCTAAGTTTTGTATTTTTAGTAGAGACAGATTTCACTACATTGCCCAGGTTGGTCTTGAACTCCTGACCTCAAGTGATCTTCCCACCTTGACCTCCCAAAGTGCTGGGATTACAGGTGTGAGCCACCGCCCCCGGCCAAAAGTATCTGTTATTTAACTCTTAAAAAATTCTCATGTTTAGTTATTGTCAGGTTATGGCTGTTTTGGGAGGACTTTGAAGTTTTGACAACTTTATTTTTTAGATGAAGAAGGATGGTATCATTTTTATTTAATATTAAAACTATAGTAAGTTTCTAAAGTACATATAGTTTGATTTAGTGCCTTTGGGGTAAAAATTAAGATACTTTTATGAATATATGGTATTCTCACATGTATTCTCAGCTGTCCTTTTTTGAACCCTTCTTATATCTAGTTATTCGTCTGTGCACGTGTGTGTGTGAGAGAGCGTGTTCTCTTCCAATGTCAGATATCAGTCAAAATGTTTGTTTGAGTATATGCTCATCAAAGTCACTCTGAAAATAATTTGCTAATACCACATACTACCACAAAAGAAGTGCTGGTTATTAAATTTCAACTAGGTAGACAAATAATGGAGGCTGATGATAGAAAGAGAATTTTATAAAGGCTTTACCAATTGTAAGAGTGTGGTATACTGGAAGAACATCTGATCAAGAGTCAAGGACATGGGCTCTACTTGAGGTTACTGCACTGAATTTGCTGCGGATTTTAGTTTATCAACCTTTCTAACCATGGCTCCCCACCCAACTTAAGATGAAGGGGCTGCTTACATCTCTAATAGTTATAGAACTTTTTATCTAAGGAACACACCCAGTATCAGATTATTAGAGTAGCTAAGACGTTCTGCTTGGAGGAACTGTCTTTTTGCTTAACCAGGCTAACATTTTTATGTTTTCTTTCATAAACTCCCTTTGTTCTAAAGTAAAAACAAATCTCATCCCAGCAGATTCAACATCCCCAATTCTAAATTTAGGGCCAATTTAATGTAGTTTCGTTATACCATTTTAAAAATTACACATATTGGTTTTATACAATTTCAAAAGTTATATAGATGTTATAGAGAATTAGAGACAAAATTTTTAAAATCATCAAATTATCTGTAATTTCACTATTCAGAGAGAACACATTGGTAAGATTTTGGTGTATATATTCTCCCAGTCACATGTACTTGAGTTTACATATCTATACATCTGTCCATGTACTTGCAAATGTATTTATACATACATGCGCATATATGTTCAAGCAATAGAGATCATATATATATGTTTATATTTATGTATGGTGGGCTTGTTTGTTTGTTTGTTTGTTTGAGACGGAGTCTCGCTCTGTCGCCCAGGCTGGAGCGCAGTGGCACGATCTCAGCTCAATGCAACCTCTGCCTCCCAGGTTCAAGTGATTCTCCTGCCTCAGCCTCCCAAGTAGCTGGGACTACAGGCACACGCTGCCACACCTGGCTAATTTTTTTTTGTATTTTAGTAGAGACAGGGTTTCACCATGTTGCCCAGGCTGGTCTCAAACTCTTGAGCTCAGGCAATCCACCTGCCTCAGCTTCCCAAAGTGCTAGGATTATAGGCGTGAGCCACTGTGCCTGTCCTATATAAGGTATTTTTATAATCTGCTCTAGTCTTCAAATTTTAACCCTTTAAATTTTATGTCATTAAATACTTTTTTACAGCATGATTTTTTAATGACTATAGAGTATCCATATCACATTGATCCAGACCTCAGGTCGAATTGTATGCGGTATGTATTGCATTCATCATAAACCTTTTCAAAACCAGAGAGATTTCAAGACATTCTTTTTCCAGGGGCCTCTAGAGAAATCCTTACAAAGTTCTTCAGTTTCAGAAAGACAGAGGAATGTGGAGCACAAAGTGGCTGCCATTAAAAACAGTGTGCAGGTAAGTGCTTTTATACAGATACCTAGAAAGTCTAGATACTGTCCCCATATAACTATGCACCATTCTCCCATGCACCCAAAGTTAATGTATACAGAAATCATAGGGCAATTTGTTAATAAGATAAATATCTCTCACATACTATGTTTATATAAGAATATTTCTTTATGGGAAACATTTTAACTTCACCTTGAACTTCTTTGATATGGGGCTATTCAGGTTATCTATTTCTTCTTGAATGAGCTTTGGTAATTTGTGTTTTTCCAGAAATGTGTGCATTTGATCTAAGTTGTTTTATTGGCATAAAGTTGTTCATAATGTTTATTGTCATTTGAATATCTGTAGAATCCGTAGTAACATCACATCTCTCATTTAATATTGATAAATTTTTTTCTCTTTTTTCCATAATCAGTCTATCTAGAGATTTATCAATTTTATTGATCTAGTGAAGATGTCTTAAATAAGACTTTCTGCCATGTTGTATATAAAATAGGATGTTAATTTCCCTTCCAAAACTTACATAGCATTCATTTCCTTGCCATTTATAAAAATAATAATTCCATCAAAATAAACTATAAATATTTAAAGATCAACAGTCCCATATATTATCTGAATAGTAGGCAGAGGGTTTAAATTTATTTTCAGACTTCTGATTTAGTGATCCTCCATAACAAGTAAAACATGAATGCAAAAGTCTGGGCTTACACTGTTGTGAGAAAGAATCAGACAGACCTAGGACAAAATACCTTGGCACATTATAATGTCAAAACCAATGGCTCTACTCACTCTGCAAGTGTGTAGATTAATAATCTACCATTATTAATAATCTGCCATGCAAGGCAGGAGATTATTATTTTACTACAGTAAGAATACTTAAGCACATTAATCAAGTGCACAGATGGGTTTTGCATCCAGCACAAATTCCTTTTAAAATCCTAAGGAGTAGGATGCAGCAGAGGCCAACATTTTTTGGACCCCCGAGCAGATCTTTACCAGGCCTGTACATGGATCCCCAACTGTTTTGAGTATTGACAGCCAATGGCTTCTCTGGTGAATTGACTCTACGGGGAGACTTTGGCTGCCTTCAGACAATGACTGAGTGACAGGGGGTTGTGGGGAGAGAGGCCCGACATCTTGCCTCAAGTTGGGGTTAACCTTTGGTGCATGTTATGCTCCTGGGTTTCTCAAACCAAAGTTAGACCTAAGTGAAGACCACATGCTCACTTAGCTCCATCCCCTTCCTTTTCCCTCTCTTGTATGTCCTTTCTGCTAAGAGGACTCCTTCAACAAATCCCTTGTAGCTGATCCCTGTCCCAGGGCCTGATTCCAGGAAGCCTGGCCTGACTTTTAGGCAAAGCAATGCTTTTCAATCAATGTAATTCCCCCACTTATGCCATAACCTCAGTTTCTCTACGGAACATTTGGAATGTAGCTCTCAGATCATTCAGAGAGCTTTTGAAGATTATTGCTGGGTATTTTCACCTTTTGCAATTACTGATGACAATATACTCTAGAAGCCCCTTAATTACTTACCATAGCATTGACTTTTCAGAGATCTGGCATTGGTTTAATACACTTTTCATTAGAAGATTCTGCAAGATACTGCCTTCTTTTAGCTTTTAATTAATTTTGAGATCAAAAGATGGAACCACAGTATATCTCTGCTTTAAAGCTATCATATTTTATTTTGTACATTTTCTCATGCATGTAGGTTCCATGAGTTTAGTAGCTCAGAGCCTTCCATGAGACTTTGTTCTGCAGAAACTTAGCATCAAAGTAAAATGCTACAAGTGGTATTGGGGTATACTGAAAAGAAAGAGTAAAGACTGAAGCTAGACTAGACTAGATTTGAATTCTAGCTTGAGTATGTATTATTATATGACTTTGGGCCTCAGTTTCCTCACATGAAAAATGGAAATAGTTTACTTTGCAGGTTGCCGAAAGGATAATCTATGTAAGGTATAGGCACAGCACAGGTTGCTCAAAATTGGTAGCTGTTATTACTACGGGTGGGTAGACAGTGTATCATGTAGTCAATAGCTACTACTTTGTTTCTTTTCTAAGGTTTATAAGTATGGAGAATGTCATTAAGAGAATGAGATAACAGGGATTAGAAGAGTAATAATAGCTACTACTTATGAAGCATATATTTGGTACCAGGCACTGTTTTAAGCAGTCGAACTAATGTAATCCTTATAACAACTCCTTGAAGTAGATACTGTTATCCTTCTTCGTCCCACCCCCACACCCCTTTTTACAGGCAAAGAAGCTAAAATGCAAAGACATTTGCCCAAGTCCATGCAGCTAATAAGTCATAGAGTTGGGACACAAATTCAGACTCTCTTCCTCCAAATTCTATACTTTTTGTAACCAATCATTTAAAATTTGGATTAAATGTTATTCTGATTAAAATTTAAAATTTGTGATGAGAGCATTGCTGTGGTAGATATATGTTTCCTTAGAGAAGACTTCTTGGAATAAGCAGGCAGTAGAAAGTTTGACTTTTCTAAGAAGAAAAGGAAGTACAGTAGTCTGAATCTAGGAAGTGCAGTGGGTCTATCTTTGGTTAAGGGTGGGGTCAAGGTTAAACTGCTGGACTTCCCACAGACTTCTCACTGAGCACCTGAGTGACCTTGGACAAGTGAGTTACTTCACATCTCGTGGCCTCTGCTTCTTCCTCTGTAAAAGTGAGGATAACCCACTTCATGGGTGTTGTGAAGACTAAAGGAGATAATATAAAAAAGCCTTTAGCCCAGATCTTGACATTTACTATTATATCTGAACAGGAAAACATCACCAGGTTTGGGGAAAAGTAAAGTAAAAATCTCAAAGACAGAATAACGGGAGACACAGAAGAAGCATAGGCATATTTCAGGAAATAGAAAGAAAAAAATATTTAAGCTGAATTGTCATAAGCTACAGCATATTTAAATGAAGATTTCAGCAAAAAGTGATCATTGATACATTAGTACAGAGTTATATGAAATACCCAAGGGTTCTAAAAGGGCAAAAATATTCATATTCTCCAATTAAAAAAAGATTATATGCATAGCATCATTTGGAAGTAATTAAGAAATGAGCAGGTAGATGCTGAAAGACTTCCAGGCAAGTAAAAAGAGAGAATAGCTGGAAGGGCAAGTTCAATCTGGTTCTTCCAACATTATCCAACTTTTATATGAATTAGCTCTTTAGAAGCGTGCGTTCATTATGGTCTTTGGTTGCTGTTGGAGATTGGAAGCACCAAGCAGTTTTTTAAAATACTTATGATGTTGTTTGATTGACATGCTTAATTGTGACAGCAGAGTGAGTATGTTTTCTTTTGTGAAAAGATGACAGAACAAGATACCAAATACTTAGAAGATCTGCAAGACGAATTTGACTACAGGTATAAAACAATTCAGACAATGGGTAAGTTTTTGTTTTTTCTATAATTATGCATAGAGACAAAAAGGCATCTTGAGTAGAGTTTTCTCACTGACAGAGTGGATAAATTTGATCTACTTCCTTAGGTGAGCCTAGGGAAATACAGGGAGTATTTTCTTGTTTTGCTTCTTCCTTATCTCTGCATATAAATATGTCTGTGTGTGCGTGTTTAACTGTGTGTGTACCCATCTATATCCAACCAATTCCAAGTAAATTACCAACAAATTCAACATAAATTTCAAACTGCATGAGGAATTACCCCTACTTCAGCATAGGTCTCTAAAAAATAAAAACCTTCTCCTATAGAATCAAAATATAATTATCACAGAAACAAAAGTAATAATTGCCTAACATGATCAGAGAATTACAAGTAGTATTTTAATAATATAATTTTCTAAGATTATAAAATAGAAATGTGTTTCATAGGAGAAAGCCTAAAATATAGGCAAAAGCATTAAAAAAATAAAAATCTCGTGAAATCGCACTATCTACAGATAAATACTGTCAAAATATATTTCCTTCCAGCCTTTTCTCTGTATGTTCACACACATACACATCTATGTATTTATTTTCAAAAAATGAAATCATATTGTATATAATTTTGTGTACTGCATTTAACGTTTTATTTTTTAAGTATTTCCTCATGTCAAAAAGTCTCCAAAAACATAATTTCAGTAATTGCATAAATGTCAAAATGTAAGGTCACTGCAATTTATTTTACTATTTTTTCTGTGGTTAAACACTGAAATTGTTTACAACTAGGTGTTTTTTAAAAATGAAGGGGAAGAGAACATTTACAAGTCCTAAGATTTACAAATAATAATAGAAGAATAGTTTAAAGTATGTTGCAATTAATGGGACAATTGACAAGATTCTAATTAGGTCTAGTTTAGTTGATGGAATTGTGCTGATGTTAATTTACTTGTTTTGATCATTGTGCTTACTATGTTTATGTAAGAGAACAGAAGAAACTAGGTGAAGGATATATGAGAACTCTGTGCTATTTGTGCAACATTTTTGTACCTCTAAAATTATTTCAAAATAATTCAAAAAAATAATCAGATATAAACTTTCCATTTACAGAATCATCTTCGACTATTCAAATGTTGGCCTAAAATGTATCTTGAAGGAAATATGAATGATTGTGGCCAAACATTTAACTTTTCATACATGAAGATGAGATGTTTTGGGTTCTTCTCCTGATATACTTAAGATGCCTTGACTTCCAGGAAATATTATTCAAAATGTTCACAATTATTTGTACATACAACTTTTCCATTCAGAAGAAATGGCACAAACATGGGTTTCATTATCAAAGGGGAGTCCATAACCCTAAAAGGGTTTAGAACAACTGTAAATTTAATCAAGTGATGTTCATTGAAGGCAGCCTTATTCCAAATTTTATATGCAAACTACTAATTTTAAGAATTAGATTATTTGAACTTAATTTGTTATGATTTGAGTCACTTTTTCAGTGCTTCATGTCCATTATGAATTAAAATGATCATTTTTATCACCTGAATCCACAAATATTTATTTTGTTTGTCCCATCCAGTTGTAAGTGAAAAGAAAAATACAAGGGAAACAAGCTATTATATCCTTGGTGAAGACGGGAAAGGTTAGCTAAAGAAGTTTTCAGTTGCCAAAATGCTACATAAACAAGATTTTGCTATGTATGGGATCTAGGAGTTAGTGAATTTGTGAATCATTACAACCAGAAATGAGTTCCTGGAGATTAGTCCTAATTTGTAGAGAAATTTGCCACAGTGTTGTTCTGGGGCCTCTTTTTCACAATTACACAAGTCAAATCAGCATTCCCAGCCCCCATTTTTCATGAACATGAATGGTTGGTATGAACAGGCACTTGCCATTGTAGGAGCAAAAAGGGAATCTTCTCCCTTCACCCTCTGAAGGTTGATTGAATATGGACTAATAAAATGTAGATCAGTAGGAGAAAAAGGCATGCAAATTAATTTAACATGCACAGCATGGGAGAATAGCAGGAGAGTGGTTACCCAGTAATCCAGTGAGGTACAGATACTTATATGCCCTTCTTCATAAGGGAAAGGGAGATTGGAAATGTAGAAGCAAATTATTTTTAAAGTTAATGAATGGACCCAATGCTCAGGCAGTGGTTAATAAATAGTATTCTTGGAGAACTGACTGGAGAACAAACAACGGTTTGGGACGAAGTTTGGGCTCTAGGTGTGGTGTTTAATTTTCAGACTTTTCCTCTGTGATATGAGTTTTAAGTTTCTCTGGTTAATGAAATTTCAGGGAAGGGATCAAAGGCAATTGTGTTCCTCTTAGGGGTCCAGTTTCTAGGTAGATCAGGGAGCTTCCGAGCACTTCACGTGTGCTATGGAGAGACGAAAGATTGAGAGAGACCTTGAGGCTGCTGCTTTAGTTCCATTATTTTGGGGTGTCATTTTCTGAGCCCCACCACTATGTCAATAAAGTTTAATGTTCAAATTAAATAATATAATGTTTATTTATTGCATGTATCACCCTGTAAAAAAGGATAAATCTTTTTTTTCAGTCAGATATTTTTCTAAGTTACAACTCTGGCCCACTGCTAGTTTTACGATGAGGCGAGCGCATTTTGAAAAAAAAAAAAAGAAAAAAAAGTGGGGGAAAGTAAAGAACTTAGTCTTTATTAGTTCATGAGACTAGGTAGATAAGACTGTAACTCTATCAGGCAGTTTCTCATAAAACCTGCATATGAAGCAGAGCAGGGAGGGGTATGTGAAGGCAACAGAGAGTCAAATATGATTTAATCAGGGGCACAAAGGGTGATCCCTGCTTTCCTTACTTTTACCAAATAACCAAGTATATAATTAATGTGGAGGTATATAGTAAGGCATCCATTACAGCAACTTTATCTCCTCTGTCCACCACCACCAAAACAAAACAAAACAAAACACCCAGTGCAGAATGGTTTTTCCTGAAGCTCTAAAATAAAGAGGTCCTTTTTTGCATGCTTGGATGTGATTCTCCCTGGCAAAATGAGCAGACAGACTTCCAAGCTCACCTCTAGTGAACCCAATTAGTCTCTTACCACATAAGTTCTCCGGGCCAGGGCTGTTTTAGGATGGTGGATTGAGGCTGACTTGACTTTCAGGAATAGAGAGAACTCTAAATCTGATCTCTTTACCTTTGCAGATCAGAGTGACAAGAATAGTGCCATGGTGAATCAGGAAGTTTTGACACTGCAGGAAATGCTTAACAGCCTCGATTTCAAGAGAAAGGTTAGTGAAGAATTTTAATTTGGGCTTTTGCCTATTTTTCTCCTTTTTTCTAAACTTAGACTAACTGAAAATAATCAAGCTGTCAGATTTTATCAGTTCCATTTACTGAATGAAGAAACGGCAAGGTTTCTAGGAACAGTCCCACGCTGTTTGCCATGCTTCTCTTCATGAGTTTACAATGCTGGACCCCTTTAGAGCCTATTTATCTTGCTTATGTGATACATTTACTGTAGCTAACATTAATTTCAAGGTGGAAATTTTACCCAATTTTTATTTGTCATTATTTCAGACGTGGCTGTTTCAGTTGCTGTACTTAATATGCTGAGATGGGTTCCACTGCACATATATAATTAATATAGTATTTGATGACTACTAAAATTTTATTGGAAAAATAAGTGTTCTAGTTTCTACTCTGAGAAATGACGTAGTGTTAAGCAATTTCCTAGATTTCAAAATAGTTCATTGGCAACTGAACATACTCAATCTAACTTCTTCCAAGGAGAGCAAGAACTTTTTTTCTGGTTTAATGAAATATTTTTAGGGAGGGGAAACATCTCTATTTCACTTTTCTACCTCTCTTGAAAAATACATGCAATTGAAATTTAACCAGTCACTGATAAATCAGTAGTTCATTTCTAAAAGTTCGGCTCAATTTTTTGTGCAGGAATTTGGGTGAGCACAAACAAGTATAACATTTATTTTCACCCTAAATTAATTATAAACTTAGTTATATATCAGATTTTAAGTATGCAAGTAGTTAATCCAAGAAAAAATTTAATGTTTTTATGCATAATAAATCTATGCTATATATTTTTATGCATGACATCTTATTCTACTTTAGGAATAACATTTTAAAAAGAGAAGGAACTTTGACAATAATTCAGTTCATTCAACTGGTTGTATAAATGAGAATACCAAGTTTAAGCAAGATTAAATACTTTGTTCATGTTCATATAGCTTACAATAATGCCAGAACAGAAATTCATATCTTCTAACCCCTAGCCCTTTGAAAGTTATAATTCTCCATTATGCCTCCCAAAACCCAGAAAAAGTCCTAAGAAAAATTAACACAGAAAGGCTCAAATTTTAGTCAGCTCATTTTAATATAAATGAATAACCATCTTTATTAAAAAATAAATTACATATATAAATATCCTTTTAATAAGCAACTATACAGTTTTGTTACTACAAGATTCAATATTGTTGCCGCAGGAGTTACACATTCAATATATTTATACTGAAACACGATGAGAATGTTAAACTGTGGCCATTCTTCTTTTCTCATGACATCATTTATTGTCAATAATTTAATTGTTTGAAAAGGCCTGGCAAATAGAAGCTAGCATTTAGTAAAATATTTGGTCAAAATTTTAACCAAGCCTTTGTCTACCAGGTCAAATAGTTTTGTAAATTGAATTCTAAGTGACTTATTTCTTATGAAACTCTCTTCAGTAGTCCCCTTTGTTTTTAGGAGGCTCTCAGTAAAATGACCCAAATCATCCATGAGACAGACCTGTTAATGAACACCATGCTCATAGAAGAGCTGCAAGACTGGAAGCGGCGGCAGCAAATCGCCTGCATCGGGGGTCCACTCCACAATGGGCTCGACCAGCTTCAGAACTGGTAAAACGAATCGACTGCAGTTTCTAGTGAAAACCACAGGAAACACAAAACTTCAGTGTCACTCAGCCAGAGAACGCAGGTTTAGACTGCAACATCAGTTCATTCAGTTTATTGATGGCTTATTAGCAGCTGAGAAATCTACAGTTGAAAACAAATAGTATAAGTGTTCTTAGTTTTCATTCTCATGGGGAAATCAAGGAAAGCGTCCATTGAATGCTTAATTTTCACATGCAAGATATCAATCGTAAAAGACTCGAATAAATTTTGAAACCAGCAATATACTTTCTTTAAGGACAGAATAAAGAAGCACTAGTTTCAAAATCTTGAAAATAGATATCTCAACTTTAAATGTTAGTTCTGTGTTTTCAACATAGTGATTTCTTTTGTTAAAGATGTGGGTCAGGGATAGAAAATTTCAGTTAGACAGGAGGAATAAGTTCAAGAGATCCATTGTACATCATGGTGACTGTAGTTAATAACAATTTATTGTATACTTGAAAATTACTAAGAAAGTAGATTTTAATAGCTCTTACCACAGAAAAGTAAGTATGTGAGGTAATAATGCATGTTATTCCGTTGATGTAACTATTCAACAAATGTTTACATACATCAAAACATCATGTTGTATACCACAAATATATACAATTTTTATGTGTCAATTTTTAAAAATCACAAATGGTTAATACAAGCTGGCATTCCCGATCTATGTATGCACACATGCAATGAAATGTAGATACTATCCTTTGCATTAGAAGATTAAAATGTTCATAGGGTTTTCCATGTCATAAATGCAAAATAAAACTATTTGATTGAAGGAACAATTGGAAAATATGAAAAAGAAAGAAACTGTTCAGTTAAAATCTAAAATTGATTCTTAAGAGAACAAGTCAAAACAATGGAATATGTAGTAACTGGGGACCCCCTCACTAAAAGCTCTGCCCTGCCAGGCCTACTTGTCAAGAAATGTAAGGAGTTTGACTCATTTTAAAACATTGATTTTCCTTGGGAAGACACTTTGATTTTACAACTCACTGTACTCTGTTGTGAAAACAATAATAAAGGGAGCAATAAAGATCTTAACCTATAATGGAGCTCATACCCCAAATCAGCAGGGATTCAACCACTCTTGCCATAGTCTTATATGTGGAATACTTAAAGTAGAAAGAGTTACTGTATGGCGAGGTGGACTTTCCAAGTCTGATAAGATGTTCTGTCTCCTGTGGTTGGAAGTCCCTTCCGTGTCCATTTCAATCTTACTCTTTCCTAGGCTTCTGGCCCACACTGCCACCTCCGTTTCTGAGGTGAGATCACCACATAGTGAATAAAATTCCAAGCAGTTATCAGAGGCAAGCATTTCTAAATATACCTTACTCTAAAGAGAGTCATTGATCACTTTTGGCTAGTACTTAGGACTTGTAAAAATATATATTGTGTGGGAAGATCGGTTACATATGTTTTTCTTTCAGTATGCTTACATAAGAAAACATTAATCATGGCATTTTTTTATGGCTTTAAATTTGCTCTTTTTTTGCCCTTTAGTGAGCGCCACATTTTTAACATATAGATGCTTAATAAGCTTAAACAAAGAATGATTAAAAGGGATTTAGTTCCAAATGTTGATAAAATTTCATAAATGATGACATATATAATTGAAGGTTTAAATAAGAAAACATTGAAAACATTTAACATATGCATATTCAAGAAAAAAATGGGTTAGGAAAATAAAAATAAAAACTGTCTCTAACCTAAATCAAATTAAGTGATTCATTTAATTAATTTAATAATTACTTAATAATTTAATGTTTATTAACTATGACCCATTGTTACAATGCTTTTTTATTATTAAGTGGAAAAACTATCTTTGATTTTCATTTTCTGTTCAATAGCTTTACACTATTGGCAGAAAGTCTTTTCCAACTGAGAAGGCAATTGGAGAAACTAGAGGAGCAATCTACCAAAATGACATATGAAGGTGATCCCATTCCAATGCAAAGAACTCACATGCTAGAAAGAGTCACCTTCTTGATCTACAACCTTTTCAAGAAGTAAGTGAAGTGCTATCAATGGCATCCTCCATTCTGTGAAGTAAGAACACCCTTCCTAAGGTTTTGGTGTTTAGGTGGAAGAGTGGCAGGGAAGTATTCAACAACGAGCCTCAGGGAGAAGTGAATAGAACCCCAGAAAGTTTTAGAAACCACATTTCTACTCTTCACTATTTATTCATCAACACTTCTCTCACCAACTGGCTCAGTTTTCCACAAGCTAAGTCATGTCATTCACCTACAGCTCAGTTTTCACATCTTAGAAAAAATTTCAAGGGTTTTTTCTTATGTGCATATCCATGAAATGAAGGATGGAGAACATTTTCATGTTTATAAGCTAAAGAAAAAATACTAATATGTACCAGAAATCCTAATATTTAGTCCAAAAAAAGTCATGAAATTTATTTTTGGCCAGGTATGGTGGCTCACACCTGTAATCTCAGCACCTTGGGAGGCTGAGGCAAGGGGTTGCTTGAGCTCAGGAGTTGTAGAACAGCCTGGACAGCATAAAAAGACCCCCATCTCTACAGAAAAATAAAAAATGTATCCAGGCATGGTGGCACATCCCTATAGTCCTAGATACTCAGGAGGCCAAGGCAGGAGGATCACTTGAGCTCAGGAGGTTGAGACTGCAGTGAGCTATGATCGTGCCACTGCACTTCAGCCTGGGCAACAGAGGGAGACCCTTCTCAAAAGAAAAAAAAATTACTAAATGGACTGGGGCTTTTATTCATGACTCAATTATAACAATTAAGAATCATTTACTGCTGTGAAATGATTTATAAAAAGTCATTGTAAAGATTTGAGTTTAATTGGGGGTTTGAATATCTTCTAAGTGTAGAAAATTTGGACTTTGAGTGGATAGCATCCTGTTCCTCTGTGGTTTTCAGTCTCAATATTTTCAGTGTTTTCAAATGATGCGCTTTATTTCCTTTTCATCTAGCTCATTTGTGGTTGAGCGACAGCCATGTATGCCAACCCACCCTCAGAGGCCGTTGGTACTTAAAACCCTAATTCAGTTCACTGTAAAACTAAGGTAGGCAAAAACATTTTCTACTATTTCGTGTGTTTGTGGAGCTATAGTCTCTGGATGATCAAGGCCAATTTCTCTCATTGTGGCTTGCATTCAGCTGTTCTTTATTGAACCATCTGCTGTGTGCCCAGCTCTGAGCTTGGGGAAATACCCACAGAAATGTGAAGATGAGAGCCCTGCTTGTCAAGAGCATGACAGTGCAGATGAGGACATAAGGGATATTAGCCTGAAAGTATGGAATCATAATATCAGGCACAATGAAATTAATTGCTGAAAAGGTTGACTTGAGAAAAGACTGGAGAGATTGGGAGAGGGGAGGAGGATTGTAGGAGAGTGAGAATACAGAAATAATGGCTTCCTGGCTCTGTCTGGTAATCGTGGGGAGCAGGGAAGAGACAGAATTGAGAGGACAGATTGGGGACAGATTCTGGAAGGCTTTGAATATCCTATCCAGGAAACACAGTGGCACATTCATCTCCTGAGATTACCCAGTAACTGGCTTATTAGACTTTCCACAAAAACTCCCAATACCACAGTTTTCCATATGTCCCTATTGTGTACCTGATTTAAAGACATAACTTTTGTGTTATTGTTGCTTTCTCTGTGAATTTGATCCTATTAGCATTAGCGTCAAAACTTACAGTTTTCCCTAATGATGCTGAGAACAATGAGTTTGAGTTCTTACTTTCAAAGGTTCTCATCATGCCTGAAACTCCAAGCACTAAAGTTTTAAAGGCCTAATCACTAGGTCACCTCTGGAAAGCTGAAACCACAGACTAACAGGTCAAGAGGTGGTGATGCCATGGTACAGAGCAGTTTAGGGTTCTATGATAAGGTTGCTGATCACATATCACTATTGGAACTCCATTTTTAAAGAGAAGGCATTTGTCTTCGGTTTGCATTTTTAAGACACCATTAACTTCTTAATCAGTTTCTTTGTATGAATTTTGCACCAAGATTTAAGAACTGAAAACAAAAGGCAGAGGCCAGGTTCCTTTTTAAATTGCACTGTTGGCCAGGCATGGTGGCTCACGCCTATAATCCCAGCACTTTGGGAGCCTGAGGAAGGCAGATCACCTGAGGTCAGGAGTTCAAGACCAGCCTGGACAACATGGCAATACCCCATCTCTACTAAAAATAGAAAAATTAGCTGAGCATGTTGGCTCATGCCTGTAATCCCAGCTACTTAAGAGGCTGAGGCAGGAGAATCGCTTGAACCCAGTAGGTAGAGGTTGCAGTACACTGCACTCACGCCACTGCACTTCAGGCTGGGCAACAACAGCAAGACTCCATCTCAAAAAATAAAACAGAATAATAAAGTAAAATAAAAAATAAGCATTCTTCTCAAAAATTGTTCCTTCCTCATTCCGACATCTCTGTATAACTCGGAGGAGAGTGAAATAAGATGGAGAAGTGGTGGACATTCTACTTTTCCTTGAGACACTCCTATAGATGATATAGTAAGTCTAAGATGCTCTCTGGGACAAAAGGGGAGATGAGTAGGGATTGCCTAGCAAAAAAATTCTAAGTGGAAGAGGCACTCTGAATCAGCACCACTTGCATGTTGTGTGAACTGATGGCCAGGGACATAGAACATTAGCCCCTGGTTGAAGGCTCTGTCTTCCTCTTCTACCTATTGGGTACCCATCCTCCTCCTCTGC
This sequence comes from Homo sapiens, assembly GCF_000001405.40. Taxonomy (NCBI): domain Eukaryota; kingdom Metazoa; phylum Chordata; class Mammalia; order Primates; family Hominidae; genus Homo; species Homo sapiens. The sequence goes on along the minus strand of NC_000002.12, from coordinate 191,060,070 downwards.
ACCCTATTCCCCACCATCTTGATAGGTGATCCTTTACTCAAGGTTTTCCTAAAACCCCTCTTTGCCATACTTTTGCATCCTCCTGTTTCAAAAGGAAGAATGACCTTGGACTCCATGGCACTTGTCAGCATCTTGCAGTGAATCAGATCCTTCCTGAAGTGGTATAAAAAGGAAGGTGGAGAGGAAAAACATCTGGCCTGATTTTATGTGACTATGCCCCCTTCTCACCATTCACCACCAATGACTGCACACTCAACATACTCCAGATCCTGAACCAATCTTGTGCCTTGTACAGGACTTTTAAAGAGCCTTTGCAACATTCTACCCACCCTTTTGTTTGGGCTGCCCATGAGCTATGATTTCATTTCTCTAATGCCAGTGAGCTGCTTATCGCCATATTCTCTGTTTTCCATTTGTGTGCCTGGACTCCCTCCTTTTATGTAGAGCCACGTCCACGTTTCTCCCTTCTGCAGTCTTTGCTACATCAGTTCTCTAGTACCTAAGGGTGTACTGCATAAATATGAGGAGCTCAGTGCATGCTGAGTGAATGAGCAAAGTTTAGGATGAGGGCATGAGTAAATGAATGAATGTGTGAGGGATTGAATGACTATCTCTGAAACTGCACTGAACCCACAGGTAGGTTACATCACAGGACAGAAATCTGAGGAGCTGGAGAAAGCAAAAGAATAAAGGATGGGCTGACACCAGAAGGAATTAAAGGAATTTTTATACTGAACTTCAATTACTTGTTCATTTGAAGTTTGTTTTTTTAATGAACGTTTTTGCTGTTACTTAAATATAGTGTTTTGAAAGTGTTTCAAATGTATTCAAGTTGGGATTTTCCATATTTTACTACAGTTCTGTCTTAGTATGTTCACCATAAAACACTTATCATTAAAGCTCACAAAGTGCTTTTTTGTAATATGAGGATAAAATGAAGCCATATAAGAATTTTTTTATATCTGTACATTTAACCCACATTTGAGCTTTAGCCAAAATATATAGCTTTTTTTTTTCTGACCTGGCCAACGTATTATCCAGCAAACATCAACTGAAGCAATATGGAAACACTTCCAAATGTTTGCCAATAATGCTATTAAGTGACTGATGTCAACATTAGTTACATGGCAAACTAAAGAGGCATTATACATTTTTAAAACACACTAACATATAACTGTAGATAATGTAAGGTTTATTTATATGCATATTTCATAGTATATTTAAATGTTTAAATATAAAAAAGGGTTTTTAAACACTTTTAATTTTTATCTTTGATTTTTTTTATTGATATCTCTTTCCAGGCTACTAATAAAATTGCCAGAACTAAACTATCAGGTAAAGGTTAAGGCATCAATTGACAAGTAAGTTTTCTAATTTCGTTTTGAATTACAATTCCAAATGTAAGACTTTTAAAAATGAATGGCCTTTATTTTATAGAATAATTTTGAACTTTTAAATTTACTTATCTAACATTATATAATGAATGTACTTCAAATATTTGACTTTGAAGTTCAAACATTTAACAAAATTCAATGGTATCCTAAATTTAAAATTTTACTATAAAAACTTGAAATCAATTTTATATACTATCCTTTAAAGTATCATAGAGACCGGGTGCGGCGGCTCATGCCTGTAATCCCAGCTACTCAGGAGGCTGAGGCAGGAGAATCGCTTGAACCCAGGGGGCAGAGGTTGTAGTGAGCCAAGATTGCACCACTGCACTCCAGCCTGGACGACAGAGCGAGACTCTGTCTCAAAATAAATAAATAAATAAATAAAATAAACTATCATAGAAAGTTATTCCTAGATCTATTAAATAGCTTGTTTTAAAGAATCTTCTTGGTTTTACAGGAATGTTTCAACTCTAAGGTAAGACATTTACTTTGTGGAAACTTTGTTGCTGCTCTTGTAAATTTATTTTACCTGAGACCATGTAAATAGCTAAGATTTCCTCTCCAGCAACCGAAGATTTGTACTTTGTGGAACTAATGTCAAAGCCATGTCTATTGAAGAATCTTCCAATGGGAGTCTCTCAGTAGAATTTCGACATTTGGTAAGTTTGGCAGTAAAGTTAAACAGGCTTTTTTTTCCCCAAAATCAGACATCTTTACTAATACGCCTTATAATTCAGTATGTTTTGTGCTTAAATATTTCTTATTTGAAATTAGGAACCGGCCGGGCACGGTGGCTCATGTCTGTAATCCCAGCATTTTGGGAGGCCAAGGTGGGTGGATCACAAGGTCAGGAGTTCAAGACCAGCCTGCCCAACATAGTGAAACCCCGTCTATACTAAAAATACAAAAAATTAGCCAGGCATGGTGGCAGGCGCCTGTAATCCCAGCTATTCTGGAGGCTGAGGCAGGAGAATCACTTGAACCCGGCAGACGGAGGTTGCAGTGAGCTGAGATCGTGCCAGTGCACTCCAGCCCAGGCCACAATGCGAGACTGCATCTCAAAAAAAAAAAAAAGAAAAAGAAAAAAAAAAAAAAGAAAAGAAATTAGGAACCATGCTGAGAAATAAAACATGCCATCAGTGAAGAATTAAAATGGTAGAAAGAGCACTGAACCTTGACTCAGAAGGTCTGAGTTCTAAACAATGAAGACATAGTACCTAAGTATACATAGTAGTTGGTCAGTATATTTTGCTGATAATTACAAAGATAATCTGTCTTAAAATGGAGAGGTGTTACACAATGGAATATATTATTCAGCCATTGAAAGAATGAAATTGTGTCATACGCAGCAACATGGATGGAATTGGAGGTCATTATGTTAAATGAAATAAGCCAGGCACAGAAAGATAAATATTTCATGTTCTCACTCATGTGGGAACTAAAAAAGTAGATCTCTTAGAGGCAGACAGTCGAATGGTAGTTACCAGAGGCTAGGAAAGGAAGCAGGGCAGGGGGATAAGAGAAAGTTGGTTAATGGATACAAAGATACAGTTAGATAAAAGGAATAAATTCTGATATTCAGTAGCGTAGAAGGGGCCGGGCACGGTGGCTCACGCCTCTAATCCCAGCACTTTGGGAGGCTGAGGCAGGCAGATCACCTGAGGTCAGGAATTCGAGACCAGCCTGGCCAACATGGTGAAACCTCGTCTCTACTAAAAATACAAATAGTAGCCCGGCATGGTGGCAACTGCCTGTAATCCCAGCTACTCAGGAGGCTGAGGGAGGAGAATCGCTTGAACCCGGGAGGCGGAGTTTGCAGTGAGCTGAGATAGCACCACTGCATTCCAGCCTGTGTGACAGAGCAAGACTCAGTCTCCAAAAAAAAAAAAAAAAAAAATAGTGTAGAAGGGAACAATAATTTATTGTATATTTTTAAATAGCAGGAAGAGAAGAATTGTAATGATCCTACCACAAAGAAAAGATAGGTTACAGATATCTCAATTACCCAAATTTGATCATTACACACTGTATACATGTATCAAAATATCACATGTACCACAAAAATATGTACAACTATGATATATAAATACAGAAGTACAAAGGCACACACACACACATACACACATGCAATAATGGATAGGCATTCCTGGTTTCATTTTTACATCTCCAAAACCATGTCTGGCTAAAAGCGCTTTCATTTTAGGAGGCTAGCTTGGGGAAATAGGATGTTCCTTGGTATAGCTGCTGTACACAGTTCACCTTGTCATGTCTAGAAAGCTCTGACCCAGCCTCATCCTGTTGCTTCTTGCTTTTACCACTTCCTCTTGACCTAGAGTTCTCTTTCTGCCTTCTTTCTAATTCTGCATAATTCTTAAGATTCCCAAAGACCCTACTATTTTTCTCGCCAGAAACCATGTTACTCCTTCTGCTTATTAACATTTAGCAATTGCCTCACTGAATGTTTGGGCGCCACTGAATCTGCCTCAAAAAGTCTACTTTCTAAAAGATAAAATGTTAAAATGATAAAAGTCTACTTTCTAAAAGATAAAATGTTTCTAAAAGATAAAATGTCTACTTTCTAAAAGATAAAATGTTTGGTTTTTAGTATTGAGGAGTATGTTTTGTTTTGTTTTTAATCCTTCCTGTCAAATAAACTGCCAAATAAATAAAATGTAATAAAGAATAATGTATTATAAACATCCTTGTAACTAGCACTCTTTTTTGTTAGGCTCAATTCCTACCATCCAGGAACTTTCAACAAGGGGCCATGTTTAGTAATAAGTAAAGTAGGAAGAGCCCTTAACTTAGAAATGTCTGTCTCCCAAAAAAGTCACATGGAAAAGGAAGAACAAGGAACACACCAAAAATCAGTTAGGTCTTTATTTCAGCAGGTACAATATATAAAATAACAAAACCTCAGTTTTTACAGTGGTCTTTTGCTCTTGCAAAGCGTTTTCACATTGGTTATCTTCTGCATAATAACTTTGCTTTTTAATACAAAAATAAATATAGAAAATAAAAATCAGCTGGGCGTGGTGGCTCACGCCTGTAATCCCAACACTTTGGGAGGCCGAGGAGGGTGGATCACAGGGTCAAGAGATCAAGAGCATCCTGGCTAACACGGTGAAATCCCGTCTCTACTAAAAATACAGAAAATTAGCCTGGCGCAGTGGCTCACGCCTGTAATCCCAGCACTTTGGGAGGCCGAGGCGGGTGGATCACGAAGTCAGGAGATCGAGACCATCCTGGCTAACACAGTGAAACCCCGTCTCTACTAAAAATACAAAAAAAAAAAAAAAAAAAAAAAAAAATTAGCCAGGCTTGGTGGTGGGCGCCTGTAGTCCCAGATACTCTGGAGGCTGAGGCAGGAAAATGGCATGAACCCTGGAGGTGGAGCTTGCAGTGAGCCGAGATTGTGCCACTGCACTCCAGCCTGGGTGACAGAACCAGACTCCATCTCAAAAAAAAAGAAAAAAAAGAAAAATTTTAAAAATTGTCACCTATAATTCCACCACTTTGCAACGCTATTAACTTCTTCATTTTTATAATTTCATTCTTTTTTCTAAAATAATTATATATGTATTTTAAAAGTGGGATCAAATAATACACACTATAAAATTTGTTTTCTGCCTCTTTTTTTCATTCAGTAATCTACATCAATGCACATTTATTTTGTGTCAGTAAGTCTTCTTCCCCTGTAATGTCATTTAATAGCTTACTATGCTATATGGTACACACTGCCCTGTAGTTTATTTTTCTAGTCTTCGTTAGACTTGGTTTCTCAGGGATTGGGAATCATCACCTACAGCTTAGCTAAAATGATGCTTTCCAGGCGCCAAGGAGTGCTGTATAGATTCTGAAAGTTCCCAGCATGATTTCCTTTTTCGAAAATGTTGACTGAAAGCTAAAGTCTTAGTGATATGCCAACTCCAAGTTTCTAAAGTGGCATCCCATGGGGTGAGACAGGAAACTCCTCTCTGTCAAATCTGGGCAGTTGTGTCAGGTTTCAATGAGTTTGAAAATATGTTGCTGTTCTAGAAGTCAAAACTGTGGCCAAGAAAATGACCGCAACAGGTACGACCAACTTAATATGTAGCTGATAATGCTTTTCCATCTAAATATTGTTGTTTTCTTTTACAAAGCAACCAAAGGAAATGAAGTCCAGTGCTGGAGGTAAAGGAAATGAGGTAGGAAATGTTTTCTCCTATAGAATTTTTCTGGAAACAGATCTTATAATATCTTATTTTTACAAAGCTTTTAAACTGCTTGACTTCATATAAAATCAAATTCATGTTTTTCTCATTATAGATGTAAAGCTTGATAATTGCAGACAATATGAGGAAGTTTTTCAAAAAGAGAAAATGAAAATAACATATTATATGTTATCAACACCCTCCAAAGAAAATAACTATTAACATCTTGGTATACATCATTCCAGTCTTTTATTTATCTATATATTACTTTAAAAATATATGATACTCATTGCTTCATAGCCTGCTTTTTTCACATAGCAATGTATCTTTTTTTTCTTTCTTTTTTTTTTTTTTTTTGAGAAGGGTCTCACTCTGTTGCCCAGGCTGGAGTGCAGCGGTGAGATCTTGGTTCACTGCAGCTTTCGCCTCCCAGGCTCAAGTGAACCTCCCACCTCAGCCTTGCAAGTAGCTGGGACTATAGGCATGTGCCACCATACCTGGCTAGTTTTTGTATTTTTCGTAGAGACAGAGTCCCACCATGTTTCCCAGGCTGGTCTTGAACCCCTTGGCTCAAGTGATCCACCCACCTTGTCTCCCAAAATGCTGGGATTATAGGCGTGAGCCACCGTGCCCAGCCCGGAGAACAGTTTTCCATAATTTTAAATACTCTTGGAGAACATGATTTACATTGCTTGCATTACATTACATTTTATAGGTGTGCCATAGTTTCTTTAGTCAGTCCATTATCAAGAAATATCTTTGTCATTCTTCATTTTTGTTCACTCATTTTCTCACATATATGAAGTCAGGCTGAAAAATTATGATATGTGGGGTAAAAAACAACCCTATTATTTTGAGATATCAATTACCTCGCTCTCTAATGTTTGCATTTCACTAGACAAATTGAATGAAAGAACAAACTGATGCAGTCTGAGTACTCCGTTGAGTTGATGATAGAGTAGTCAAATCATGAACTGGACATGACCTTGGAGAACATCTATTGAGCTGACCTCGAAACTAAGGCATAAGTCAATGACCTATATATTTGGAACTAGAAAACCTGGGTTTGAGTACATGCTCTGCCAGGGCCTGAAAATGTGACGTTTGGCAAATGAACTGATGAGGAAATACTGCATTTTTTTCCTCTAAGAGAGCAGGATAGTCATGCTCAACAGCCCGTGCTCAGAGGTGCTGCAGGTGTAAAACCACCTACGTGATGCAGTTTTGAAGCAGTGAGGTTTATTTCTGGGGTGGTTCATATGGATCCAAACTCTTGGCTTTATAGTCACAGCTCCCATGAAAAAGATCTTTGAATTGTTTGGAGGAAAAGCACTTTATAAATCCAGCATCCAATGACATCCAATTTATCACACCTCACAAAACCATAAAGATCCATCACAAAAGATTTAATGCCCTACCATTTTGCCCTCCAAGAATTCTTCATTCCCTTAATTGTGTCTTAAAGATCATTTGCCAAACATCATAGCCTCACCAAAGATGAGCTCAGTCTTCCAGGGTAGAATCGCTGCTCAGGGCACAGCTCCCTAAGCAGGTCTCTGCAGTCAAAGAAATCACAGGAGCAGAGTTTTGGGGTTTAAGGAGATTCTAGTAAAACGATTGAGTGGAAGATATTCTTCCCAGCTTATAGAAACCCATAAAGGTTTTCTAAACTTCCTAGTTAAACATTGGCACATTTTAAATAAAAGCTCATTTCACACATCTCCTTGGAATTCTGGCTAGAGTTGCAACATTTCATTCAGTTTGACATCTTGAGTATTATTTATGAATCTGAACAGACTAAGCATCATTATCCTGAACTTGTCTTAAGTAAAGCAAATCAAATAAATCCAAATAGCTCAACTCTTGTAGTATATTGTCATCTTTATGAATGTAAAATGAAAATCTTCACTTGAATTTCCCTAGAGACGGAAATCTAGGTAAATCATCTTCCACTGTAGAAAAACCAACCACTGTGTTATTAACACTGTCTACTTATATTGCCTTCAATTTATTTCCTCTTATTTTCTGATGAATAGCAAAATCATACAGTCGTATCAGAATGATTTTATTTCTTCCCTTTTTTTCCAGGTTTGCCGAATCGGGTTAATTTTATTTTAAGCTATTCTTTGAGCTCCACCTGTTGGCAGAATTTTAGTATGACTCCTAGGTACATTTAAAAACAAACCACAGATTGAACCGTGTCTTGTGTGCAGCAGTAACAGTTGACTAGTCATGAAGTACATGAAGGAAGATAAACCGGGAATCAGGGGCTTGGCCATTCAGTAGGGATGATCACACAAAGGTTAGGAAAGAGTGAGGAAAGAACGGGCAATAAAGTGAAGTTCATAAAGTCATGAGGCCAGGGATTGTGGTCACAAATTACAGGAAAACAGGAAGCTAGAATATCGTAACCTCGTTTTCAAGTTTCAAAAAGTTGCTATTGCTTATCTGTGAGCACCTGTAGCCTGCTAAGAATGTCTTCAACAATCCTCGTGTGGCATTTACTATATACTGGACACTAAGAGCTTCACTAATACTGATTTCTGTAACTCTTGCAACAAGACTGTGAAGTAGGTACTATTAGCTTCATACTTATTTCAGTTATGGAAACTGAGGCACAGAGTGGTCACACAGCTTACTCAAGATAGTGGGGGCAGTTGATGGCAGGGCCAAGATAAAACCGTGGCAGTCTGATCCCGTGTCCCTGCTCCTGGCCCCTCTGCTATGCTGCCTCTGGGTCGCAGAACCTTCCCTGGGAGAGGCGAGCTGGTTGGCACTCCTACTGCCCCGTCACCTCACCCCATCTATCTCACAGAGTGTCTGCACCTCACCCACCTGCTCCGAAATCATGTCTGTCTCACACCATAATTTAAAATAATGCTTCCTCAGAAAATGTTGTTGACCTCTCTTGTCTACTGTGTCTCCTTTTGCACTTGTGTCGTGCCTCAGTGGCATAGTGGAGTTAGCAGTGTTGGTTTTTGCCTCTTCAGGCAATCTGAGCTTGCACAAGCCACTTAGCCTCTCTAACTCCCAATTTCCTTATCTACAAAATGGTGCTAATGTTAACCTACACTTCTAAGGGTTGTTGTGAGGACTGAATGAGCTGTGTGTGAGTCAGTGGTGGTGGGCTGTGTAGATGTTGGTGATGGCATTTACAGATCAGCCTCCTCTCGAGGGAGCAGGTGTCTACACAGATGGGAAAACTGGGCTCTAAAACGTGATACCTAACTTCAGACAACTGCTGATCTTTCTCCTTCTCTGCTCACCTGTCAAGTGCTCTGCTGGAGATGTGGTCCCTTTCAGGGGACCCTGGCACTTCCCTCTTCCAGCTCCAGTTCCTTGAAACCTCAGGTCACCATTTGTGTATGCCCCTTTATGGGATTTCATGTCTGGAATTCCTGCTACCACTCCAATGCTCTTCACCTCCATCACACACACACCCACACGCACACACACAATTTTGGGTCGCTCCATTCTACTTTTTGGTTGTAAGACTTTGTATCAGATAGTTATTAAATGATTGACAATGGACAAAGATGTCATAAATGATAGTTTCACTAAGTTGCCATTCCAGACCTCCCTAGATTTGCAGCACCCTGTGACTGTTTGAGATTACCCAAGAAGAGCTGAGCTGTCAGGACGTACAGGGGCTCCTGGCTTTAGGATTGGGTGAAAGGAAGAAGTTGCACAAGACCCATTTTCTTCCCAGAAAACCCAGAGATGCCAAAGAGGTACCTCAGGAACCCCATTTGCCCTGGGGGTTGGGGAAATGTGGAGCTCTGGCTCCCTCATGCCTGTTTCTATCAAGGCAGCTTTATTTTATATATTTACAGATGGAAACTCTGGTGGGAAGTTTACTTTCAAGAATATGTACCAAGGTCAAAAAAAAAAAACATTTGGACTCATTGGACTAGACAATCTCTGAAGTCCCTTTGACTAAGATTCTTTAATCCTCAGAAGTGCAACATAGGGTAGGAGCTTTAGATTTTTAAAAATGAATTTAACTTTAAGAATTTGCTTTGGAATTTCACAACATTCCTTGAGGAATCTGTAGACACGCTATCATAAAATCAACTTTAGCAATCACTGCCTTTCTCTCCACTCTATTCTCTCCTGGGAAGAGTCAATGTGAATAAACAATTTCATCACCTAGAAAGTGGCCAGACTTTGAGGCCATCAATCTGTTCCTGTAAAATAAACATTCCCAGGAAGCAACCTTTCCCTGGAGGTACTTATCTAGCAGGGAGCCAGCTAGAGAGTGATTATTGAAATGTGAAAACTGTTTGAATAGAGAAGCTGGAATTGCAGTTTCTCCAGTTTGCTCTTTGTCAGTGGGCTTTAACTGATAAATGACAGTTTTAGCCACAGACTGAGGTGTTAGGTAATTTTGTTTATGTGGTGGAAAGTCATGAAGCACAATGAAGCTATTAGTAAAGCCTGGGTGACTTGAGTTTCATTTAACAAAATAGCCAAACAGATGTTCTTTCAAGGTTCAGTGTTCTCAAACACAGACGCGCTACTCACACCCCAGCTAGCCCAAGCATTTGCACAGCAAGTTGATTTCTCGCTGAACTAATTTAAAGAGTTGCAACACTTTTTTGAGGGAGAAATTGTACAAAAATATTACTAAAACCTTAGACTTTGTAGAATGCAGCAGAGGGCTTTATGAGCTAAGCAGTGCTGTCATTTTACATTCCTCTCTTCTGATTCTGTGATTCTGTGATTAAAGGCTATCTCTCATGTGATTAGACCACTGTTTCCCTCTCTTCTTATTGTTTCCCAGGATCTAACCCACTGTCTAGCACATAATAGATGCTCAATAAATATTCACTAAATGAAAGGGTTATTTTAATTGTTTCTATTCCACATAGTTTTCCATGGGGGACATTACAATAAATTATGGATTGTTAAGAGATGACCAAGAAATTTGGATGAAAATCACCCTATATCCCAGTCATATTTTTCTTAGCAGAGGTTTCTGTCAAGTTAAAAGCTATTACCATTTGTTGGCCAGGCATGGTGGCTCACGCCTGTAATCCCAGCACTTTGGGAGGCCGAGGTGGGCAGATCACGAGGTCAGGAGAGTGAGACCATCCTGGCTAACACAGTGAAACCCCGTCTCTACTAAAAAATACAAAAAATTAGCCAGGAGTGGTGGCGGGTTGCCTGTAGTCCCAGCTACTCAGGAGGCTGAGGCAAGAGAATGGCATGAACCCGGGAGGCAGAGCTTGCAGTGAGCTGAAATTTCGCCACTGCACTCCAGCCTGGGTGACAGAGCGAGACTCCATCTCTCAAAAAAAAAAAAAAAAAAAAAAAGCTATTACCATTTGTTAATATATTCTTGGTTTCTAAGGTGTATTATTAGACACTGAGCAGAGGAGACAGAGAAGACTATGGTGACATCTAGACCTACCTTTCATCGGATTGTATTTTTTTTTTCCAAGTGAAGCCCTGGTTAAGTTGGTTGTCCAGTTTTCTAGTTTCTTAGCAGATTTTCCAATGGGTATTTTTCTTTAGAAGTACAATACAGTCAATCCAGCTATTATATTCAGTGTCATATAATGTGATGTACCATATAATGTAAATATCATTAATATGGATATTTTGTATCTGTAATCATCTTGGATGATTAGGATGGCTTTGATACAAACATTAATGGTGCATCTTTTTTTTTTTTTTTTTTTTTTTTTTTTTTGAGATGGAGTTTCTCACTCTTGTTGCCCAGGCTGGAGTGCAGCGGCGTGATCTCAGCTCACTGCAACCTCCGCCTCCAGGGTTCAAGCAATTCTCCTGCCTCAGCCTCCTGAGTAGCTGGGACTACAAGCGCCCGCCACCATGCCCAGCTAATTGTTTGCATTTTTTTTTTTTTTGGTAGAGACGGGGTTTCACCATGTTGGCCAGGCTGGTCTTGAACTCCTGACCTCAGATGATCCACCCACCTCAACCTCCCAAAGTGCTGGGATTACAGGCGTGAGCCACTGTGCCCGGCCCTAATGGTGCATCTTATCTATGATGTTTTTCCATTCTGTGAGGAATGGAACCTGCGAATGTGAGACTGAATAGTGTTCTAGCTTAGACTACACTGATGAAATAATGAAGACTATGACAGTCATGCAAGCTGTGAAAATTAATAATGCTTTATTTGGTCAGAGCGTCTTTCCTCCAGTCTTGTGTATAGTATGTCAGCTTCCTTGCTGGATTTTGTTCTAAATGTGCCTCACAATTGCATCAGAGATTTAAAGTAAACATTAGACATTATTTTGAATCACTGAGAAAATAATCACCCTCTCACCACCCACATTTCAGTTCAGTAAAGTATTATATAAAGCGTAAAGTCTTTTTCCAAAGGTAATGGACAACACTGAGTGTCATTGCTCTGTCTGTGGAATCCTGGTTTCTCACACTTTTAAGACCCTGATATTTGGTGGTGAACACACAGGTTCCATAACTCAAAGAGCTGAGGAAGCTATCAGTACTGAATTATCGTATGTATATTTATTCATAGAAATTAAACTATAGACCAGGCGTGTTGGCTCATGCCTGTAATCCCAGCACTTTGGGAGTCCGAGACAGGCAGATCACTTGAGCTCAGGAGTTCAAGACCAGCCTGGCCAATATGATAAAACCCTGTCCCTACTAAAAATACAAAAATTAGCTGGGCATAATGGCGCACGCCCATAGTCCCAGCTACTCAGGAGGCTGAGGCAGGAGAATCGCTTGAACCCGGGAGGTGGAGGTTGCAGTGAGCCAAGATCATGCCACTGCACTCCTGCCTGGGTGACAGAGCAAGACTCTGTCTCAAAAAGAAAAAAAGAAATTAAACTATAGAGGCTGGAATGTGAGAGTGATGGGACCTATAAGAGGAAACACTAAACTTTTTTCTACTCTTACTCTCCATACCTCCCTTCTGGTCACCTAAATATGTGTGGGGATTTCTCTCCACTAACAACCAGTTCTCCAGCAGACACAAACTGGGCATCTACAATTTAACCCAATTCTAACACTCTTTACCTTAACCCACAGGCTAAGGACTTAGTCCCACAAGTCTGCCCCCAATTCAGATGCCCATTGCAAGTCCCAGGTTGTGATCTGCACTTCTGACCAACCAGCAATAAATTGAGGGTTCCCACAATTCCCTCCTCAGGTTCAATGAATTTGCTAAAGCAGTTCACAAAACTCAGGGGAACATTTCACTTATATTTTCTGGTTTACTATCAAGGATAGTACAAAGAATACAGATGAACAGCCAAGTGGAAGAGATGCACAGGGCAAGGCATGGAGAAGGGGTGTGGAGCTCCCATGCCCTGTCCAGGTGCGCCACCCTCCTAGCACCTCCATGTCTTTAGCAACCCAGAAGCTTCCCAAAATCTGTTCTTTGAGGTTTTTATGGAAGCTTCATTACATACAGTTCATTACAAAGTTGATCACCTTTGCCATTGTAGGTGAATTCAACTTTCAATCCCTCTCCCCTTCCCAGAGGTCAGGGAGTGGGGTAGAAGTTCCAACTCCTAATCACATGATTGGTTCCCCTAGCAACCAACTCTCATCCTGAGGCTATTTAGAAGCCCACCAAGATACACTTCATTAGGACAGAAAATGCCAGAAAATTCCAGGAATTTAGGAGCTCTGTGTCAGACAATCCTATCACTAAGGAAATTACAAAGGTCTTAGGAACCCGTGTCAGGAACCAGGATCAAAGACCAAATTTTTAGAACAGAAGACTCACCTGGCATCTCCATCTAGAAAGGTCTTAGGAGCTCTGTCTCAGTAACCAGGTGCAGGGACCAAATATAGATTTCTTATTATATCACAATATCATAGCACCTCACTCCGAAAGTTTTCCTTCAACCATCCTCCAGCTGCAGTCCTCCCTACAAAGAAAGTCTTCTGTGGGGTTAAGGCAATGTGCTCACCCAGAATCCAGGACCCCAGAATTCTTAGCCCAGAAGACCTCAAGCCCACTTCCAGGGTCTGTGTAGGCCTCTCCAGGTCTACTCTCCCAAGCACAGATGACACCTTCAGTGCAAACATATCTAGGCACAGGAGAGACCTAGAGGCCACACTGGTCATGCGAGGCCCTTCACAGAGGTAGAAGCAAAGGGGACAGGCAATGGCTCAAGATGGCTGTGCTATCTTTACCCATGCCACCATGTTCCAGTAAGACTTCAAGGAGCTAAAACCTGGCCAATTCGGTTATGTGAAGGATATGTCAAGGCAGGAGGCTAGAACATATGTTAACAGTTTGTTAACTTGATTGATAATGGTTAAATGTTTTATATACAGTATTGGGTCTCTATCTGTGCACTTGCCTGAGGCCTCTCAAATGTTCTGCACCATTGAACTCAGAGATAATGTGAAAGGCACCCCCATTAGTGAACATGAAGTGGAAGTTGTAGATTCTTCAGTTGTCTCGTGTTTTGCATAGTGTAAGCATCCCCTCCCTAGTGGGCAGTGAGATTTTCTATTGTTCAAAAATACACCTTCTTGGTGCCTATACTCAAGACAACTAGTCCGTCTCAAGCGCAACCAAAGAAAGAGCAACTTATTTAACATAAAGGGGCTGAGGAAGAGGAACTGGCTGTTTGATGTGTTGACGTGCTGGGAGTACTTTTAGGGGTGGTTTAGGGATTTTTAAGCAGAATGTTTATTAAACATAACTTTCTACTAACCCAGTAAGAAGTGATTCCACCCTTGTCAATATAACTATCTGCAGGCAATGTAAGGTATCACAAAGATCTACTTCCTTCTCAATAACGAATCTTAAATGTAGCATTCTCATTATCAAGGAAGTCTTCCCACATAATCACAGAATTGTTATTCATATCATCACATTAGACTGTTTTTATTATTTCTGATTTCAAATGCAAACAGGATTCTGACTTAGTAATGCATATTTAGTGTTGACCTTCCTTTCTTTTCAGGTGACCCTGCCACCTCCAACCCCCCACCCTGACTTTTCTGGTGTAGATAATCCTACTTGTTCACATGTTCCCATGGCTCATTTTATAAATTGTTGAAGCTTTATATCTCCAAATTTTCCACCTCCTTTTTGAGATTAAACACAATGAGGATACACACATTGAGAATAATTCCTCCCAAATTCCACCCAGGATTCTTGTTAAAATGCAGAGTCTGATTCAGTAAGCCTGGAATGAAGTCAGAGATCCTGTTTTTCTTACAAACTTTTAGGCGATGGCAATACTGCTGGTCCTTTTTTACCTACTATAAAATTTCATCAGGGACTAACTGCAATTTCCTACTTCTTTCTATGTCAAACTCCTCCCCAGAGGTGATTATTTTTTGAGCTGTAAATATCATGCTAATACTGATATCTCTTGATTTTTTTAAATTTTATATGTCTAACTTCTGATTTTCTATAAAAGGTTAAGCTATGTCTTTCTTATTACAGCTCTCCATATGTAGAAATTCTGCCCCATCTTCACAATATCATTATATAACATATTTTCGTTTACTCAATGTATTCGATGTTTACCTTACTATGATTATATAAAAATTGTTAACAGCTAAGCCATATAGCATACTATGATTGTATTTCCATTCTTGTATTACTTTTAGTTTTCTCTGGATTTAATAGTTTCCCTGAGTTTTTTATTTGATTAATTTACATACTTGTCACTAATTAAGCCCCAAACTTTCCATCAGAACTAGAAAACTCCTTACAATTTGGTCAAACATGTCCATCTATGAGTTCCTTTCTTCCTTTTTTCTTGGCAACATCGCTCTGGGAGCACTCTATCTTCTGGCTCCAGTCCTGGCTACTTGCCCTCTGATCCTGTTGTGCAATTGTGGGGTAGTTGTTTTTTGTTTATTGTTTTGTTCGTTTGTTTTTGAAACTCCCTTTCACCGTTATCCTAGGGAGTCCCACCCCCTTCTCCTGGCTGGGTTCATGTCTTCCTCTTTCTTAGGTTACTGTCTCCTTTTTATTGGAGAGACTCTTTCAGTAGTTTCCAGAGAAAAAGTACTAGGGAGCCAAATTTCCAGAGGACTTGCATATCTGAAAAAGTGTTTCCCATCCATAGTTGACTGATAGTTTGGCTGGATATAGAATTCTGGGTTAGAAATCATTATTCCCCCAAATTCTTAAAGCACTTTTCCATTGTCTTCTACTTATCTTGTATTCTGATTCTTAATCATTTATAAATGCCTTTTTATTCCTGCACTCCTGAAACTTTTAAACTGGTTTCCTGCAATTTTACAGCAATGAGTTTTGGTGTGGTCCTTCATTTATTTATTGTGCCAGCCATTCATGGGTCCTTCCAATTTGAACATTCATGTCCTTTACTTTGAGAAGTTTTCTTGTATTATTCATTTTTATAGACTATTGAAAACATGTAAAAACATAAAGAATAATAGCATGAACACCCATCAAATAGCTTAAAAATTCAAACTTTGCAAATATAGTTGAAGACACCTGGTACCCCCACCCCACCCCCGCCTTTAATCCTTTTCCTCTCTGTACCCACCCACCTCCCAATAACCATTGCCTTGAATTTTGATGTTTATTGTTTTCAAGAATGCCTTTATACTTTTTCTATGAATGAATATGTTTCTATATACTTTATATTATTCTGTATTATAAATTTAGATTTTACATAAATGGCATCCTTATGTATATATTTTATCACAACTTGCTTTTCTTGCTCAACAAAATATTTTCTGAGACTCATTCCTACGTTGATTCATGTTGCTGTGGATCATTTATTCCAACGCTGTATAGTTTTTTGCTCTATAAATATACACAGTATAGCTAGCTATTCTCCTATTGATGAATCATTTTAGCATTCTAAGCAGTTCTACTATAAACATTCTTCAATTAACATTCTTCTACATGTCTTTTTTTTTTAATGAGTGCAAAAAATCTTTGACCTATATATATTTGGTAGCAGATGAGTCAGAATCAGATGATTCAACAAGAATTGTTACGTATAGGTAATGTGCATCTTCTACTTTTCTAGATACTGAGGAATTGTTCTCCAAAGTGATTGTAACAATTGCATAAGTGGTATATAAGAATTACAATTTGTTTATGTCTTTGACATTTCCTCTACTCCATTTTCTCTGTTCTCTTTCCAGAACTTGTGTTAGTTTGTTGCTGCAGTTCATATATTAATTCTTTATTTGCTATCTTTTCTATTCTATTTTTGACGTCTTTGTGGGATTTTTTTGTTTGTTTTACATTCTGGGAAATTTCCTCTACTTTATGTCCAATCTTTTTACTGACTTGTCTATTTCTCTTATTATATTTTAAGTGGTTCTTTATTATTTTCAGAATGTTTCTTACAATAATATTCTATTCTTGTTACACTGATGTAATCTTTGTTTTATATAGTTTTTAAAAAGTGTTTTAATGTGCATTTTCAAATATATACAGGAATAGAGAATACGGCCGGGCGCAGTGGCTCACGCCTGTAATCCCAGCACTTTGGGAGGCCAAGGCGGGTGGATCACCTGAGGTCGGGAGTTCGAGCCCAGCTTGACCAACATGGAGAAACCCCATCTCTACTAAAAATACAAAATTAGCCAGGCATGGTGGCGCATGCCTGTAATCCCAGCTACTCAGAAGGCTGAGGCAGGAGAATCACTTGGACCCAGGAGGCGGAGGTTGCAGTGAGCCGAGATTGTGCCACTGCACTCCAGCCTGGGCAACAAGAGCAAAACTGCATCTCAAAAAAGAAAAAAAAAAAAGAGAGAATACAATGAATGAATTTAAGCATCACCTAACTTCAACAATGATTAATATTTTGCCTATCTTATTTAACCTATTTTTCACCTATACATACATTTTTCCTGGAGTTCTCAAATTCTAGATAGTACAGTATAATATAGATACTTCAGCAGGTATCTTTAGAATATAAGAAATGTTTAAACCTAACCACAATACACTTATCACAAAAACCAAAATAATAATTTTTTTAAAATGCTTCCTTAATAAAATCCTATTTTTTGTTCAAATTCCTCTATTGTCTCAAAAAAGGCCATTTGACAGTTGGTTTGTTCAAATCAGTATCTAAGCACTATCTTCCCATTACAAACGGTTGATCTGCGCCTTCAACATGCCATATATTTATTGAATAAACTGAGCTGAATACAGTAGACTTTTTTCACTGTTTTTTTATTCTTTTATTTATTTATTTATTTTTACTTTTTGCTTTTCCTCTGAGTTTTTTGTTTTTGCATTCTTATTTCATGTGAAAGTCTTTGTCAAATGCCTGATGATCATTAGCTTGCTGTTAATAATTAAGAGAAGGGCATTAAAAAACAGCCTGAAAATTCTATGTGCGTGTTGAGAACTGTAGACTTAGGGTGATTATTAGAATCTGGCTGTTTCAAAGGGGTGTTGGAGGACGGTGTTGGGTATAGAAGGCAGTAGCTGTATGTTACCTCCCTTGGTCTGGCAAACTTCCCAGATACCTTTCCAGGAGCTTTTAAGCCTGGCTCTAGATGTCGGAGAAGGGGCAAGCATGGGCTTAACCGTAAACTTTAACAGGACCTTCCACTCTTTAGCACACACAGCACCTAACCCCTGACTGCAGCTTGACCTTGTTCCCAGAATGTAGAGAGCCTCTGTAATTCCTCTGACTCATCCACTCCAAAGAGCAAACCTCCCTCCTGTGCCCAGGTCTGGAGGGGTGGAGACCTCACTGCCTGAGCTGGGGCTCTTACAGCACATCCTGGTCTGCAGTCTTCTTTTCTGCAGCCTCAGGGAGCTCAGTGCTTTCAACCTCTGGGTTCTTTCTTCTACCCTTACTCTACACTCCCCTACCTTTCACTCAGGGATCTAGATTACAGTTTTACTTTATTGGAAAGTGAATAAAACTCCAGCTATTACCTTATTGGAGTGTCTGGAGGGAACAGAGGAAAATACATGTACTCCACCTACCATGTTAAACCAGAAGGAGGTCTTGCATTCTTTTTGAACAGATTCATTGTGACACTAAGACTTGTATCTGTATACCTATGCATATATGGATTGCTTTTATTAACATTTGGTAAATCAAAAGTACCAATTTTCAAACATTAAAATAAGGAAAAACTTGTCTAAATTTCAACTGAAAAAAAACTATGCCAGAATTTTTAAAGCCAGAAATTATCTTGTTTTGAAGACTTAAAATCATTCTGTTTGGGGAAATGAAGATTTTCCAAACTGTATATAACTTTTAAAACAATAAGAGGGAATGTTCAATAATAGAGACTGTTTGGGGGTATTTACTTTATTAATTTATTAATAAATATATTAATTTATATAGAAACAAGTCTTCTATTAGATAGTGAGTATGCATTTGTGAGGTAACAATTTATTTCTCTCTTCCTTAGGGCTGTCACATGGTGACTGAAGAACTTCATTCCATAACGTTTGAAACACAGATCTGCCTCTATGGCCTGACCATAGATTTGGAGGTAGGTGTTTCAAGAACATACACTATTTACTAATGGCATTTGCAAGAATTGGTCAGCATTAATAGATGTAAGCTCAGTCTTTTCTAGGTTTTAGTACATTCCATATTCATTATTTTGTTTTAATTTAGAAAGTCAATATGTCAAATATTCACTAGTTAACATAATATTTTGGTTAAATATATATGATAAAAGCTTGTGGGTAGCTGGGTGCAGTGGCTCACATCTGTAATCCCAGCACTTTGGTAGGCCAAGGTGGGTGGATTGCTTGAGCCCTGGAATTTGAGACCAGCCTGGGCAACAGGGTGAAAACCCCCACCTCTACTAAAAATACAAAAATTTGCTGGGTGTGGTGGCATGTGCCTGTAGTCCCAGCTACTCAGGAGGCAGAGGCAGGAGGATTGATTGAGCCCAGGAGGTGGAGGCTGCGGTGAGTGCTGATCATGCCACTGCACTCCAGCCTGGGTGACAGAGTGAGACCTAGTCTCAAAAAAATAAATAAATAAAAAATAAAAGAAAATAAAAAGCTCAAGAGTATTACGAACTTTATATACATTAAATAATTTGTTGCTCAAGTTCTTGTTTGTTTGTTTTCTGGGATTTCCTGAGTCATGAACACTCAGTGGAAAGCCTAAAGAGAAATAAGTATCCTTGAGCTTATGTCATGTAGTGATATATTTTCTTTTTTTTGTAGTAATATATTTTCAAAAATTTAACTTTACATAAAAACTCACAGAAGGAAGATTTATCTAACATAATGAGCAAAGACAAATAATAGGAACATTACAGTATGTTGCTTTGATCCTCATAAAACAATCACCACTAAACTCAAAGAAAGAATAAAGAAACTTTTGGAATTAAATTGAACATGAATTGACTATGCGCTCCTTGAAGGCAGGACACCGTGAATGAATCAGTGCATGAATGAACAAACACAATCTCACACACCCTGAATATGATCCTATTGTGGAGTATATTGTTTTAGAATTCTGCCTTTGCTCTTTTATCTTAATGATGGTAATATGTTTGCAAAAGCTTTCATAGATTCCTTCCTCACCTCCTTTCCCTAAACCTCTGTTTTTATGAGTTGTTAAAGTTCCTCAAATGGGTATTTTACCATCTACAGGAATCTGATGTCTGTTATTGGGAAAAGAGTACTGTAAGTTGATTAGTTTCCCAAGCTAATTTGTAAAAGCCTGTTTATCTCATAAAGTAGAAAACCACAGAACCAAGAGTATTAAATTGAGTTAGTTCTGTAACAATAGCACAGACGGCTCTATCTCCCATAGCTTATCTCTCCTATTTTTACAATAGAAACCTCCCACTTCCAGTGTTTATGTTAATTAGGTGTTAGGTCATAATTTGAAGGTACTGATTCATTCCAGAGATAAACTTAAAATAGATTCTTTTATTTAACTTATAGAGAAGATTGTTGCTAATTCAATAGACTCTCTAATATATTGCACTTGAGACAGTGGGTGACATTTAAAAAGTATAAATGTGTCCGCAATGTCAGGGGAGATACTGGGAAGCTGCCTGACTGAGCACTCTGAAAGGATTCCTGCTCTTTCCTCTCTGTGCCCTTACTTATGCATGCTCAGAAAGTTCCATGGCCTTCACAAGTCATTTCAGTGACCAGGGCACCATGGACATCAGGACTGGAGGTGTGGGGCTGGCTTGAGATTGGCCCTTTAGAGGCGAGGGTCAAGCATAAGATCAATGTAAGGTGGGACTACCTGTAATAACTATGCTTTTTTCCCCCCAAACCAGACCAGCTCATTGCCTGTGGTGATGATTTCCAATGTCAGTCAGTTACCTAATGCTTGGGCATCCATCATTTGGTACAACGTGTCAACCAACGATTCCCAGGTAGACTCTATTTCTACCTCAACTTCTTTAATGCTATTCGATTTGTTTTATTGCCAACAAACACATCTGCATCAAAACATGTGTGTGCCAGTGGGGTGTGGGGTGAGAGTTGCTTTATTTGTAGTATTTCTAGTTGTATGTTTCCTCTCATGTCATATTTAAAGTAGTATGTTCTGATATATGTGGACCCTGAGAGAATTCTGCTAGCAAAAGTAACAGGGATTTGTTATTTCTGAGGGTCTGGTCAGCTGCCAACTATGTGCGTACCAGAGAGTTCCAGGGCCATCCTATGACTCTGTTAACTAAGCTGAAGGAAACTTCTTACCTCCCCAGCTGCTCTGGTCCCACCTTGTCCATGCAGTCTCTTCTACAAAGGTAGAGAATTGGTTTCCAAGTAAGTAAGTAGAATATTCATCAATCTTGCCTAATCGTATTCTGACAGTGCACATTTTCAAGTGGATTACAGATTTCATCCATCCTAGGCTCAAGCTGGGTTTTAATGCTATCTGGTCGTTGTGACACTGACCCAAAATTGGCCTCAAGTCACAAAGCAAGCAGTGAATAGGTGTTCTTCTTATAAGACAACCAGGGAAGGGAGTGGCAAAAAAGATGAGTCAGCACTTCCCCTTGCACCCCTCCTTCAAAACCTCAGTGTGTTGTCCTGGAAACCACTGAGGTCTAGAGAAAATAGGTCAGATGTAAATAACAACATTTCTTCTTAATTCAGAGCAAATGTTCCCTCCAAAGGGAAGAATTCTTCTACTTTAGATCCCAGTAGTAAGAACAAGATCATAATGAATCAGCTGTTAGTGTTCTTTCTCTTTGATTCAATGTTCTAATAAGGAAACAACGAGGAAAATGACTCAGGCCTACTCCTTCTCCTCCTCAAGTGCCCTAGCATCTGAGACAAATTAATTGCAGAGAGGAAGACTGTGCAGGGTGCCCCAAAAAGAGCAGAACTTACCAGAGAAATCGCCTGATCTTTAAGGCAAAGGACAGCCAATGCCCCTGAGATTAAATGCTGATCCCCATTAGATCTACACATGTTCAGCTTTCTTCCAACTCCAGGGAGTAGAAGGAGTGATGGGATACTTCTCTGTCCTCCAGCCTCACAGAGAAGTGCTGCACTTAGCTTTCTTCAGCAACCTCCTTCTGTAAGAAAGGCACCAAAGTCGTCACACCCATCATCCCAAATTTACATGGCTCTAGGATGAGAATCTAGAGCTATAGATAATATACAGCTCCTAAAACACAGATTCACAGCCTAGTTACAGAACCAGTCTAAACAACTAATCCTGGTTTCTCCTCTTAATTCTATCCTGCTTTGAAACCTAAGCCCTTAGGCCTTGATTGTATTCTGTGCTTTCTGGTCACTTTTCCAGGCACCATTCTCAGGTTCACAAAAAACCATCTCCCTAGAAATTCTTTCTCTTCATTCCTCCTCTTCCTATTGCCCATTCCTTGTTGGATGCTGTGTCCTCTTTCATTCCCACCTTCTGAAATCTCTTGAATTGGTTCTTTTTCTTGATTAATCTAAGCCCAATTTAGCTCTTGTTCACAACGGCCTTTTCCAGGCACCGCACTGGATTTCTGAATTCTTCCTTTCCTCTTCTTGAAACATGTTTCTTGAGTTTCACACATCTGTTTTCCAGTAATCTGGGACAGAGTCTTATGTTTCACTATTGTTGACCTGGTTTCTGGCACAATCTCGTTTGTAGTCGATCACACAGAATATTCTCTTATTTAGCTGGGCACAATGGTACACACCTGTAGTTTCAGCTACTTGAGAGGTTGAGGCAAGAGAGTTTCTTGAACCCAGGAGTTCAAGTCCAGCTTGAGCAACAGAGCGAGATCATTTCTCTGTTTTTGTTTTTTTTAATTATGTAGAGCAAATAAGAAAAGACTACTATGGTGTCCATAAAATAGGTATTTGAGGTTAATCATAATATTGTAGGGTCACCTTCCCTAGCCTGGGACTTTACCATTTCTAGCACTTTGGGATGATTGGTCTGGTCAAGGTAAAATTTGTGCCAACCCCACGATAAACCAATTAAATAATATGATATAAGTTTTGTTTAGGATGAATATTGTTTTAGAAAAGAGTATCTGTCAAATTACTTTTTGGACAATGTTAAGTTCTTGCATGAGTAGACTGATACGGAAAAGTTAAAGAGATGTCAAGCGATGCTTCTGAAGAAAGATGGAGCCCTGATTATATTATACTCAAAGAACAAGGAGACTTTTAGGAAAAGACCACATCAGTCTTAAGAACAACAGAGATGAGATGATATTTTATGTTTACTTAGGTTGGCCAAAAGACTTTAAATTAGGAATCCTATATATTGAATTACAGTGTCATAAGCGTAATTGTTACTGGTGGCAAATATGTATGGATCTGCAGCAACCTCAATTCTTGCCTCCTCAGAAGAAAGAATTCAACTGAGGAGTATAGGACAGAAGGAGTGACCAAGGCAAGCTTCAGAGCAGGAGTGAAAGTTTATTAAAAAGCTTTAGAACAGTAAGAAAAGGAAGGAAAGGAAAGTACAACTTGGAAGAGGGCCAAGCGGGCAACTTGAGAAGCCAAGTGTGCAGCTTGACCTCTTGATTTGGGGTTGGCATTCTTCAGAAGTCTTGTTACTTCTCTCCACTCCTGAGATCATACTGGGAAGCTGCTGAACAGTTTTAGGTGTTTTCTATTAGGACACGCTTGTTCCCTGGCACCAGCTGTGACCAATTATGACTTTAGAGAAACAGTTAACTGCCTGACTATCACCTAATAGTCACCCAACACTCCTAGTATGTGTGTGGGGAGAGGGGGAGACCTCTCTTGCCCTGCTCACACCTCACTAGCTACCCACTGTAAGATAATTAACAAATTATCATCTTGACTCTATTTCAGAACTTGGTTTTCTTTAATAATCCTCCACCTGCCACATTGAGTCAACTACTGGAGGTGATGAGCTGGCAGTTTTCATCGTACGTTGGTCGTGGTCTTAACTCAGATCAACTCCATATGCTGGCAGAGAAGCTTACAGGTGAGAGCTGGTAGATAGAGAGGATTTGCCTCTGTTTTTGGCCCTCAGGCATTTTAAATAACCAGGACGCTATTACTACTACTAATAATAAAGATGATAATCATAATTTATTCAATGCCTACTATATTGCCAGGCACAGAACTAAGTGTTATATTATTTTTAATTCTCAGGAAAGTCCTGCAAAGCTCAGCTTATTCTACCAATTTTATAAATGACTGGATTGGAGTGCAGAAGTCAAGTGACTTGCCACGGCTGCATGGCTAGTACACAGCAGCACCAAGCCACAGGCCAGACCTGTCCAGGTCTAAAGCCCCTCCTTGTCTATTCCCCACCCCAGTCTCCAGGGTATATTTCCACTAAATATGAGGTGAACCCTTAATGGTGCCTCATATGATCGTTCATACGAACGTCTCAATTGACATTAACCAACTGGAAAATGACTGATTTCTTCACTAGGTCTAGGAAATGTAATAGAAGTTTTAAACTACCTGGGCAATACTTAATTCTGCATACCAAGAAAGTTTCAGCTTTGACTGAGATTTCTAAAGTTTGCAAAATAGAGTCACTGGTACTACATGTGCCAACTATAATCCAAACATTTTCTAAAAAGTCTCTAAGAGATCTGTATTTTGACAAGTCAGGGTTTAACATATTTAACACCAAAAAAAGAGTTAAAATTAGATCTATATGCGTTTCTAGTTAAATTAGGGCCAAAGATCCATTTGTGCAGAAGTAGAATCATGTGTGATTTAAGCTTGACTCACATGGTGCTGGGATGCTTGCCACTTGCATCTACTCTTGGATCAATAGGTACCTAAATACATTAGGACTTTGGAAAACATCACAAAATTTACTTAATGGAAATACATGTTTTGATCCTTATTTAATTCATAAGCAGCAATAGCATTCAATAAACATTTGTTAGAGTGACTAAAGCTTTTAAACATGTAGTATAGATAGAAACCATATCCTTTCAGACCTTTATCAAATTATTCTTATGAGTATAATGTCCTTAAAAATTTAGATGGAAACTCTTGCATCCTTTCACTGCTCTGGATCAAAACAGCCAATGGCTACTATCTAATAGATTTCTAGTCCATTCTTTCCATCTTAATAGGCAACATTCCTGGTAATCTAGCTATACCTAACTTACACAAATTTGTTTTATAATGTTCATTTACCGACATTAGGCAGCTCTTCCTGTCTCCAACGTGAGCCTTCTCCATGTCCATCATGCTTCGTCCTATATTACTCTTGCTCTCTGGAGTGGCCTCCTTCATCTCCTCTGACAATTTATATTCTACCCATACATATCCTAGATACCCACCTGCTTTCTAAAGCCATTGTTAGCTCCTCCACCAAAAAGCTTATTTTCTAGATAATAAATTTCTTAGGAACAAGGATGATGTCTTGTATTTGTACTGTACCTAGCACTCAGTACATTGCAAACCCATATCAAGTGCTTAAGAAATGCTTGAAAGGGAAGAGGCAAAATATCTAAATTGAGCACAAAATTGAAGCATCTCATTGTCCAGTGAAAAATTTCATTCTTTTCTTTCATTTCAGTCCAATCTAGCTACAGTGATGGTCACCTCACCTGGGCCAAGTTCTGCAAGGTACAAACGGTCGGGGAAACATCATTTAGATACATTTTTTTAATACAATGTTCCTTTCTAAGTCTATTACTACATGGGGTTTTGAGAATTTCCCAGATAAGAATTTTTCTTTTTTTTTTTTTTTTGAGATAGAGTCTTGCTCTGTCACCCAGGCTGGAGTGCAGTGGCGCAATCTCGGCTCACTGCAAGCTCTGCCTCCCGGGTTCATGCCATTCTCCTGCCTCAGCCTCCTGATTAGCTGGGACTACAGGCACCCACCACCACGCCCGGCTAATTTTTTCATATTTTTAGTAGAGGTGGGGTTTCACCGTGTTAGTCAGGATGGTCTCAATCTCCTGACCTCATAATCTGCCCGCCTTGGCCTCCCAAAGTGCTGGGATTACAGGCATGAGCCACCACACCAGGCCAAGAATATTTTTTAAAGAAATTAAGGTGTTGTCCAGTTTAAAGATAATATTTTGGTGAAAAATTGAACTTAAATTATTATATCAACATTATTACTTAAATAATCATTGTCTTAATGTGCTTGTCTATTCCTGTAGGAACATTTACCTGGTAAATCATTTACCTTTTGGACATGGCTTGAAGCAATATTGGATCTAATTAAGAAACACATTCTTCCCCTTTGGATTGATGGGTAAGTTATAGGCTATATTTTTCATATGAGTTAATTATGTTCTTTTTTTCTGTTGTTATTGGTTTTCTTCTTTCTTTTTCTCTTAAGCATGTTTAGTACCACAGAAAAAAATAGTTGCAATTTCTTATTCTTTGTGGAGTGGCACTATGTATATTAATCTATATATGAGTATTTCAGGTAAGAATGACTTTTGATTACACTCAAAACAAACTGTAGGTCTTTGTAAATGCAATAAGTGAAAATCCAATAATGATCAGATGAAATAATGCATGTTCTATTTTTAGGTATGTCATGGGCTTTGTTAGCAAAGAGAAGGAACGGCTGTTGCTAAAGGATAAAATGCCTGGCACCTTTTTATTAAGATTCAGTGAAAGCCATCTCGGAGGAATAACTTTCACCTGGGTGGACCATTCTGAAAGTGGTATATACTCACTAATGTTTATTCATGTGAAATTAGTTTTCTTAAATTTGGTTACTGGGATTTCAGTTTTTGGAAGTGTATGGTGTGTTGATCTGTCTGTGATGTATTCAGTGGGCTTGAATATTAGTAGTTGCAGTTGTCTCAGAACAGGGTACCTATGAATTCCAAAAAGTCTATCGTATGCACAATCTATACTGTCCAGACAGCAGAAGGTCTGACATTGAAGTGACATGAACTGACAAGTCACTCCAGTGGCATGAAGATAATGTGGGCAGGGAAGAAATGGTCACAAGGAATGTGTACAGGAACCTGTATATTTCTCCAATTTCTGTTTTTCAAGGGGAAGTGAGATTCCACTCTGTAGAACCCTACAATAAAGGCCGGTTGTCTGCTCTGCCATTCGCTGACATCCTGCGAGACTACAAAGTTATTATGGCTGAAAACATTCCTGAAAACCCTCTGAAGTACCTATATCCTGACATTCCCAAAGACAAAGCCTTCGGTAAACACTACAGCTCTCAGCCTTGCGAAGGTTAGGTTTTTCTGTTTGTTTTTGTTTTTTTTTCCTTAAGATTTTGGAAAATAACCTCATATTGGAGCAAAGTAAATGAAGTTCCCCTTCTTGTTTACTCTGATTTCTGTAAGATCTAAGGGCATGTGGAGGTCAAAGCCTTAGAAATGAAGTGGTATGTCAGCAGTTCCTGAAAAGGGACCGCTGGGCTTTCTAACACTAGCGAGTAATAAGCAGCTGTAACTAAACTTCACCATGGCCATGGGGGCCTCTCATAGCCACTTGGAGAGCTTCAGTTTTCTCCTTTGTAAGACAGAAGTGGTGCAGGCTTCATGTCTATGACTGAGGGAAAGGAAAAGAAAGAGGGGGTAATGATGAGAAGCTTTTAATAGTAAAACAAGTCTGTATATTGCAAAGGAACCCCAGGGTTTATAAGTTTTATATTTTTAACCTTACTGTAGTCTTACAACTCAGGGTATTTGTTCATTTGCTAGGGAGGGGACCTGTGGATCTCTGCTTCATCCTCTCCCTCCCCCACACTCCCAGCCTACCTTTCCTGGTTGTATCCTAGGACCTAGAGCAATGTCTGGCTAAAAGAGGGATTCAGTAAATATTTGTTGAATACATAAAAGAAAATTTGTTAAATTACTATGCAATTTTAAGGTACGTTCACCATTCTGTTTCTTTAATGAAAGTGTATACAATCCATAAAAATCTTCATCTATAGCACTAAATCTTTGGGCACCATCATGTAGAATATCCTACAGTTGTCACTCACAGACTTGCAGCCACCTGACTTCATGCCCTCTGAAATAAACAAAAATACAAAAGAAAATAAAATCAAACAAACCTGTGGCTTTTCAGTGACTTTCAACAACTGATAAAAATGAAATAACAAATATCAATGCAACAAATTAGGGTTGGAAAATTGGAACAAATACTAGTTCAACATGGTATACCAGAGAAGTTTGGGGAATTTTTCCAAGGTGAGGTTTGCACATGACTGTTACTACAGTACAATGATACTTTTGGGAACACTGACATCTGTACTTCAAGAACGTTTGCAATCATAAGATTCTGATTGGTGTCAATTTTAATGAAAAGAACTGGGTTATTATATCTCCCAAAACATGACTCAATCAGTCCTTATAATCAAACATAAATGAAACGTAGAAAACAGGTAATAGAGTTGATTCTCAATTTTTCCCACACAGTTTAGAGGCATTAATATGTAAAGTCAGATTAGGCCTGCCAAGAGATTTGTTTTTCTCTTCTTGCACATTTTATGCTTATCTAAAAGATTGTGTCCCCTATTTAACAAAACATTTCTGTGTATCACCGAACAACTGCGTTATCTCTCTTCCTCTTATCATTGTTAATATTTTTCTAGACTCTTTTTTCCCCAGTTTTATTGATAATATTGACATTTTTTTCCCCAACATTGTGCCTTTTTGTTTTCCAGTTTCAAGACCAACAGAAAGGGGTGACAAAGGTTATGTTCCTTCTGTTTTTATCCCCATCTCAACAATGTGAGTAATGTTAGTCACATGTGAAATATTTTTATAAAAAGCTTTCCTATAGGAGATTTAAAGGTAGAGCAGAGTACACATAACTGAGAACAAAGCATTGTAATGTGCAATGTCCCATTTCCTTTAATACATAAGGCTAGCCTTCAGGGCACACTTACCACAATCTATTGTGCCTAAAATTATAAAATTCCCCTTTTATATGCCATATATGCCACAGTAAGTTGAGTGTTCTGATATGAAATGATGAATTAGATAACTCAATGTCACAAATAGATGAAGCCCTAGAAATGAGTTCCTGACATAGTAAGTCACCGTGAACTATTATTATTTTTTAATCCTTGTCCATATTGACCTTGTTATCTCTTTAAGCCGAAGTGATTCAACAGAGCCACATTCTCCATCAGACCTTCTTCCCATGTCTCCAAGTGTGTATGCGGTGTTGAGAGAAAACCTGAGTCCCACAACAATTGAAACTGCAGTATGTTCCCTTTATTTTCCATTGCTGGTCAAAGGTGTTTCCAACGATGCAAAGGTGGTGTGTGAATCAAAGGGGCTGAAATACTGCCTGGGTAGGGAGAAAACACATTTATTGGAACAAATTCATGAGCATAACACAAAAGGTGTCTGGATGGTCCTGCGTGTTGCTGATATTATGCGTATTGAAAGCAGACACCTTCAGTTACTTAAACTGCTTTACGTTGTTTCCACCAGAAACCACCAGAGGGCAAAATATTCCTATACCCTACTCAAGCACACTATCGCTGCTTGCACCATGGGCCCCCTCACTCCCCACCACTCTCTACTTTAGCAAACACCATTTATTGGTCAATATTTATAAACCTAGTATACTATCTAGTTTACTAGTTACTTACTATCTAGTAAACCCAGTTTGCTATCTTAACAGTGCAAACATCACAAATTGCAATTTTTCTTGATTGTGACTTGCATTTCTAGAACCCGGAGCCTCATCAATAATATATGAATAACAGTCAATGGCATAATAATGCTCTCCTTTTTGAGAAATGAGTCATAATCTTTAATGCAATAATGTTATTTGGGATGCATGCTATTTGCTCTTATCCACCAATACTGTCAATGGGTTCAAACCCCCAATTTACATGAAAGTGAACATACATCAGAATAATATAATAGAAACTTGGAGAGACCCTAAGCCTCAAAAAATTTTTATCTGGCTGGCTTTTAGTCCTTCTCTTGAAGATTTCCATAGATGAAAAATTCACTTTACTTTGATAGCTTATTCTAATGTTAGTTCCCTTAAATCGTCAAGTTATTTATGTCTAACTGAACATTTGCTACATTTTGCACCCATTTCCTCATTATGTTTTTGGTGGATAAACAGGCCTTTTTCTTAAAACACTTTTCTGTCTCCTTGAAAGGTACCTTTTATTTTAGACTGATCAACCCCAATTACTTTTGCAAATACTTAGTTTAAGTATTTTAACTAGGTAATAGAAAAATTATGGAGTAATTCGTAGAAAAGAGGACGTTTATTTGCCCAAGAAATAGTGATTGATTTGAAAACCAGTAGTTTCCTCAAAGATTATTTTCATTTTTAATTTTAGATGAAGTCTCCTTATTCTGCTGAATGACAGGATAAACTCTGACGCACCAAGAAAGGAAGCAAATGAAAAAGTTTAAAGACTGTTCTTTGCCCAATAACCACATTTTATTTCTTCAGCTTTGTAAATACCAGGTTCTAGGAAATGTTTGACATCTGAAGCTCTCTTCACACTCCCGTGGCACTCCTCAATTGGGAGTGTTGTGACTGAAATGCTTGAAACCAAAGCTTCAGATAAACTTGCAAGATAAGACAACTTTAAGAAACCAGTGTTAATAACAATATTAACAGAAGACTCGCTTGCCTGTGTTTGGTTTATTTCTCATTTTGTCTCTCTGGTGTTACTACGATTTTAGCTAGAAGATGTAAGTGTTAATGTTTCAGGGTAGGTCAAGAATAATAAAGTCACACCTACACCTCAGCAAGAAGGCGTGAGGGAAAAGCCAAATAAGCCAATCAGTATGATGAACGCTAGCAGGCATGGTGATCACAGTAGATCCAAGAGGAAAGTCGTGATGGGACATTAGCAGAAATTCACGGGGCATCCAGGGTTGAATTATGAAGCCTCCTTAGTGCCATGTCAACGTTATTCCAACTATGGGGTTCAACAGCTGCTGGTTCCAAAGGAGGAGGGATCCAGAGTCATTCCTGGTGGTATCTTGGGCAAACTGCACTGATTTTACAGGTATTGTAAGCAGACACATGGGTTAAAAAAATAATAATTTAAAAAAACTCATGAGGACTAGGAGGATGAAATGAGGACTAGGAGAATAACAACTCTGGCCTTGGGTAACTGATTTTATTCATAGGTTGCTCATTCTTCATCTCTAGAAGAGGTAAGACTATGTGGGTTCTATGATCTTTCCCAGCTCTAATAGTCTCTCTGGTCCTAAGAATCCAACCTGAGACTGGGGAAAGAGGTTTAGGATGAGATGTTCCATTCCTTCAATTTTCTCTAGTAAAGAGGAAGGGTAGTTGGTTTCCTGGATAGTAATGTATGTGAATTGCAAGTCTATTTTGGTCCTTGCCTCACCCCTACTGGATGTTTAGTGGTGCCATTGCCCAGCTGCTGTCCTTAGTAATAGCATGGAGCTCTCCAGTGCTCAAGACCTGGAGAGCTCTCTATGCCTGCTGAGCCCTGGGGATGCTGCTGAATCTGTTGAGCAAGTAATGCTACTGAGGCATCTGCCATGCCAGCTGCAGAAAAATCCAGAACCAGGTTTCAAGATGAGCCCTGACTGCAGAGTCAGAGATGGCAGCCCCCTCTGAAGGGCTCTTATTTCATTCCTTCTGCCCACCTCCTGTCCTCCAGGCAAACCAAATAGGCAGAGGCTAATGTTTGATGGAAAAGAGTTCAAAGGAATAAAAGCTTTTACTATAACCTGCCCTTTCCCTTAGAGAGATTCCATCTGAGCAATCTCATCCCACCCACATGTGCCCAACTGGCTCCTAGATTATTCCTATGGAACAAACTCTCCACCTGCCCCAAGGCCAGTTCCTTTACTCCTTTGTGAGCGCCTAAATGCTTTTAGGGTGGAGGCATCTGTTTGATGGAAGGGTGCATCTAACTGGAGGTGCATCCTCCCAGTCTCTACTTCTCTCCACAAAACCCGGTTTTCTAAAATTTGCCTGACACGTGTATCAACTGGCAGCAGAATTGGATGAAATAATTTAAACTGGAGCATGACTATTACAGTTTTATCTTTAAAGAAGTAATTTCCTACCAGGAAGTGCTCTTAAACAATTGGATTTAGACAAAATAGATTGCAGAAGCTCTTTGCTCCCTGGAATTTATCAAAAGTACAATGGACTCCTACCTATTTCACAGAAGTTTTAAAAACTTGTCAATTTAGAGCCTGGTAGCAGAATGCCAAGGTTTTCTATGTGATCACAGTCATCATTGTTATTTGGGGGTACAAAATGAAGGACATCTGTAGTTCATTTTCCATAATATGGACAATGGCCACGTTATAAAAGTTCAATAAGTGGCTATTTTTATTTAGATTCAGAAAATCAAAACTAAATTATTGACCCCAGAGTTAAGAGTTATTTCTCAAGATTGTGAATCTTGTACTCCAAAAATCATTTTTGTGGGGGTGTCTTATTTCATTTTGTGTTGCTATAAAGGAATACCTGAGGCTGGGTAATTCATAAAGAGATTTATTTGGTTTTGCAGAGTGCACAAGAAGCATGGAACCTGCATCTGCATGTGAGGCCCTTAGGCTGCTTCTACTCATGGCAGAAGGCAAAGGGAAGCCGGTGTATGTAGAGATCACATGGCAAGAAGCGAAGCAAGAGAGAGAGTGGGGAGGTGCCAGGCTCTTTATAACAACCAGCTCTTAAAAGAACCAACAGAGTAAGAATTGTATTCATGCCCTGCACCATAGGAGGGTATTAATCTATTCATAAGTCCACCCTCTGACTCAAACACCCGCCACTAGGTCTCACCTCTAACATTGGGATCAAATTTCAACATGTGATTTGGGGAGACAAACATCCAAACCATAGCATTCCTCCCCTGGCCCCCCAAAACTCATGTCTTCTTCATGCTGCAAAATATAATCATCCCTTCTCAATAGTTCCAAAAGTCTTAACTTGTTCCAGCATCAACTTCAAAATCCAAAGTCCCATCTGAGACTCAAGGCGAATTAACTGTGAAATCAAAAACAAGTTGTTTCCTTCCAAGATACAATGGTGGTACATGTATTGGATAAACAGTCCCATCCCAAAAGGGAGAAATCATTCCAAAAAAAAAGGAGTAACAGTCCCCATCAAGTCCAAAACCCAGCAGGACAGATGTTAAATTTTAAAGCTCCAAAATAATCCTTGACTGTATGTCTTGCATCCTGGGTACACTGGTATGAGGAGTGGACTCCCACAGTCTCAAGCAGCCCTACTCCCAAGGCCACTGGCTGCTCTCACAGGTTGGAGTTGAATGCCCATGGCTTTTCCAGGCTGAGGCTGCACACTGCTGATGACTATAATTCTTGGGTCCTTGCAGCAGCAGCCCCAATCCCATGGCTCCCCTAGGCATTACCCCAGAGAGGACACTCTGTGTTGGCTCTGCCCCGCAGCAGACTTCTGCCTGGGCATCCAGGCTTTCCAATACATCCTCTGAAATCTAAGTGGAAGCTGCCAAGCCTCCATGACTTTTGCATTCTGGGCACCTGCAGACTTAATACTGTGTAGACACCAGCAAGACTTATGGCTTATGCCCTCCAGAGCTGTGACATGACTCACACCTGGGGCCACTGAGGCCATGTGAGCCATGGCTGTGCCATCCGGAGTGGTGGGGATACAGGAAGCAGCAGACTGGTCACAGGGGAGCAGTCTCTAGGCCTGTCCTCTACCCAAACCATTCTGTCATCCTAGGATTCTGGGCCTATGATGGAGGGGTCAGCCTCAAAGTTTTCTGAAATGCCTTCAGGGCCTTTTTCACATCGTCTTGACTAGTAACACTTGGCTCTGGTTTAGTCACACTAATCTCTTTAGCAATGGTTGCTCTGTAGCACCCTCAGATTCCTCAAACTCTTGGATTCCTTGCCTACAAATGCTCTTTCCTTCTCTATCACATGGCCAGGCTATGAAATTTCCAAATTTTTACACTTTGCTTCCCTTTTAATTATAAATTCCACTTTCTAGTCATTCCTTAGCTCCCATAATTTAGCATAGGCTTTTAAAAGTAGCCACACCACTTCTTGAGTACTTTGTTGCTTAGCAATTTCTTCTGCCAGATACCCTAGGTCATCATTCTTAAGTTCAGCCTTCTATAAAGCCATAGGGCCTAGACACAATGCAGCCAAGTTCTTTGCTACTGTTTAACAAGGGTGACCTTTGCTCCAGTTTTCAATAAGTTCTTCATTTCCATCTGAGACTTCCTCAGCATGACCTTTATTGTCTATATTTCTATCAGCATTTTGGTCACAACCACTAAATCAATCTCTAAGAAGTTCCAACCAGGCACGGTGGCTCACACCTGTAATCCCAGCACTTTGGGAGGCCGAGACGGGTGCATCACGAGGTCAGGAGATCGAGACTATCCTGGCCAACATGGTGAAACCCTGTCTCTACTAAAAAATACAAAATTAGCCAGGTGTGGTGGCACACAGCTGTAGTCTCAGTCTTGGGAGTCTGAGGCAGGAGGATCACTTGAATCCAGGAGGCAGAGGTTGCAGTGAGCCAAAATCGTGCCACTGCACTCCAGCCTGGCAACAGAGCGAGACTCCATCTGAAAAAAAAGAAAAAAAGAAGTTCCAAACTTCTTCTGAGTCCTCCAAACTCTTCCAAACCTCTGCCCGTTAT
This sequence comes from Homo sapiens, assembly GCF_000001405.40. Classification (NCBI taxonomy): domain Eukaryota; kingdom Metazoa; phylum Chordata; class Mammalia; order Primates; family Hominidae; genus Homo; species Homo sapiens. The sequence goes on along the minus strand of NC_000002.12, from coordinate 191,025,568 downwards.
TCAGTTTCAAGCCACTTTCACATTTGCAAGTATCCTTAATGCAACCCCCAGTCCTCAGTATCAATTTTCTGTCTTAGTCTGTGTTGTGTTACTCTAAAGGAATACCCAAAGCTAGGTAATTTATAAACAATAGAGCTTTATTTTGCTTATGGTTCTGCAGGCTCTACAAGAAGCATGGCACTGGTACCTGCATCTGATGAAGGCCTTAGGCTGATTCCACTTATGGAGGAAGGGGAAGGGAAGCTGGGATATGCAGAGATCACATGGTGAGAGAGGAAGCAATGAGTAGGGAAGGCACGTGGTTTTCTTAGTTTCAAAATATTAATCACATTTTCACCTCTCCTTTCACTCATCCCAGATCAATCACAGATACATATTTTGCTAATGACTATTCAAATTTATTTTAAAGAATCACTTTAACTAATTGTTCTGATTATCAATGCCTTCATCTGTAATAAATGCTGAAAGAAGGCAACTAGCCAATGAATTTCATCAAAATCTAAGGTGGCAAGAACCCCACCCCACCAAAGAATCATAAAGAATGAATATACCTCTGGCAAATTCAAGGGATTTTTCTTTACCTCATGCAGTTTGGGAGGCCCATGCAACTCTCCACAGTAAAAGAAACAGAATTAAAAGTCAAGCCATCCCAGTATTCTGCTCTAGCTGTAGACAGACAGTCCACGCTTAGCATTTGGCCTCTGTGCACACATACTCCAATTTCTGACACAGAGTAAAGATATCTTTTTTTCCAAATTGACCAGGAACATTTATTGATTTTATTGATGCACTTTTTAAAGTCTGGTTTATTGGCATATAATTTACATACAGTAAAATTCACCCTTTTGGGTGTGTCAGCTTATGAATTCTGACAAACTCATATAGTTGTATAACCACCACTATAAGACAGAAGATTTCTACAAGAGCACTCACAAAGAGGATGCCATAAAAACATGGGGAAGGACATTCTCTCTTTCCTTACAGTAAATATAAAAAACAATTTCATGCAGCTTCATATGTAGACAGAGGGCTCTACTTAAATTGGATAATTTCACTCCCTACTTAAAATTTTTGAATGGCTCATGATGCTCTGCATTAGCAGTTCTTGTCTGGGGTGTATGGACAGAATTCAAAGGGCTCATGAATTTAGATGGCAAAAGTTACAGTTTTACTTCCACTAACTTCTAACTACAGTTAATTTCCTTCAATTATATGGGCAGCAAACCATAACCCATACCACGTTTATATCATATTATAATTATTAAAGTCATCTCAAAATATTGTTTATGCTAAGCACAATTTTGAAATTGCATTAATTGGACCCACTGCTAAATCCTATTATTTAATGCCATTAGTAAATAAGTGCATGGCTAGGTGCAGTGGCTCATGCCTGTAATTCCAACACTTTAGGAGGCTGAGGTGGGAGGATCACTTGAGCCTCAGGGTTTGAGACCAGTCCAGGAAACACAAGGAGACCCCATCTCTACTCAGAATATATATATATATATATATATAGAATTTTTTTTTAAATTAGCCAGGTGTGGTGGTATGCACCTATGGTCCCAGCTACTCTGGAGGCTGAGGTGAGAGGATCGCCCAGGAGGTCTTGGCTGCAGCCAACCGTGCTCATGCCACTTCACTCCAGCCTGGGTGACAGAGTGAGACTCTGTCTCAAAAAAAAGAAAAAAAAAGAATCATTTATATTACTATGTCACAAAGTTGGTTTTAATATATCACAAAGTTGGCCCGATATCAGTATTTCAATGTAATTGGTTTTCTTTTGAATCTTATGCATCTTATCTTATTCAACTAAAAACATTATTTTCTGAAAAACTTACAGGTTTCATCAGACTGCCAAAGAGGTCCATGTCACAAAAACTAGTTAAGAATCCCAGCTTTGGATAAAGACCACAATTCGCAACAGATCTTTCCAAAGTCACGTATTATTTAGTCCCCTCTTAGTCTTCAACTCATCTCTCTTCACTCCTCCCCAACAGCTTCTTATCCACCAAAACATCTGCACACAAGACTGACTGAACTACTTTCAGTTTCTTTGATGGCCCATGTTCTCTCTGTTTCCCCTGCCACATCCTCTCAATTCTCCAACCCCATCCCATATATCCCTGCACCTGGATAATGTTTACGCATTCTTCAGGCTCTGGAAAGCCTTCCTGCCAAACACACACACATACATACACACACACACACACACGCATGTGTGCGCATGGCTCAGGTCATGCCACGCTTCCTCCATAGCATCCTCTACATCCCCGGCACAGTGCTTATCTCCTTTGGTGTAAATGATATCATCTATTTTCCTCAATAGACTCTAAGCAAGCTCTGTATGTACATGGACCAAGACAGCCCTGCTCACAGTTATATCCCTGGAATCTAGTACAATCTGGCCCTGAATAAATATTTATTAATGATTTGGTGTTTGGACACATCAAGAACAGTCATTAGTTCCTTCCTTTCCTTTGCTCCTTGGGCTGCCTGCAAAACTAAGCTGAAATTCTCTTCCTAACAGCTCCAAACTCTAAAATCATGAAACAGCCCCCAATGTTATGCTTCATCCTGATTAACCAAAACACACTTGCTTTTGATCACACAGAGAGGACTTCCTCCCTACCTCACCCTGAACTTCCAATAGACATTGTCTAGAATTACAGTTTATAAGCTCACTCTAACTTCCCTTTGATGCTAGGTATTATCTCATGCATGCCTAACATCCTAGACATCTACCTACTCATAGATGAACCAAGTGTTCCTGAAATTTCCCCTAAACTCTCCATTACACTCAAGGGCATTACTACTTCTGCCCCTAGTAAAAGTCCTCCACAAAGAATGGCATGAACCCGGGAGGCAGAGCTTGCAGTGAGCCGAGATGGCACCACTGCACTACAGTCTGGGCGACAGAGCAAGACTCCGACTCAAAAAAAAAAAAAGTCCTCCACAACACTCTTATGTCAGGCTTGACAGTCATCTTCTTAGACATCTCACAGACTGATAGACTGCCGCAAACGGAAAGAACTCTGCCGTCCAGAGAGGGCAGAGAGAGGGGAGAGGTTGGAAGGGGTGTGAAGGAGTAGAGCTCTCATTAAAAGTCCTTTAGGGAAGTTTTTTGCGCTATGCATGCTCATTATTCTCTTCCCCCCTCAATTGTGGCTCGATAGGTCTTAGAGCCAGTGCTGAGATCTGAATGGCTGAATTAACCTGTGATTCCTGATCTCAGTGTTGGTCAGTGACGTTCATTTATTCATTCAAAAAATATTTTTGAAATATTTGAAAATGCCTGTATCAGGCATTGCTTTGCTTAACCAGGGTTTCTGAACCACAAGACACAGAAAGTGATTTGCTTGACGATTTTCTCAGTTCTCCCAGGGATGGCATACAGTGACATTCTAGATATACAGGAGAGCAGGGAATTCATTACACACATAGATACCCTGGGGGATTAGACTGAATTGTCTCATGGAATACTGGATGGAAAAGGCTGTTAACACAGAACAAACTCCCTCCTGTTGTGAACTTACACGCTGGCGAGGAGAGATGAAAACAGACAAATAATAAACAGGGATAGGTTTAACAAGTGTTATGAGGATTGCAAGTGTGATACAGTCACTGGAAGAAGCAATCAATGAGGGTGTCTTTGAGGAGATGATGACTGAACTGAGACCTAGAGAATGGGAAGGAGGCAGTCCATGAACACAGTCAGGAAAACAGCATCCCAAAAGACCAGTGTATGTATGCATAGGGCTCAGGCAGGTAAAAACTTGGGGTATCTGAGGAACAGAAAGAGGCTAAGGGGATTGAGGGGAGCCTAGTGAAGTATGGGGTGAGATAAGATGAGTAAGAGGGGTAGGTGAGCCCAAATTGGCGGGCCCTGGATTCTTATTGCAAATTGAAGCCAGCAGAGGCTTTTAAACAGGTGAGTGGTGTTATAAAATTTGTTTCTTCATTTAAGTGAACATCGAACAAGGTTGCTATACAAGAAATGCCCCCAAATTCCCCACCTAGGTCTGGCTTCCACAGGGCAGGCACTCAGAAGGGCTCCACGCTTGGCTTCATGCTCTCCTGTTGCCTTCTTGAAATTCTTCATTAATTTTGAGTAAGGGACCCCACATTTTCATTTTGCAACGGGCCCTCCCTGCAAATTACATAGCTGGTCCTGTGTTGTTCTAACAGGGGAAAATAAACGTCTATTTGCATAGTAGGACTCTGTACCTTAGGGTCTTGTTTGTGTGCAGCCATTTTGGGGCTGGTCGTCACTCTCACAAGAGGCTGGAGGTTGGGGCCCAATGAGGTAGGTAGGCCCTTTCACACACTGGAGGTTCTAGGTGGGTGCCGAGTTCACCCTAAGAAGGTAGAGCCCCTTAAGAGTAGGCGAGCAGAGCCCAAAGAAACTCAGTCTCGTGCCTCCTAGAACCATTGAGTAAGTCACAGACATTACACAAAACTCTTGTTTCCTCAGCCAGCCGAACTTTCGAAATCATTGTCCAGTGACTAAGCATTCTCCATTATACTTCTCCCACGTTCCTTCTGGTATAATCACCACAACTGAGAAGGCATGGGGGCGAGAAGACCCCAGAAGAAAGAGGCAAGCCCCTTGCAGACCGAGCCTGAGGACGCCTATAGAAACTGCCAGACCCCAACCTCTGGTTCAAGGGCAGCTACCCAGGCTGGCTGAGGGTCACAGCTTACCAGACAGGACAAGATCTGAGTCAGTGCAAGTGCAAACTGTGTAGATAGCGAAGTGAAGCGGGTAAAAGAGACCTTTTCAGGACAAGGAAAGAAACGGTGGAAGTGCAAGGGTAAGGTTTCCAGCACCTTAGGTGCAGAAATCAGGACACGTTTCCCTCCCTCCCTCTAAGGTGAAACGGCAGCCACCCGCGCCTCCGCCTTCCGTCGTGTGCAGAGCTAACACTCGCGCGTGCGGGCCGCGTGGACCGGCCTCTCTGGGACCCCGTCCCGCAAGCCGATCTGCAGCCCCAGGGCGAGCGTGCGAGCAGTGCGCCCGCCGCCAGGGAGAAACCGTTGGGAGGAAGCGGGCTGCGGGAAAGCCCCGCTGCGCCTGCGTGCTGCGCCTGCGTACTGCTCCCGCAGGCTCTAACTTTCGCTTTTCGGTTTCCTCTCAATCCCAGTCCTTCTCGCTCCCGGGCAGTTTCCCCGAAAGCACGTGGGGCGGCTCTTCCGAGCACTCGCGTCCCTCCCGCCGCGCGCGCCGGGCCAGCTGTTTCCGAAGCGGTTCAAACTGCACCGCGCAAAGCCAGGGGCGTGGGCGGGCCCGGGCTGCTCTACCTGCGCTCGGAAAGCTAGGGCTCCAAAGCGTTCCTGAGCGGTTTTTGACCGCGAATGTGATAGTGCTCATGGTAAACACTGAAAATAAATTACATAGACATATCTTACTACCCAGACACATTAACATTTTAGAGTATTTTTCCTTCTCCCTCTCTGTTTCCATTTATTTACATTTCTATATATTATTACAATAATAGGATAATACTGTCTATGTTTTCTTTCCTTCATTTTCATTTAATTTTATACGTGGATATTTTCCAATGTGAAATTAAATAGTCTTTGAGAGCCTAACTTTGATATTCTACTATATGAATTGTGCTTTAACTGACAGTTGGAAAATTCAGTTTCTGATTTTTCACTGTTACTAATGAAGCTGCTATGAACATCATTCTGCATAAATCTTTCATCTATATCTGATCACTTCCTTATAGCAGATTTCTGTAAGTTCAAGAATATTATAAAAACTTCCAAAAAAAGATTGTGTTCCCTACATTATAATCGTCAATATAATTCTGGTCGATGTGTTATTTTTCCTTCATGTAAAGAACACAGCTTGCTTGCATATGGCCATTTTCCTAAAAGTATTCATAGCTTTCCTCCATATTGGGATGAAATATGTCATGTACATATTGCAGTTTTGTTCAAACCGTGATATGCATCCCTGCATTTTAACCAGCTGCTATGTAGGAGGCCTCTTGTACTTATTAACTGGAAAGAAAATACACACACCAAGACAGGTAAGTGACTGTACAAAACCCAAATCCAGAGAACTACAAGAAATGATAGAAATCTTTTATTTCAATTCTATTATATTACAGATGAACAAATACAGTTTACACTGATGAAGTGACATTCACAGTATAATAGCAAGCCTTACAGAAAGGAGGAGAGGTGAAGAGGCATTGACTGGAATTTTTAGAAATTCCTACTATCAGATATTTAGCTTATAACATTATTAGAAACATTGGGACAATATAGCTGAAATGCAAAATGGTAGCTGGAAGGAGAGGGAAAGTTAAAACATATTACTACAGATTGGTTCATCAGATTTGTAGCTGTCATTTTGAAATAGATCAAGGCTGTAAAGAAAGCACAGAGCCAGTAAGTTTTTTTTAATAGGAATGTGGTAAGGACACAGATAAAGTATTCCTTAAGGATGAGAGACTCCAGGGGAAATTCCCATGGTTGGGAAGGGCAATGGACCTGTTCCACTTAATTAAGTTCCACTTACTTGTTTTAGAATTCAGTTGTAGGATGTTTTGCTTCATTTCATAAATTCTTTATGAGTGATCTATTGCTGCATAACAGACGAAACTATTCCCAAAACTTTGGTAAAACATCAACCATTTATCAGTGCTTGTGAGTCTAGGGTATGCTGGGGAGTTCAGTTCACCTGGGTCAGGCCCCCACTTTATCTTGCCTGGGTTCTCTCATAAATCTGAGGTCTAAACTTGAACAACTACTGTGATTCAACTGTGGTCTGTGTGGTCTCTCATGCTCCTGCAAGCTAGCCGGACTTCTCATGGAGGCTGGGCAGGGTTTTGAGAGCGGAGTGTGTAAGGCCTCTTGAGGCCTAGACTCTAAATGTCACAATGTCACATCTGCTGCAAGGTGGGGAAATAACAGAGCAGGGAATAATCTGGCCATTATTGAAAATCATTGATCAGGAGAGCCTTCTTAGTTTCAGTTTCATATAATGAAAACTACGTAACTGATATCTTTTTGCCCTGGTTTGCAGGCTGTACTGTATTCTTTATCTAGTTATTGTAGATATTTCTGCTATAAGTTGCTTTAAAATGCTTTGTGCAACAAGGCAGATAAACTAAGTAAATAGAACTGGATGATTTGGGTATAAAAGAAACAGTGAGTGAAGAATAGGAATGATACTGTCTTTTCTCCAAGCAAAATACAGTTCCTCCAAATGGGAAGTGTGGAGTAGTTCTTAAGTCTTTCTACTGTAACATCATGTGAACTTATGAGTTACTCCGGTGACTTCACATCAGTTACTCATCATATAATAGTATTTTCTGGATTCCTCACTGTCCTTGACTCTCCTTTGTCTGTACACCAGTTCAGGGGTGGCAAATAGGAAATTTCACCTTACCTGTTGCTTCTGATTGATTGCTGGTGACAGTGTACCCTGTCATTTGTTGCTCTTTTAAATCCAATACAAGTAGTTGCATTTATTGTTTTAAATGTTGTCCAGTTGATGGGAGGCTGAGGGAGGAGAATCGTTTGAACCTAGGAGGGGGAGGTTGCAGTGAGCCAAGATCGCGCCACTGCACTCCAGCCTGGGCGACAGAGTGACACTTGGTCTCAAAAAAAAAAAAAGTTATCCAGTTGAGGCCAGGCACAGTGGTTGACACCTGTAATCCCAGCACTTTGGGAGGTCAAGGCAGACAGATCACCTGAGGCCGGGAGTGTGAGACCAGTCTGGCCAACATGGCAAAACCCTGACTCTACTAAAAATACAAAAAATTTGACGGGTTTGGTGATGTAGGCCTATAATCCCAGCTACTTGGGAGGCTAAAGAATGAGAATCGCTTGAACTCAGGAGGCGGTGGTTGCAGTGAGCCGAGATTGCACCAATGCACTCCAGCCTGGGCGACAGAGCGAGACTCTGTCATCAATACATACATACATACATATATACATACATACATAGTATCCAGTTGGTTTCAGACCAGCAGCAGTCCGTTAGAATATTTAGATTATTTAGAATTTTGATTTAGCGTGGGAACCTGAGGCATGCTGTCTCCTAGCAGAGGGAAGGAGCACACAAGAACAAGTTGATTACAAAGAACACGCAGTTTCAGGACAGATGGTATATACATCACAACTGTTCATATTCCTTTATCCAGAACAAGTCACATAGCCAAGGTCAGAGTTACAGCACACAGAGAGGTATACTCCACCCTTAGTGAACCATGGCAAGCAGTGGGAAGGGACAGAAGAGATTTGAAAATAGTACAATCTACAGACATAGTGTTAGCTGTTTTTTCTAGTTTTGTGTCTTTTGCAAATCTGACATTGTTGATATATAGATATAGCTTTCCAAGCTGACTGTTATAAGGCAACCGTCACACATTTGTATCTGTCAAATTCTGGATTTCTAGGTTTTTGTTTGGCTTTGGTTTGATTGCTTTTTGAAGCAGTCAATATGTTATACAGTAAGAAAATATAAATAGTTTATCCTTCAGGAATATTGAATCTTGGAGGCATAAGGATTGGACACTTCAAAAACCATAATATTAGAGAGTGTATAGTTATTGTCCAAATAAATAGAGACACATATATTATTTGGTCATTCAGAGACCCCAGATTAATTGCTACAGGTTGAGGTGGTTCTAGAAAGAGAATATAGTATTTGGGCTGGGCTTTAACAGGTGAATAAGAATTTGGTAAGTGAAGAGAGTGAGGAGCAAGACTTGCCATTCAGTATGTACAAAGGGGCAGAAATCAGGAAATTAAAAGCATGGGGGGAGTGCTGGAGCTAGACGAGGTTAGTTGGGAAATGCGACAATGATAGAAAAGGCTGGAAAGAAGGAAAGAAACATTTTGTGGAGGATCCAGACTAGCAGACAACATTTGTGTTTATCATATGTGCAAGGAGAGTTGTTAAGGCTTTTGAGCAGGGAATGACTATATCAATGCAGTATTTTAAGGAATTGAATTTGGCAAATATAGTGAAGGAGAAAGAGACAAGAAAAAGGTAGTATACCTAGAGATTAGCATAGCATTCCAATTCTCAAGTGATGAAGGCTTATGGTAGGTATTGCTGTGGATGCTAAAATAAAGGGGGGTAGGGAAGGAAGCATCCACAGATCTTGATGATCCAAATTGGGATTTGGAGTGCCAAATAATCCTATTTGCAGATGTTAGGATTATTCCATTCCTTCATCAATATTGAAGCTAATATCTGTGCAAGTTTTATAGTACCAGAAAAAAAATTTTTAACATGTAATCTACCCTTCCTAGAGTCAACTTTTGATATAGTTTGGCTGTGTCCCCACCCAAATCTCATCTTGAATGATAACTCCCACAATTCCCACCTGTCATGGGAGGAAACTGGTGGGAGGTGATTAAATTATGGGGGCGAGACTTTCCTGCGCTGTTTTTGTGATAGTGAATGAGTCTCGAGGATCCGATCATTTTAAAAATGGGAGTTTCCCTGCACAAGCTCTTTGCCTGCCGCCATCAATGAAAGATGTGACTTGTTCCTCCTTGCCTCCCGCCATGATTGTGAGGCCTCCCCAGCCATGTGGAACTGTAAGTCCATTAAACCTCTTTATTTTGTAAATTGCCCAGTCTCAGGTCTTTATTAGCAGCGTTAAAAATGGATTAATACAGCTTTTTTCAGAGAACAGTAAAACATTGTCTTGGTTCTTGGGTGAGTAAGAGCAGAAGGGACACTTTTGGTGCCGTGGCATCTCTTGGCAGAGAAGTCTAATTTCACTGCTAACTTGCTTTGTGAGGGTGCATTTGTGACAAGAAGAACAAATAGATGTGCAAAGAAAAAAAACTCATACACACACATATAGGCATATCCATGGGAAATTATTCAGATCCTTCTCCTACCCCAAAGTGCCTAATTATTCAAGGCTTGACTCAAATCCCGTCTACTTGAAGGAACTAATTGATTTTATGAGCATATAGTCCAAAAAGATTTAGTTTGTCTGGCTTCAGCAATGCCTACCTGGAGAAGTGACATTTAAGCTGAGATTTTTAAACTAAGATCTAAAAGATGAGTTAGCCAGCGAAGAGTTGGGTGAAGCAGATGTTGGCTCAAGGGGTTTTCCAAACTCAGGGTGAGAAGTCCCTGAGTTTGGAGAGTGTGGTTTATTTGAAGAACTAAATGCTGAAGTAAGCAAAGCAGAGTGGCACATTATGGGGTTGGACAAAGAGATCGGGCAACCAGGGCTTTATAGTATGTATTAAGAAACTGAATTTTATAAGAGCAAAGAAAAGCCATGGAAGGATTTTCAGGTTGGCAAATGACATGATCTGCTTTTCAATTAAAAAAAAAAACACTCAAACTCTTGTATGGAGAATGGATTAAAAGGTAGATAAGGGCTGAAGTGAGGCAGCCATTCGGGAATCTACTGCAGAAGGAGGCAGCAGAAGAGATGGAGCAGAGTAAATGAGACTTGGGAAATATTTAGGAGGAAGAATCAATTAAGATTTGAGGATCAGGTGTTGCGAGGTGAGGGAGAAGGCAATGTCAACTATGAATCCTAGGTATCTGTCATGTGCCATTTCTAGAAAAAGAGCAGGTTTGAGGAGAAAGATGTTTGGTTCTGAACATAGTTTGTAGAGCTCACTGCACATACAAGTGGAGAGGCAAGTGGGAGTTGTAGGTGTGAAGCCCAGAGGAGAGGTGTGGACGGGATAAGCATTTAAGACTCCTCCATCTAGAAGGAAACTGAAGCTGTGGGTGAGGTCATCACAGCACAGCGTTTAGGAGAAGCCCAGGTAAAGAAGCTGACGAATGTCTGGACCCTGACAACCTTAACATATAATGGTTTGATAGTGGAGGTGGAGGCAATGTAGAAAGAATGCCAGAGGCAGGAAAAAGCAAGAAGGATGTGTTATCATCATGACCAAGGAAGAAACGTGTTTCAAGAACAAAGGCGTCAACTCTGCCCCATGCTTCCGAGCTGTCAAGTAAAGTGAGAAAAACAGAAAAGCGTTCCCTGGGTTTAGCAACACGGAGGTCAGTTGCTAAAGGGAGCTTCTAGAATGACGACGTCGCCAAATCTGTCCTCTGCCTGGATTCTCGGCGATGAAACTACTACAGAGACCTCCAAGTTTGGGCTTCTGCAAACACAGCACGTCCTTCTGATCGTTCTCTAAGATATGTAAACAGAACGCCAGTTCCCAGCGTGGCAACACGGGACTGGGCTGCAGCTCACCCAGCCGGCGGCCCCCGCCGGAAGCCGGCGGAAATACCCCAGCGCGTGGGCGGAGCAGCGGCCCGCAGAGGGAGGCGGTGGCGCCCACGGAACAGCCGCGTCTAATTGGCTGAGCGCGGAGCCGCCCGGTGATTGGTGGGGGCGGAAGGGGGCCGGGCGCCAGCGCTGCCTTTTCTCCTGCCGGGTAGTTTCGCTTTCCTGCGCAGAGTCTGCGGAGGGGCTCGGCTGCACCGGGGGGATCGCGCCTGGCAGACCCCAGACCGAGCAGAGGCGACCCAGCGCGCTCGGGAGAGGCTGCACCGCCGCGCCCCCGCCTAGCCCTTCCGGATCCTGCGCGCAGAGTGAGTGGCCGTGAGGTTCCGGGTGCCGGGGGTGGGACGCGCAGGGACAGAGTCCTCGGGCCGTGCAGTTGGACGCCGGGCGAGGACGGGCCGTCTGTGCTGACCCGCGAATAGTGATCCCAGAGGAAGAACGCGTCCTGAGTATTCCAAGTGCGAGCAGTGCCACCTGTTCTCGGAGATGGCACTGCTCAGCACGATTGTCCTTGCCAGTCGTGCTCTGGCAGTGAAGAGGACTTGTGAAATATAATTTTCCTCTAGAAGGCACTGCACCTTCCCATTTACCGTCACTTTCTCCCGTTTCCACCCCTTTCCATCAGTCACGTTTTCTTCTTTTCGCAGAAAGTTTCATTTGCTGTATGCCATCCTCGAGAGCTGTCTAGGTTAACGTTCGCACTCTGTGTATATAACCTCGACAGTCTTGGCACCTAACGTGCTGTGCGTAGCTGCTCCTTTGGTTGAATCCCCAGGCCCTTGTTGGGGCACAAGGTGGCAGGTCAGTAAATGTTCATGGAATCAGATGAATGAGTACATGACTTCGGAATCTTAATTATGTTTCTATGTTCAAAGATGGAAGGGCTTAATGTCTTCCTAGAGTTTAAAAGTGATGTTTAGTTTTTGCAGACCCCCCACCCCAAAATAATATAGTCTTAAAAAAATTTCTGGCCGGTACTGAAGAGTTCTGTGGTAGGTATGCAGAGGTGTGGTTGATTGTGCTTTGAATGTTGTTTGTATAGATAAGGAGTTATTTTCATAGAACAGAAACAGGACTTGAGCCTCCAGCACAGTCCATTGTGCAACCATTGCTTAATGAGGATGCTGGACTCACACTTGTGAGATCATAATATGGTTTGCTTTTTACTTTCTAATTCCGTCTGAAATATACATAATTTCAATTCAACAAACTGTTTCGAGCACATAGTATATGCAGGGCACTGTCCAAGGTCCATAAGATGTTAAAAAGCAAAATACCCCACTACTCTACCCCCTCCCCACCCACCTTCCCCCGCCGGGGACTCTGGAGGCATCACAGAGCTTTACAAGGAAAACTGGAACCGATGCTCTAATAGAGGTACAGAATTCAGTGAGACGCAAGTCAAAGAAAGCTTAATTGTGAGTAAGTCTCAGACAACTTTATGAAAGAAGGGGCTTTTGTACATAGCTTTGAATGCTATAGGATTTAGAGACGCAAAAATTTGTGGAGAGGCTGTTTCCAAGGGCGAGTAGCTGGAGCAAAGCAGAAATGTTGGGCACAGTTGAAAAACAGTAAATGATTTGGTGACTGGGTTGCTTTGTTGATGGATGAAGATGGGGTGGGGTGGAAATCTGCCTAGGAATGGACAGATCATAGGATTTTTGCACAGGAGATTGATGTGGTCCAATCTGTGGGCAGCAGAGGCTGGACTGGGAAGGTAGAATGTTGGAGACAGGAAGGAGCAGGTCTTGGGATGGAGTGGAAGGAATCAACCCTAAATCTGAGATTTGAGCTCAGTGACTGGGAGATGGCCATGCCACTCCCTGAGTTGGTAACAGGTTTTGTGAGTAGATGAGACTGACTCCAGATTTGTGAACATGAGCTTATTTATTCATTGTTTTTTTTTTTTAGAGACAGAGTCTCTCTCTGTCTCCCAGGCTGGAGTACAGTGGCGCGATCTCAGCTCACTGCAACCTCCGCCTCCTGGGTTCAAGCAATTCCCCTGCCTCAGCCTCACGAGTAGTTGGGACTACAGGTGCACACCACCATGCCCTGCTAATTTTTTTTTGTATTTTAGTAGAGACAAGGTTTCACCATGTTGCCCAGGCTGGTCTTGAACTCCGGAGCTCAGGCAATCCGCCCACCTTGGCCTCCGAAAGTGCTGGGATTACAGGCGTGAGCCACCTGGCCAGCCCAAACATGAGCTTATTAATTCACCTCTTCTGTGCCAGGTGCTACATATGTACTAGCTCAACCAGCCTTAAGAACCAACTGTGGCAGGGTGCGGAAGCTCACGCCTGTAATCCCAGCACTTTGGGAGGCTGAGGTGGAAGGATTGCCTGAGGTCAGGTGTTTGAGACCAGCCTCAGAAACATAACGAGAGGCTGTCTCTACAGAAAATTTAAAAATTAGCCAGGCTTCTTGGCTCGTGTTTATTGTATTAGTCTGTTCTCATGCTGCTATAAAGAACTGCCCGAGACTAGGTAATTTATAAAGTGAAGAGGTTTAATTGACTCACAGTTCTGCATGGCAGAAGGCATCTCTTCACGGGGCAGCAGGAGAGAGAATAGATGCAAGCAGGGGAAATGCCAGTGGCTTATAAAACCATCAGATGTCATGAGGCTCACTCATTATCACGAGAACAGCATGGGGGAGACTGCCCCCATGATTCAGTTACCTCCACTGGTCCCGCCCTTAACACATGGGAATTATATTACAATTCGAGGTAAGATTTGGGTGGGGGCATAGAGCCAAACCATATCACTTGCAGTCTGAGCTCCTTGGGAGGCTGAGGTGGGAGGATTGCTCTAGTCCAGGGGTTGGAGGCTGCAGTGAACTGCGCTCCACTGCCACTGCGCTCCAACCTGGATGACAGAGCAAGTTCCTGTCTACTAAACACACACACACACACCTTGTTGATAGGGGAGTAAGTTACCTGGGTTCGCTTGGCTAATAAGAGGCGTTGCAGCTCCCATTGCCTGACGGTCCAGCATATCTGCTTTAGGTAGATCCTTATTAGTTACCAAGCAGGGAGGGAGACAGCCACAGATTTTTCCACTCAGGTAAAATAAAACTGAACTGAAAAATCAAATTGCTTCAGCAGGAGTGCCAAGGGGCTGGGCTTGGGTCCGTTTCTACTGGTATATATGAGGATAACTAGCTTTATAGGCCAGACATTTCCTCACACTCCTTTGGAAGGACATTTGTGGAGTAGGCGTGACCTCATGCCTGCATACATGTGCTCGGCTACAAGTATGCATACACACTCTTCCATGCCCTACTTGAAAATCCAGACTCCTTCCCCAGAGGTCTGGCAGGACAAGATTCACTTGTGTCTGCTCTGCATATTGCCACCTGTGTGCTGATATAAATCCTAAGTTACATGATGGTCATGGGAGACTCTCCGTTTTCCTAATGAATTTTAGGACTTGCTTATATCAAGTTTTTGTTGTGATTTTGAATCTTTAGGATCACTATGTAAAAATGGACTTAACAGTTATCCAAAAAGCTAAGTGTTACTTTATCCTTTTAAATTACATTTAATGATGTTTTAATCTTTAAAAATCATTACTTCTTTATGCCAGATTTATTGTTTGTAGTAGGCAAAGAAGAAAATATATCTTTTTAAATGTGTATAAGAAAAATAATGAATTTTACCATATGAATCATAAATATAAAACAGAAGTTTGAAAATATTTGAGTTAAATTACAAATGTACTGTGATTTGTAGGAGAGCAATTTTGGGAGAGTCTTGTGATTTGTCTTAAAGCAAGTCTAATTAAAATAATGTTTTTCATGTATTTATTTGATAAAATCACAAACTCATTTTAAAGGCATATTTATTGGATACCTACTATGTGGTTGACATTGTTCTAGGGATACACCAGTGCACAGAATCCTCCACCAACATCCATCCCTTCAAGTGGTGAAAACAGACAATAATGAAAATAAAATATGTGGTAGGTCAGATGGTGGTGTAAGTACTATGAAGAAAAATAAACCAGGGAAAAGAGAGAGCATGTTTCCAGGGTGGGAGGTGGTTGCAGTTTAAATAAAAGAGGCCAGAGAAGGCTGCCCTGATATGTTGACAATAAGCAAAGACATGAAGATGTGTTTCGTGGAGGAGAAAAAAAGTTCATCCCCAAACTCAATTAAAAACAGGCTTTAGACTATAAATGCCATTTAAATAAAATATTCCTGGGACAAACTATGTTTTGGATTAAGCAAGATATTTAAGAGTACAACCTGATGCTAGGAAGGCTTTCTTTGGAGCTATGGTTTCCATATACATAGAAAGAATGTATATTCTTTTTCCCTATAGGATGTCTCAGTGGTACGAACTTCAGCAGCTTGACTCAAAATTCCTGGAGCAGGTTCACCAGCTTTATGATGACAGTTTTCCCATGGAAATCAGACAGTACCTGGCACAGTGGTTAGAAAAGCAAGACTGGTAAGGAAAATTCACTAGACAGAAGAAGAAGTTTACACCTTAAAAGTACTGGTTGATTAAGTGACTTGGGGCCATGTTTACTGGAAGATGAATTCCATCAATGGCCACTGGAATTATTTGTTGTAGAAAAGTTTGTTGATTTAAAAAATGACTCAACAAAGTTGAGCCAAAAAGTGTCTCAACAAAGTTAAGTATATTAGTCATTAAGCACTTTTATACAGTTTTGCCAAATTTAATTTATGATAGATATTCCTAAATGCTTTGGACAAGTTACGGAATACTGACACCGATTATTTTCCAACTTAGGATCCAGACTATAGAAAGAAGTAATTTAAAAGAAATAAAGCCAAATTAATGGTTAAACATTGATTAGAAATATGAAGAAGGTAGTAAAATTAAGGGGATTTTTTTTAACTGATAGGTGTTCTACTTTAAAATTTATTATTTGCTAATTTAAAAACGTCCTGAAAGTATTTGACATAGAAAGTGAAGGGTCCCCTGTTGACTTTTCCCCCTTCAGAGATAGTCACCATGAACACTGTCATGCACAATCTCTTAGAGTTTAGAATTTTTTGTGCTAATTGCACATAAGAGAAATACCACATAAACTGCTGCTAAAAGCAATGTCAGTTTCAAAAGAAGAAAATAAACCTAAGAAAATACTTAAATTATTTTTAATAATTTCAATAAGGAAACCAACATTTGTTTTGTCTGTTTTACATAGACATTTAGTTCTAGAATGAAATGTGTAAATGTTAAATCTCCTAGGGAGCACGCTGCCAATGATGTTTCATTTGCCACCATCCGTTTTCATGACCTCCTGTCACAGCTGGATGATCAATATAGTCGCTTTTCTTTGGAGAATAACTTCTTGCTACAGCATAACATAAGGAAAAGCAAGCGTAATCTTCAGGTATGACCTGGTTTTTGTATTTTAGTTGAAATGTTCTCATGTTTATGGAAGGCAGTTTTCTTCATTCAGCAAATACAATTGAGCACACACTTATTGGTATTTAGAGAAGTAATAGAGACTAACTCCATTTATGTTTTCTACAGCATCAGTAAATATAGCATAAGTAAAATAAGATACCAATTTATTTTATAAACACAGAAGGAATTTTTAGGGTTAAATGTATCACCTCTTAGGTATCAGTAATCCTGAGAAAAATGTGATGCTATAATTTTGTTTTACTAAAAATTGTCAATATTTAAACCAAAGAAAAGGGGCTACATTTTAAGAGCAATGATCTATAGTAATACATTAAAGCTCCAGGGAACATTAGTGGTTAGGTTCAGGTCCTTGCTATGCAAATGAGGAATAAAACAGGAAAGGTTTGACTTTCACCTAAGGAAGTCAGGTGACTTCAGGAACTAGACTCCACCTTGCCTTGCTTCTGGTGGAGTTGGCCTCTCCTGGAAGAGAAAGTCAAAGAAAGATCCAGACATGAGAGAACATGCTATAGAGTTTTAGGGGTTCTTCAGATGTACTCCCAGCATGCCCTTGGGGTGGCTATCATATTTATGTTGTGTAATAACAGAACTTTTCTGTTTTAATGGAGGTGAAAGCTATCATTTTCTTCTTTCATACAATACAACTGAACTTTTCAGCTTAGGTAATTGGAAGTTGTTTTTTTTCCTTTGTGAATGTATTTATGATTTTATTTACGAGTGGGGAAATCAAATTAACTTTACAGAAATTTGTTCTCATACAGACCTTGCATGAATGTACCTGTATAAAGAGCCATTATTGCTATTGGTAGTGTTTTGCAAACTAGCTTTGACAATGGCAACAGAAAACCCTAGATGAATATCTTTGGTCTAGTTCAAAGCTTAGACCAACAGATGCATTCATTGAGGAATGTCATGTATAGTTTTTATATCATTTGCATTGTCTCGGGATCCTAACCAAAGATAATTGGCCTTAAGAAATATGGAAAGATATTAAAGTAAAAATATTATGTGAACCATATGTGAAAATACTTGTTTTTAAATCAAAAAGTACGTTAGGTACCTGCACTTAGAAAGTTAAAGCAATTTTTGTCATAATTCGTGAAAGAAATATTTTGATTTTAACAAACATAGCTTATATAGAATTTAATAGATGAGAGATGAGGTTTCCCGGAGAATATAAACAAATTCATATCAACTTACAATACACAATAAAGTAAACATTCTGCATTTTAATTTATTTTTGTTCTAACCACTCAAATCTAGGATAATTTTCAGGAAGACCCAATCCAGATGTCTATGATCATTTACAGCTGTCTGAAGGAAGAAAGGAAAATTCTGGAAAACGCCCAGAGATTTAATCAGGTACTTTTTTCTCATTGAACACATAAACTGTAATAAAATAAAAATGTATTCATTCATCAAATACTATTAGGGCCCATGTCAAAGCAATGATGAATATCTCTCTAATTTTATAGCCCCAAGAAGTGGGAGAATCAGATTTAGAGATTTTATAGAACCAGGCTTTAAGAAAGATCCTAATCTAATGGAATTAAGTTCTAACGAGGAGAGAGAACATATAAACAAGATACTTCTGGGTAGCATAAAGTGCTGAGAAGATAACATGCTGAATTCATGGAGTGGCTGGGAGTGGGGTTGTTCCTTTAGATCAGGGTCAGGAAAGGCCTCTGAGTTGCTGGCACAGGAATGGAAGCAGGCAGATAGAGGGTTCTTGCAGCTGTCCAAGGTAGAGGCAGTGGAAGCTTGCGCTCAGTAGAATCAGTGGAGGTAGGAAGAGGTGGACAGATTCAGGTTATGCTTTGGATGTGATACCAATATAGAAGGATCCTTATGTTGAAGGATTAGATGCAGGAGTGAGAGCAGAAAGTCAAGGATGGCTCTACAGCAGCTACTAGAACCCCTTGAAAAATGGTAATGCTGTACACGGAGCTGGGAAGGCAAGGAGGGGGCAGGGGCAGGAGTTTTGTAGGACTCAATAGGTTTGTGGAGAGAAAAGGAGGCTGATGGGAAAATCAAGGGCTTTGTTTTGAGCAACATCAAGATACCTATTAAATATTCAAGGCATCAAACAGTAAATGAGTCAGAGTTGTACTAGTATCAAGATTTTTGATCATTGTTTTATTAATCCTAATACAAACCTTCCTAGTTGTCAGGGTTCAGCAGAGTTTTGAATTTGCTATGGCATTTAGTATTCCTTTCTTGAGCACTGGGGTGGTGACAACAAGCCAACAGGCAGGCAGTGTGAAGCCACCATGTTATGGATTGTTCTGGAGGAGCCCATTGCTATATGGATGCCAGAGGACACAGTATGCATCCTGTGTGCATTTCACCAACAAATAACTACCGAAGTGAACTGTGTGACAGTGGAGAGGGAGGGAGTTTAGGTGTGGTGGAGGATGCCATTCTCCACACACTGCCTGAGCATTTGTCCCAGTCCTTGTAATCCTGTCACTTCCCTAGGCGTATAGTTCCCATCTTCTTGTCACACTGATAGCATCTTGCTGAACTGAGCATGTAAAGATACATATTGCTTATTCTAAACTCAAGCTGGCTAGCTCATCTGGTACCCAGCCTAGGGAACAAAGGTGTATATCAACGCTGGAGGAGAAGCTGGCCAGGTTGTCTCCTCTGAAAGAGGTGTGCCTGTCTCTAACCTGGCATATACCTGGGAGATTTTCAGCCGGCAGTTTTGATTATATGGGGCTTCCATCCTAAAAGTAGTATGCGTGGGCCTCCTCTGTATTTCTAATAGACTTGAAAGGACAGCCAGGAGCAAAGATGGGCAGAAGGACAACCTGTTTCCCCCAGCTGCAAGCATGTCATCCTCACATTTGGCCCCTTGGCCCAGAGATGGCATTGGCAGCAGAGTAGGTGACCCCTGCTCTCCCACATGAACCTCATCCCCTGGCTTTGGATCTTGAAGGTTTACCAGCTTTTGAGCTCCCTCCCCATTAAAAATGTAGGTAATCTGGGGATTGTTTTGAGCCTCTCAGAGGACACCTGAGTCCGTGAACACCTTTGCAAAGCCTTCTTGGGGTGTGAGGGAAGTTTCTGGGTGTCTGGGGATGTCAGGGAAAGGGAAAAGGCACAATAGGTGCCTCCTTTCCAAAGTTATCCAGCCAACTATTGGCTAGGTAGGTCAGAAACATTTCTTCACCATTTCCCCCCTTGTTGAAGTAACTTTATTTTATTAATACAGACATGCATCACTTAATGACACAGATACATTCTGAGAAATGCACCACTAGGTGATCGCGTTTTTGTGCAAACATTATAGAGTGCACTTACACAAACCCAGGTGGTATAACCTACCATACACCTACACTATATGGTAAAGCCTATTGCTCCTAGGCTACAAACCTGTACAATATGAAGTTGTACTGAACGCTATGGGCAATTGTAACACAATGTTATTTGTGTATCTAAACATAGAAAAGGTACAGTACAGATAGTGTGTAAAAGATAAAAGGTGGTACCCCCATAAAGCTCCATTCTAATCTTATGGGGCCACTGTCATATACGCGGTCCATCGTTGACTGAACCATTGTTATGTGGTACATGACTGTGTATATTCTATTCATGCTAAAGTATATGTGTATGGAATGGTGTGATGTCTGGTATTTGCTTCAAATAATCCCATTTGGGGACTAGAAGAGTAAGGAGAATAGGGATGAAACAAGGCCATCCATGAATGCTAATTGTTGAAACTGTGATAGGTACATGGGGATTCAACAGATTCAACAAGTTAAAAACATGCAAAATTCCGAGTTAGTTCAGATCATTTAGAGACCACAAAATTCTATAGACATGCCGAGATGGGAAATTATTGTTCCCATTGTTTTTTAATATAAGAGCTTTTAGAAAATACATTTAAGAGAATATTATGCTATACACACTGTAGTAGACTATAAATGTTTCGTGTGCTGTCTTACAGCACACTAAGTTTTTTTCTTTCTTTTTTTCTTTGTGGTGAAAAAGCTAGTTGCATGTCTAGACAAAAATTTAGGTCCATAGGGTCTGAAGGGATGGGGAGAATTTCTTTCAGGTGGGAGGGAAAGACATGAGGTGGATTCTAAGCTTCCTTTGCTGTTCCATCTTTGTGTTCTTAAGGACTAATGGTTACCATATGCTGAGTGCTTATCATGTTTCAGGCCCTGTGCTAAGCACTTTATAAACATTATTTCATTTGAGTAAATACTTTCGAAACTATCACTGAAGTTAGGTATTCTTATCCCCATTTTAAAGATGAGAAAACTAAGGTTTAGAGGTCAGGTACTTCACTCAGAGCCACAGAGCTAATGAGAAGTAGGTTTGGAATTTAAACCCAGTATTGTCCAACTCTAAAACTAGTTCACTGGAGAAGTCACTTTTCAGTTTTCTAATCTGTGGGATGGGATATGAGGGCTTTCTGGCTGGAACTTCTCACACCCATGGAGTGCCTATTCCCTTACTTGGACAACTGCTCACTCCATTGGAAAGGACCCCCTTCCTGAGCAGAAGACTTTTCTTTGCTCTGGGGTCTGGAGTAACCAAGTTCCCATCCAAACAAGGTCTCTAGAGGTACAGTAGTGAAACGAGAAAGTAAGAGTCAATGACAGCCGAAGTCCCTTCCAACTTCAGTGTTTGAAATTCCCGTGGTTTCAGTACTCCTGGTTTCTTAGAAAGTTAAAAAGTTAAGGACTCACTGTGAAAGTGGTATCAGTACTAAAGTGTACAGGAGCAGCCAAGCATCTGCTTAGCAGATGGGGGCAGGGTGGAGGGAAGCAGGGAGGGATGAGTGGAAGGGGTAAGAGAGCACCAAGGGTTTGAGTGACTTGGAGGGACTACTGCCCAAGTTGGAAGCAGGAGATTTCTTAGGCCCTGCCACAGTCACCAGGTTTTTCCACCAAGCATCTCCCAGCAAGTCAGTAGAAAGGGGATGTAGAAGCTGGGGATGTAGCTGCTGTTTTACAGCCATTGTTTATATCCCTGTTCTCTAAACCGAGCCTTGGTCATTTGGGAGGAGGCCTGGGAAGTCAGAATTCTCCAGTGGCCTGGTCCCTCTCTCTAGGTGTAGTGTCCCAGCTGTTACAAAGCCCACAGGACACCGTGCCCACATCCTGCTGGCTTAGAAGTTGTATTAGTCTGTTCTTGCATGGCTATAAAGAAATACCTGAGACTGGGTAATTTATAAGAAAAGAGGTTTAATTGACTTATGGTTCTGCAGGCTGTTACAGGAAGCATGGTGCTGGCATCTGCTCAGTTTCTGGGGAGGCCTCAGGAAACTTACAGTCATAGCAGCAGGTGAAGGGGAAGCACACATATCACATGGCCAGAGCAGGAGGAAGCAGGGGAGAGGTGCTCCACACTTAACCAGATCTTGTGAGAACTCGTGATCACAAGGATAGTACCAAGAGGATGGTGCTAAACTATTCATGAGAAACTGTCCCCGTGATCCAGTCACCTTCCACCAGGCCCCACCTCCAACAATGGGGATTACAATTCATGAGATTTGGGTGGGGACACAGATCCAAACCATGTCAGAATTAGACAACAGCAAAGATTTCCCTGCACAGGCAGAAAGCTGTATGGAACTCCTCAAAGTGACAACTTATTCCAACCGCCCAGAGAAACCCCTTTTGTCACTGAGTGATATGTGGCACCTTGGACTTACAGAGGATACCAGTAACATTCATGTATTTCTAATACACACTTTACAGCTGATACAATTCACATGCTTTGAACTTCTGCTGTTGGAGAATATGTAACATGAAGGAAAACTTCCTATGAAGAGAGAATAACTTTGATGACGTATGCCTGATAAAGATAAAACAAAAAATTATGGACCAATTTTACTTATGAGTATCAATATAAAAGTCCTCAATAAGATATTAGGGATCAGAATTAAATACTACATTAAGAAAGGACATGACCAAATATGATTTATTATAGGTTACAAGGGTAGTCCATGACTGGGCAACCTATTAATGCAATTCACTAAATTAATAGCTACAAGGAGAAAAAAGCATTTACTTCCTTCCACAGAAGCTGAAAAGATCTAACAGAATTCAATACTCATTCCTCATAAAAACATTGAATAAGATAGGAATTGATGGGTACCTCTTTAACACAAAAAAATATATATATCTCCATTCTAGAGACAGTATCTTACCTAACTGGGAAAACTCCAGTAAGTCAGAAACACAGCAAGGATGCTGTGTTTCCACTGCTATTTAGCATCGTATTGGTGGTATTGGCCAATGCAATTAGACAAGAGAAAACCATTAGAAGCATAAGAATTAAAAACAACATCATAAAGATGTTAGCTCTCCCTGAGTTAACTTGTAATTTTAATGTTATTCCAATAAAAATACCAACAAGTTGTTTTCTGGAGCTACACAAATTTGTTCTGAAATTTATGAAAAATAAACATGCAAGAGTAGCGAGGCAACTTCTGAACAAGTAGAGCAATGAAATGGGACTGGCCCTACTAGACAGACTATAAATCCTCTATAGTCAAACATCCTTCAAGGGTTCAGGCTTATGAATAAAAAGGCCAATGGGAAAGAAGAGAAAAATCTAGAAGGAAACCCGTGTGCATATGGAAATTCATGTGATAAAGTTGGCAGCTCAGAGCACTGGGGAAAATAATGGACTTTTCAGTAAATGCTGTTAAGACAAATGGAAAGCTAACTGGAAAAAAAGTGAAAGCAAAAAGTGGACCCATACTTCACTCTGATCATGAGAATAAACAAATATATCAGCGATCTAAAAGTTAAAAAGAAAAAAAGGAAACCTTGCAAGTGCTAGGGAAATGAGTGAATGATGTAATGTCAATAGGGAAAGGCTTTCTAATATAAGGAAAATTCCAGACATGAAGAAAAGATGATACAATTGCACATATAAAAACACCCCCGTAGAATCTGTGCTGTATAGGGCACTGTGTAAGAAAGGTTGACAAGCACAGTTTTTGCTGTGTGGGGGATTTAACTCTAAAAAAATAACATCTTTCTAGAATTTAATCTCTATGAGAACAGGGATCACTGGTTACCACTCTAACACCCGAGCCTAGAGCATTGCCTGACATTTACTTAGTACCTAGTATGTGCAGGGTACATCTGGTGTATGAAGCAAGTAGAGACCCTGTCACTTCTGAGTGTTCTGATTATCAAAAATAGGACTGAATACTCCCAGGCAAGTCTGGGTTTATATTCATTATTGACTTTATAGTAGCAGATTTTCATTGATGGCCTTAATGGAGTGATTTCATATTTCAGTATACCTCTGGATCACCCGGAATTGTGTTAAAATAGGGTTTTCTGATTGCCTAATCATATTAGCCCTTGAGATTTTCCAACAAGATCCTAGGTGGTGAGATGCTGCTGGTCTGAGGACCACACTTTGAATCAGAAAGCTTTAAGATAAATAAGGACTGAGTTAATGAGAGTAATCTTGTGTATAGTATCTGAGAAACCGTGAACTAAATTCCAGCGTGGTACCATGCAACTGTATGAATTAATGGAAACTCCCAGAAATACTGTTTATTTTAGACATGAATTGAGCCTAGTTTTTTTGTAACCTTGTTAACAGTTTGCCAGCATTTTCCAGGGCCTTGGGAAAAATTTCATATTGACACATAAGCAGGAAGCCTGTAGTACATGTCAGAAGATCTGGAAGGCAAGTGGGGACTTGACTTTGGAGTGTAACCAGCAAGTACACACCCTGAAGAAAACGATGGCTATAATCATGCCCTTCCCATTACAGGCTCAGTCGGGGAATATTCAGAGCACAGTGATGTTAGACAAACAGAAAGAGCTTGACAGTAAAGTCAGAAATGTGAAGGACAAGGTTATGGTGAGTATTGAGTAAACACATGCATTTATTCTGAAACTTTCTGTAGGGGAAAAAAGGTTTCAATTGCTTGGGGTGTAAACCTCGTAACTGAGTTCAGTCTTTTAAGTAGTTGGGAAGAAAAATTTTGCAGAAGTCTCAAGCTATAAGTAAACAAATTGGCAAAATCAATGACCAGATAGACTTTTTGAATGGCCTCTTATAACTGCCAAACATTGAGTTTAGCTTTTTCTTCCCTGAAAGATCATGCAGTAAATGTTGACTTTGCCCAGTACCCAGTAAATGAGATGTTGCTGCTCTAAATGGGCCTTTATGTCCACACCTCTCAAATCACAGTGCCCCAGGATAAACATGGCCCATCCTTCCCAGTCATCTGTTTTATCCTAAGACTTGGAAGAGGAACAAAAATACATTTTATTGAAAGAAATTTGGATACATTTCTGATTAAGACATCCACAGCAATTTTAGGATACAACTTCCAAGTCAATTTATGGAAGCAGAGGGCTGCTCTGGCGTCCTCGATGGTGCGCATTTACTCCTCTCCACTGTTAGGGCTGGTGTGGGGAGGGTTTGAGGAGTTCTTTTTCACAGAGGCCTGTGTTTGTGGAAAAGGCCTTCCAGCTTAGGGGTTTGGTCCTCTGTGGATCTCTGGGTAATAGCAGTATGGCCTTGACTTACATGCTTCAGACAGCATCTTTCCAAACTCCACATTCTTTGGAGCAACTTCATCTTGCGGTCTCCTAGGGAAACATTTCATTAAAGTAGAAACCGAGTGAGCCCAGTCCAGAAATAGCCATGGAAATCCAGAGAAGAATATGTGGAAATGTGACCAAATCCCAAACAAATGAGGCTTATTTGTAGAATGAACATACAATTTATTGTCCAGATGGAGATGCATTTGAGCCGCCAAGAGGGCACTGTTTATAATTACAGCAAGTATGAAACCAGGTCTATCCCGGTAAAGCAGGGATGTATGGTCACTTTTCTTACTTGGAAGGAATGAGGAAATTTTCTGTGAGCTTTTTCCCCGCCTGCTGTGGGCTTCACAGTGGAGTTCTTAAATCATATCTCAGAGGTAGTCTCAAAAATGATGAGGAAGAATCAAAATTTAGGCGCTGGAACCAGGTTAAGGACATACAAATCAGTTTGAGAATTATTGTACGTTTGCTTTTTTAAAAATGTTATGACATACTTATTAATGAAACCGAAATTATTTCATGTATATGATTAGAACTGTCCAAGTCAGATCTCTTTTTGGGGGAGATGGAATTGTTTTCGTGTTTCTCTGGGTTCCATAGAAGCAATACTCTGTTGCCTAAAGTCTTTGGAAGTTGCTGATCAGTAGAAAACATGTTTACATCTTTGTTTGTAGTGTATAGAGCATGAAATCAAGAGCCTGGAAGATTTACAAGATGAATATGACTTCAAATGCAAAACCTTGCAGAACAGAGGTAAGGGTTCACAACTGAAGTGGTGCCCGTTGGCTGCAATTTTTTCTGTTCACACTAGATAACGAAGATGATTACTCCTTTCTATTTGCCGAGTATTTTATGACTCTGAATTCTTCCTTGATAACCCAGGCCAGGGCTTCTCAACATCCAATATTATTGACATTTCGGGCTAATTTGTTGTTGGGGCTGTCCTGGCATTGTAGCGTGTTTAACAGCATCCCCGACTTTTACCCACCAGATGCCAGTAGCACTACCCAGGAGCCCTCACTAGTGACAACCAAAACTGTCTCCAGAGATTGCCAAAAGTCCCCTAGGGGTCAGTGACCCCTACTTGATAACCACTGGTTATGTGTTACTCACCATATTTATTGCGCCTAGCCCACTGACTGACACAGAGCGATAGATATGTGGAGTTCCCCTGCCCTAATATCTCAGGTTTCTTCAAACGTTGCAGGGCCACGTGTATACACAGCAGATAAGCTCAGTATTTTTCTCATGTTTTAAAGCAGTTTTACTGTATTTTCTTACTGTTGCGTGTTTTTAATGAGAGTAGCAACAGAAAAGATCTCAAGAATGTACATTGTGTAGGACACGTAGGGTACTGCTGTTACTCTATTCATCATCTGGGGTATACCATGGTTCATAGGCAGAGATTATCAGTATGATTTGGGTAGAAAGTATAAGAGACAGCAACTTCAACTACCACTTCCTACTCATCTACTTCTCTTTGAAAGCTACAGCTATGCTTTGTATACATTTTTTATCTGAATTCTGTTCAGATAAAACATTTTATTATTTACATTTATTTTTATAATAATAATAACATTATTATTAATGTTATTTACATTTATTTAGGTAATTACCTGACAGTGTCTTAAGTGGCAGATACTACTATGTCTGATTTACATGGGTCACTGAAAACAAGTTTTTTTTGTTTTTTTTTTGTTTTTTTTGTTTTTTTTTGGAGACGGAGTCTCGCTCTGTCGCCCAGGCTAGAGTGCAGTGGCGAGATCTCGGCTCACTCCAAGCTCCGCCTCCCGGGTTCATGCTGTTCTCCTGCCTCAGCCTCCCGAGTAGCTGGGACTACAGGCGTCTGCCACTGCGCCCGGCTAATTTTTGAAAACAAGTATTTTGTTTCAGTGTGTCTAGTTGTTATACTTAGGACTTTTTTTCATGTTCATTAAAGATCGAAGAAAGCCAAACTTTGACCTGTCACTAGGCAGCATTTGTGTCATATTTATCCTAAATTTATATGAATCTTGGCTTTTGTTGGTTTTGTCTTCTTTATATATTTACTGGCTGTCTCTCAATTTATAGAACACGAGACCAATGGTGTGGCAAAGAGTGATCAGAAACAAGAACAGCTGTTACTCAAGAAGATGTATTTAATGCTTGACAATAAGAGAAAGGTAGTTATTTACTTTCCAGAATAGCATGCCACTTTTGTTATACACTGTAAATAATGGACTCAAAGTTTAGAAGAGAGGAAAAATTATAGCCACCTGGCTTAGAGCCCCAGTTGAGAATGAAATGATATTTGCTTTTCTTTTAAAAAATATTTTAAAATTCAGTGATTAAAAATGAATTTATTTCACTTTGTTTCTTCTATTGCCTTTAGGAAGTAGTTCACAAAATAATAGAGTTGCTGAATGTCACTGAACTTACCCAGAATGCCCTGATTAATGATGAACTAGTGGAGTGGAAGCGGAGACAGCAGAGCGCCTGTATTGGGGGGCCGCCCAATGCTTGCTTGGATCAGCTGCAGAACTGGTAAGATTCTCCAAAGCAGAAAACTGGCAGCTGACTGGCTAACCACATAAACACATAAATGTACCTTTGAGCTGTGTTAGTTGAATGGACCCTGTCAAAACATTAGTATAGAGTTTGACATAGTCCAGCTTCTGCTTACCCTGGAAACACTCCCTTGGAAAGCACAGTGTTATTCATGACTCTCGCCACGTTCAGCCACGTCTGCTTGGTTTGGAGCACTCCTGTACCATGGGGTGTCGTTTGACTGTACAAAACATCAGTGACATGGTCGTTATAGAACACATTTAATGACTTGACTCTTAATGTTTCCTTAAAAACAAGATAGCTTGAGGCATTTTTCTAGGCTTACAGAATAGTTTTTTAGGAAACATTCAGTCATCCATCCAGTAATACTTATTAAATGCCTACTGTGTGCCGGGCACTGTAGGACCTGGGCACACAAGGATGAGTGATTCTTGGCCCTTGCCAACAAGGAGTTCTCAGTGTGGAGGGGGGGATGTAGACATGGTAATAATTCGTGTGGTAAAAGTATCCAGGTGCTCTAGCAAAAGGCCATCAGAATTCTGTGGAGGACAAAGGAAAGCATCTCCAGGGAAGGTTTCATAGAGGAAGTGGCCTTGTGCTGACTCAAAAGTCACTAGGATTACTCCACGTAGATCAAGGGGAAGTGCTTTCCAGCACAGAGCACAGCGTGTGCAAAGGCACACATGTGGGAGACTGCAGGGGCTGTATTGGGTGGCTGGAGAGTGGGGTGTCCAGGGAGATGGGAAGGAAAGTGGACCCGGTGGGAGATGCTGGAGCCTGATGGTGCAGGTTCTCAGCACCATGCTGGGAATGGGGGATGTACGCAGCTGTACTGCTGAGCCAAGGCAGGCTTTTTTCTTAAGCAGGAGATGTATTTCTCTGATCTTTGATTTAGAAAGGGCACTCTGGCCACAGCCTGGAGGATAGGATAGAGACAGAAAGACCAGTTGGAATACTATTAGCATATTAGTGTGGTCCAGGTGAGGGGCAACAGGAGCTGAACTTGGAATCACAGAGTGAACATGAGGGAAGGTGGCCTGGGACAATTGCTAAGGGTCCAAGGACCAGAGATCTCACGAGGTTATTTTCTATATTGCCAGTTTTTAAAAAAATCACAATTAATATTCAGCCATTTATTTTTGTTCTGTGAATTGCCTGTAGGTACCCCAGATTTCTTGTGGGTTAGAGCAGAGCTTCTGAGCCCAGTGCACCCCATGTGCCTTGAGGGATACATACAACCCTAAAGCCCTTCAGGTGGCCAGGGAGGCCCTGGGGTGTTTAGAGCCCCCTAGTGGTCCTCCTAGACCACAGGAGCCTCTTGTAGGGACACACATGCCCTCTAGTTTTCCCACTGTGCTGTCATTTTCTCTGTGTGCAAGCAGAGTTGGGGACACTGGTTTAGCTTCTCCGCTGGAACTCAGCCAGCCGTTATCCTGCCTTCTCCTTTCCTGACGAAGGGCTGCTGTCCCAGGGCTTTGAACTGGAATCGAGCAAAATCAGAAAGTGAAGTAGATACTTTTCCCAGGGAAGAAGACACTTTTAAAAGGTTTTCTTCTGTCATTACTGCAAGTGAATAAAACAGCGTTTCCCCAGCCTGTGTTGCTGTTAGCAGTTGACTGCAAGGAAGGAAGACTAAGAGCAATCACTGGGTTTACTCATTGGCTTTTTATGTTTAGGGTCTAGACTGAGCATACTGCCTTCTCCTTTCAGTTGAGTGAAACCAGAATCATCATTCCTTCCTCTCTTCCTGTCCCCGGCCTTGTCTCCCATCTCTGTCTCTCCTCCTGCCCCTCTGCCCCACATCTCTGACTGGTCCTGCCGAGACACTGCTTGCTGATGCCACTCTCTTGACAGAACCTGCAGTGGCTCTTTGCTGCCTCTTGCATCACCTGGAAGCACCTGCTTTGCTGTTTTCCCTGCCTCTGGCCTCCTCTTTGCCCTGCACCAGTCACAGATCACCTAGAAGCCCTGCCTCCACCCATCTCTCCTCACATAGGCCTCAGTGGTGTGTAGAAGTTTTTGATGTAGGCTGTAATCATTCAGTGCATGTTAGTTGTACTCCTCAAATAACAAAGCTTCTACTGCTGGCACAAGCCTCGTTCCCTTTGTTTTTCCCTAGAGGGCAGAGCATGGCATCCTAGGTGACATTTTGTGTTGCATATAACCACTTGTTGGTTTCCATGCCATATGGTTTGGCCGTGTCCCCACCCAAATCTCACCTTGAATTGTAATAATCCCCATGTGTCAAGGGCAGGGCCAGGTGGAGATAATTGAATCATGGGGGTGGTTCCCCCAATACTGTTCTCATGGTAGTGAGTAAGTCTCACGAGATCTGATGGTTTTATAAGTGGGAATTTCCCTCCACAAACTCTCTTGCCTGCCACCATGTAAGATGTGACTTTGCTCCTCATTTGCCTTCTGCCATGATTGTGGGGCCTCCTCAGCCATGTGGAACTATGTGTCAATTAAACCTCTTTCCTTTATAAATTCTCCAGTCTCGAGTATGTCTTTATTAGCAGCATGAGAATGGACTAATATACCATGATTCCCTTTAATCCAGGCTGCTTCTGGACTGTTTCTCATAGAGACATCTGTGTCTTGTGTCTTCCCAGGTTCACTATAGTTGCGGAGAGTCTGCAGCAAGTTCGGCAGCAGCTTAAAAAGTTGGAGGAATTGGAACAGAAATACACCTACGAACATGACCCTATCACAAAAAACAAACAAGTGTTATGGGACCGCACCTTCAGTCTTTTCCAGCAGCTCATTCAGAGGTAACTCAAGGGACATTTATTTGTACCTTCTGTAATCGGTCTATACAGAGGAACATTTTACCGTTAATTCAGATGATTTACAAGGGTTTAATAGGTGTTTTTTATATATATATATATATATATATATATATATTTTTTTTTTTTTTGAGATAGAGTCTCACCTATCACCCAGGCTAGAGTGCAGTGGCGTGATCTTGGCTCACTGCAACCTCCACCTCCCAAGTTCAAGCAATCCTCCTGCCTCAGCCTCCCAAGTAGCTGGGACTACAGGCGCATGCCACCCCACCTGGCTAATTTTTTTTAGTAGAGACTGGGTTTCGCCATGTTGGCCAGGCTGGTCTCCAACTCCTGAACTCAGGTGATCTGCCCTCCTCGGCCTCCCAAAGTGCTGGGATTACAGGCGTGAGCCACTGTGCCTGGCCTCAAATTTTTTAATGACAATGACTCTTCCTGAATTATTTGGTTATACCAGTGGTTCTTCACTCTTGTGGCCAGCTAGGCTGGAAGCTATAGTAACCTTCCACTCCTCCTTCCCCTTTGGCTGAGTCTCCGCCGTGACCCTAACATGCCTCACCTCCTCCTCTCCCCTCCTCATGTCTCAGGCTCTCAAATCCTCCTTTCTGGACTCTTCCCCAGCCTCCCCACCAGTCCTCCTTCCCAGTCCTTCCTCCCTGTGACCAGTGCTGTCCCAGAGCAGAGTTCCATTCTGGTTCCTCATCACCTGCTGATCCAAGTGAATGCCCAGCTGGGCATTCACGGCCCCCCTTCTGCAGCCTGGACCTAGCTGAACACTCCACGCTTCACGTCCACACACGCCCCTTTCTAGGCAAACTTGACCTCTTGCTGATTCCTATAGGGGCCATGCCGCATACTTGCTTTTCTGTGGCTCTCCTGAGGATACTTCCTCTTCCTCAGAGCCTTCTTTTCATGTACCTGCTTTCAAAATTGTATCATCCCGAAAGCTTCACCTTGTATCTCATCATTTAATCTTCCCAGATTTCCCAAACAGATGTTATCTCCCTTCGTGGCCTACAGTCACCCTTCGTTCCTTTCCTACTCTGCCTTTTGTTATATAGTTGTTATGTATTTCTTTATATTTCTTGAATATCATAAAGTTCTGGAAGGCAGAGACATGCCTTTGTCACCCTTTTCCCCCAGCAGGACCTAGCGCAGTGCCTTGTGAACAGTAGGCTCTCTAGACACACTTAGTAGATAGATAAATGTCACTGAGTGGAAAAGAAGGGTTCATATTGCAAGTTTTTTTTTTTTTAATGCAAACTTGACATGATAAAAATGTACTTGATTTTGGGTGGAAGCAATAGCTGAGTGGCAGCGGCTGCTGATTGCGTTCCAGGGGGCAGAGTCGGGGAAGACATTTACTCTCCCAGAACAGCCTATCTCATTCCTTTCCTTCAGTTACCCGTGGTGCAGAGAGTCAGGGCAGCAGCTGTAGCAGCAAGGGTGGCCGTGGCAGCGGTGGCAGCTACAGTGACATGTCCAGCATGAATCCCAAATTGATTATTTATTCAAATTACTTCTGATTGGCGACTCTGGGGTTGGAAAGTCTTGCCTCCTTCTTAGGTTTGCAGATGATAACATATACAGAAAGCTACATCAGCACAATTGGTATGGATTTCAAAATAAGAACTATAGAGTTAGACGGGAAAACAATCAAGCTTCAAATATGGAACACAGCAGAACAGGAAAGGTTTCGAACAGTCATCTCCAGTTATTACAGAGGAGCCAATGGCATCCTAGTGGTGTATGATGTGACAGATCAGGAGTCCTTCAATAATATTAAACAGTGACTGCAGAAAATAGATCATTATCCCAGTGAAAACGTCAACAAATTGTTGGTAGGGAACAAGTGTGATCTGACCACAGAGAAAGTAGTAGACTACACAACAGCCAAGGAATTTGCTGATTCCCTTGGAATTCTGTTTTTGGAAACTAGTGCTAGGAATGCAACAAGGCCCGGCACGGTGGCTCATGCCTGTAATCCCAGCACTTTGGGAGGCCGAGGTGGGTGGATCACCTGAGGTCAGGAGTTCGAGAGCAGCCTGGCCAACATGATGAAACCCCATCCCTACTAAAAATACAAAAATTAGCCAGGCATGGTGGCGGGCGCCTGTAATCCCAGCTACTTGGGAGGCTGAGGCAGGAGAATTGCTCGAACCCAGGTGGCGGAGGTTGCAGTGAGCCGAGATTGCGCCATTGCTCTCCAGCCTAGGAGACGGAGCAAGACTCTGTCTCAAAAAAAAAAAAAAGAAAGAATGCAATGAATGTAGAACTGTGTTCCATGATGATGGCAGCTGAGATTAAGAAGCTAATGGGTCCTGGAGCAACAGCTGGTGGTGCTGAGAAGTCCAGTGTTAAAATTCAGAGCACTCTGGTCAAGCAGTCAGGTGGAGGTTCCTGCTAAAATTTGCCTCCATCCTTTTCTCACAGTAATAAATTTGCAATCTGAACCCAAGTGAAGAAACAAAATTGCCTGAATTGTACTGTATGTAGCTGCACTACAACAGATTCTTACCATATCCACAGAGGTCAGAGATTGTAAATGGTCAATACTGACTTTTTTTTTTTATTCTCTTGACTCAAGACAGCTAACTTCATTTTCAGAACTGTCTTAAACCTTTGTGTGCTGGTTTATAAAATAATGTATTTTCCTGATATCAGACTGTTTTCTCGTGGTTGGTTAGAATATATTTTGTTTTGATGTTTATATTGGTGTGTTTAGATGTCAGGTATAGTCTTCTGAAGATGAAGTTCAGCCATTTTATATCAAACAGCACAAGCAGTGTCTGTCACTTTCCATGCGTAAAGTTTAGTGAGATGTTATATGTAAGATCTGATTTGCTAGTTCTTCCTTGTAGAGTTATAAATGGAAAGATTACACTGTCTGATTAATAGCTTCTTCATACTCTGCATATAATTTGTGGCTGCAGAATATTGTAATTTGTTGCATACTATGTAACAAAACAACTGAAGATATGTTTAATAAATATCGTACTTATTGGAAGTAATATTTAAAAAAATGTACTTGGTTCCCTATGGCTAATGTTCAAACAAGAAGTCCTGTATGTTGGGTTTTTTAAAATTTAAAAACATTACTTGTACTTTGAGTGCACATTTTATTCTTAATTCTGACATGTAAATGAACATAATTAAATACGGGGTTTTTATTTTTTATTTTGGATTTTTGAGACAGGGCCTCACTCTGTCATCCAGACTGGAGTGCAGTGGTGTGATCATGGCTCACTTCAGCCTCAACCTCCTGGGCTCAAGTGATCTTCCCACTTCAACCCTCCAGTAGTTGGGACTAATTAGCCACGCCTGGCTAATTAAAAAAAAAAAAACAAATTGTAAAGATACGGTCTCACTATGTTGCCTGAGCTGGTCTTGAACTCCTGGGCTCAAGCAATCTTCACACCTCAGCCTCTTAAAGTGCTGGGATTACAGACATGGGCCACTGTGCCTAGCCTTCATTGTATGTTTGTTTCAATGTAATAGTTTCACAGATCATTACAGTTATTCTGTTTCTGTTAAGTCCCTATTAGGTTTTGGGATTTCTTTACTAATTAGAAAATATCACTTTGTTCATCCAACTTGTCAGAATCTTTCAAATGATTTTTTAGATCGTACTCTCTAACCCCCTTTTTTCTTTCAGGAAAATCATTGTGATTGCCTCAACCTTAATGGAAATGCTAACTTATCTATCCTTTGCTGGGTATTTGCAGCTCGTTTGTGGTGGAAAGACAGCCCTGCATGCCAACGCACCCTCAGAGGCCGCTGGTCTTGAAGACAGGGGTCCAGTTCACTGTGAAGTTGAGGTAACAAGGGAAAGATGGCATCCCATACATCACCTGTCACGTAGTTTGTACCCCTAGTTTCCTTTTATAAAAACTGTTATATAGGGTGCTTTTGAGGAAATAATTTTTCAGGGGGCACTTTAATATGAACTCTTACTGAGAATATCTGAGAGTCTTTTATTAATATATTCATAGTAGAAATGTAACTGATATACATATATGTACACACTCCTGGTTTTTTTCCAATCATAAATGTAATGCGTGTTCACAGGAAAACAGAATTCCAAATTGCAGAAATGTGTGTAATAGAGAGTAAAAGTTCCTGGCTGCCTCACCCCTCTTGGGCATAGGCTCATAACCTGAGCCTTATGAACCCCAGAAGCTGTATGAATGTGGATTTATAACATGTACATTTTTCTGATGGATGGATTTATAGCTTTCATCAGTTTCTCAAAGCAGTCCGTGATATAAATATCTGTGGACCACCACAGTAAATGGCCTAGTGTCTGTCCTCCCAGGATTTTGTCCATGTCTACACAAATATATATTTCATACGGAAACACACACGCACAAACATGACATAATGTTTCCTTTTTAAAAAATTAGGATTCCATGTCTACACAAATATTTCATATAGAGACACACACACACACAAATATGACATATTTCTTTTTTAAAAACTCGGAGTAGGCTACATACATTGTTTTGTAGTCTTTCTCCTCGATACTAATTGTAGAAGTGTTTCCAGGAATATGTGGCTTTACTTTCTTCCATTGAATGGCTGCATTGCTTTAAGCATTCTTCTTATGATGAGTAGCTAGACGCTGAAGAACTGGACTGGCCTTCATAGTTGGCCCGGGTCCTTTTTCTGGGGTGTTGCTGATTTAAGTCTGTGGTTAACCCTCCCTGGCTGGTAGGTACAATGTCACACTGAAGCCCTCGTGGAATTTTAGAACTCAGCAGCTGGAAGGGACAGTAGAAATCTGATCCCATCCACCTGCTCCACTGAACGGAGCAGACAGAGCCCCGGGGTCTCCTTCTCAAAGTCTCCAGCTCAGTGGAGCAGAGGTACACCCTCTCACCTGCCCTCCATCTTTCCATGCTACCCTGGGGTGACTATAGATGGGACGCTATTTTTTCTGCTTATGGGCAATAGTTTTTATTGTCTCCCAACAGGACAAAGATTAGATACAAGTTTTAATAGAAAGTAATGTTTGCTATTTTACCCATATAAATTGGCCAAAGGTCGAAATTGTGATGAAACTGAATATTGGCAAGGTTATAGAGGTAAACAGCTACCCTCATTAACTTTTGGTGGCAATGTAAAATCAGGGCGGCATCCTGTCAGAATTAGTGTTACAATTTTTCCTAAGCGGTTCCACAGCTAGGAATTTATTCTTACAAATACACTTACAAAAATTTAAGTAGATCTACAAAACTGTCAGTTTTTTTGTTGGTAATACCCTAAAACTGGAGGGGGAGTAGTTTATCTAAACGTTAATAGGGAATTGGCATAATAAATAAATTGTAACAGATAATTTTTTTTAAGTAATGGCTTTTATTTTTCTTTCCAGACTGTTGGTGAAATTGCAAGAGCTGAATTATAATTTGAAAGTCAAAGTCTTATTTGATAAGTAAGATATCTTTAACATTATATAACATACATGTACTATTGAAATGTTGATTTTGTTACTCAAGCACAGATTCCTCCACTAAATAAGCAGATTTCTAGCTGTGGAAGGGTCTATACTGGGTGGAAGTTTGCCTCCCTAGGGCCCCAGGGCTGAACCCAGAGTCCTGACAATGCTGCGCATGAGCAGAGACTTCTAGTCAGATCCACCAGGGCCATCACAAATGACCCCAGCAGATTTAAATCAGCAGCTCCCTTGGTGGATGTTGGGAGCTTCCCCTGGAGCTGGTATCAACATTCCTGTGCCTTTTTAGACTATAAATGAACAAAAGAGTGAGTGTCTCTTTGTGCATATGAGATTGTAATCAGCAAGTCTCAAAGTGGCTGGACTTGGCATGCCACCCCCTCCTTCTAGGTCAGCCCCAAAGGAGAGGCCCCTGATCCAACCCGAGGCTGAACGTCCAGGCTGCCATGATTCTGTGGTCATTTGGGGGTTTTTTTCTGGAGCGAGGTCAGCAGCATCTTGGGGAGACTGTGTGGAGCCTGTGGGATTCACTCTTGTCTCTTCTGGGCAGTGGGAACCCAGGAATGGGCATCTCTCTTGGGGGTCCAGGTGGAGCAGCCTCATCCTATTTTGCCCTGAGACCCTAGACCTGGACTGGCACTAACTTGGCCACTCTCATTAAGGAACAAGATGGCTCCCCCCCCACCCCTCCCATATTTAATGTTTTTGTTAGCTTGTGTCACATACTGTTTTGGCAAGTTTCAAAAATGATTTATGATCATTCAGATCATTTTCCTCTGGCTTTTTGCTTTTTCCCACTCCTATAAGAATATTCTTCCTCATAGCATGGTCTGTGCCTTGTCTTCCCTGCCATCATCTTTGGTATATCGGTTAGCTTTTGCTTCCTAACAAACCACTCCCAAAACTTAGTGGCTAGGCCAGGTGCAGTGGCTCACACCTGTAATCCCAGCACTTTGGGAGGCCAAGGCAGGCAGATCACATGAAGCCAGAGTTTGAGACCGGCCTGGCCAACATGGCGAAACCCCGTCTCTACGAAAAATACAAAAAATTAGCCAGGTGTGGTGGTGTGCACCGGTAATCACAGCTACTTGGGAGGCCGAGGCACGAGAATCGCTTGAACCTGGGAGGCAGAGGTTGCAGTGAGCTGAGATCATGCCACTGCACTCCAGCCTGGGTGACAGAGTGAGACTCTGTCTAAAAACAAACAAACAAAAACTTAGTGGCTAAAAACTCAAAAACTCATTATTTCTCATATTCTGTGAGTTGTAGGTTGTCCTGGTCTGAGCTAGTGTGGTTGGAGCCAGGTGCTCTAGCAAGGCCTTATTACATGACTGGGACTCAGCTGGGATAACCAGGTCCTTCTTCATGCACCTCAAAAAGGCTAGCCTGGGCTTTTCCCATGGTGACAGTGTTCCAAGTGAACAAGGCCTGTGAGTGCTAGCCTTGGAACATCTATAGCATCACTCCCTTCCATCCTGTTGCTAAAAGCAAATCAAGGCCAGCTGAGATTCGGGGGATGGGGAAGTATATCCTACTTCCTAAACGGAGGAAGCACAAGAGTTGTGTTGCCATTGCAGTTTACCATCTTCTGCGTCAGCTCAGCTCCTCTCAGCTGCTTCGGGCCCTTGTGTCTTTTCTGTCGGTTCCAGCTCTGACGGTCTTCTTAGCTTTGACAAGTCAGCTTTTATCATACTATCCCTTTTATTTTAAATTCTTTTTTTTTCCAAACGGGAAAATAGGTCCCTTCCATAGCTAATGGTGATTGTCATTCACAAAAGCATTGAACTTCTGGTTGAGATTGGAAAGGAAGGGGAACTAATAGATCTGTGAGTGAGCCCATGATTTCTAGTCTACATCTAGGACGCTCACGGATACATTATTTGGCCAGAACATGACAAAGTAATCACTGGATATAGAAGTGCAAGGTCTTTCAAAATTTTAACCTCAGACTTAAAACTTAAACTTGCCACTTTCCCCAGATAACTGACTTTCCTGGTACTTTCATGAGAGCATTAAAGATCATAGAGAATAAAAATGAGAATTAAATGGTCACATTGGCAGTCCTCTGAGCTTTGTGACTACTGGGCAGTGCTGTTGGCTGGATCCCCAGTGCTTAGTGCAGGGCCTTGCACCAAGTAGCTGCTCAATAAACAATAACGATAGCTTAAACATTTATTGAGGGTGTACTGGTGCTGGTGCTTACATTTATTGAGGGTGTACTGGTGAGGAATTAACTAGTTTATTCCTCATGATGTCCTATATGTTGGCACTGTTAGTATGTTGTGCAAATGAACAATGTAAGGCCCAGACCATTTATTTGCCAAAGGTCATTCAGTGATACTTGCCAGACCTAGTATGGGTAGATGGAAGCAGGGAGTGAATGAAAGGCTGCAAATCCATAGGTGTAGATTTATTTTTTATTCATCATTCACTTACACTCTTATGCTCTTATACTCTTATAATTTTGTTAAAGCTTATTTCAAATTTTAAATACGCATATGTGATTATATATATTTTTTTTGCAGAGATGTGAATGAGAGAAATACAGTAAAAGGGTACGTGACGTACTTTACGCTATACTGTGCTATATTTTTATTTATTTAATAGTTGGAAGACTTTTCAGCATTTCTTTCCTATATTGTATAGATTTAGGAAGTTCAACATTTTGGGCACGCACACAAAAGTGATGAACATGGAGGAGTCCACCAATGGCAGTCTGGCGGCTGAATTTCGGCACCTGGTAGGGACATCAGTTTCCTCTCTATGTTGTCTCTGGTTTCTTAGGACTTTTGACAATAGAGCAGCCCTTTTTGGCACATTGCCATGTGGAGGACGCCCCCCTGCTGGGGTTTGTAGACTTTGTGGCTGGTGTCTTCCTGTCGCCAGTACTTGGGGCATTTTGGTTTCTCCTCCTTATCCCACGACTGTTCACTCTGTTTTCTGGGCTGTATCACTTGCAGTAAAAATATTTCCTAAGCCTGTGTTTACGTAAATGATTTGCACTTGCTGCCTGCATGATCCCCACGGTCACTCACCTACGCTTGCAGTTTTCTCAAAGGTTATGGCTCCCGTGTCCTGACTGTGATCCAAGTGTGGTCCTGTACACCAGGGTTCACTCCTCAGCCCCCGTGTTCCCCTTCCTGGTGGCCCTGCCCACAGCCCCTGCCTCCACGCCAGCCTGACTCTACCACCTTTTCTCCAGGGCAGTAGGGCTCATTCCCCAGGCAGTGGAGACCCAGCAGGATGCT
The DNA here is from genome assembly GCF_000001405.40 of Homo sapiens. NCBI lineage: Eukaryota > Metazoa > Chordata > Mammalia > Primates > Hominidae > Homo > Homo sapiens. The sequence continues at coordinate 190,986,345 of NC_000002.12, read as the reverse complement.
CTGTGTGGGTGCACCATCTTTCCTCCTCTGTGAACATGGGGGCTGCCAGTTGCTGTGAGGCTCTGTGGGTGCTGAGTCCGAAGCTTTCCCTGGGCCCAGAACCTGCAGGAGGTTAAAGGCATCCTTTTTCACTAGAGACCACTTTGTGATCCAGCAAGCCTCGTAGCTAGGAAGCTCTACCTAACTCGAAAGCTTAGCCCAACTCAGGTGCCTGAGGGTATTCAGAGCCGCCCTCAGGGCCCCAGCCTGCTCCCTCGTCAGCTCAGGGATTGACAGCTCAGAGATTGACGTCCACTTGAGGGCAGGTGGACCTGGAGTCACTGGGCCCAGCCTGGAGGACTCTGCTGAGGGAAAGGGGAGGGAGAAGCTGTCCCGAGCCTCAGGGCATGAAACAGTTAACGAAGGTGCATGGGGAAACATTCAGGGAAAGTTTGAACACAGGAGAGGAGCGGGTTGTGATTCCAAGAGATCCCTCCAGACTGGTGTCCGCACCATGAGGCCACTGAGGAAACGTGCTTCTGCTCATGGACCCTGAACGAGGGCCAATTTGTCCCATGTTCTGCATTCTAAAGATAAAGTCACGTCTGTCATTCTTTCTAGTCCTAACTTTGTTCTCATTTGTAAATGAAGATAGCAACTTTGACCATTACCATGGTGTTTACTAAGATGATTATTTGTTTTATAGCAATTGAAAGAACAGAAAAATGCTGGCACCAGAACGAATGAGGTGAGAGTCCCTTTATGTTGTGAATGGGCCCAAATCAGGCAGGTCTGTCTAGCAAGGACAGGTCAGTTGGTGGCTGGGGACACCTCACAGAGGAGTTCAGACCCATCAGGGAAGAGCAGCAAAGGAGCTGGGTATTTGGTATATCTGTGACAACAGTAAAAACACCACATTTGTGCTTTACTATTGTCAAACGATTTTGCACACAAATTCATTAGACACTCATGGACAACTCAGTGGAGTAGCTGTTGTGGGCTTTTGTATTCTTCGCATCTTACGGGTGAAGAAATTGACTCACAGAAGTTTGCAGGATTTAGCTAAGGGTGCACAGAGTTACTGTCAGAGTTGGAACGAGAGGCCACTTTGATGACTGCCTTGCTGTGTGCCAAGAGGGCTTTTCGGCCATTGCATCCCCTACCAAAAGCATTGCCTTTGCATCAGTTTCCTTCCTACAGCGTGATCCTTAAGGAGTTGGGTTTGTGATGCATTCAGAAATGAACTATGGACAAAGGATGAAATATCTGGAGTTGTTTTGGTTGAGAACACTTTCGTCATTTATGCACACACAGTGTGCAGTCCTTCCACACCAGGACCAGTGGAGGTCACATGGAGCAGCGGGACAAACACAGGCCCAGGCAGTGCAAAGATGCCTTCTAGCCCTGGTGTGCGCCTGAACTATGTTTTGACCTCCCTGGGTCTAGCTGTTGCACCTCTCTAGTTCTAAGTTGTGAGGCTCACATGAGGTAATGCTTATGAAGGCACTTTGAAATCTATCCATTTCTACCGAAACCAAGACAACTTGTGACCTGCCAAGTTGATGTGAGTCAGCCCTTCCGGTAGGCAGTAGACAATCACAAGTATGCACTTACTCCCAGTCCTCTCACCTTCTCCCCACCCATCTGCATTGAGATGTGCAGCCACACTGGGCAGGCAGACAGAGCTGAGGGTCGAGAAGCCTTAGGTCACAAAGCCATTAGTTGCTCTTTCCCCATTGACAATCATTGCTCTGAATCTATAACCCTTGCCGTAACTTCAGACACTTATCTTTCAGAGCACACTGAGATACTAAGAATCATTAAATCTGGGAGAGATTGAATATTGAGTCTTCAGACTTGCCACTGATTGGGCCCAGGATCTCTGTGGCCTGTTGCAATGTTAATTGGGCTTTTGAAAGTTTTAGGATCTGTGAATAATTATATTCTTTTCTTCTTTCCTTTTCTCTTCCAAGGGTCCTCTCATCGTTACTGAAGAGCTTCACTCCCTTAGTTTTGAAACCCAATTGTGCCAGCCTGGTTTGGTAATTGACCTCGAGGTAAGACTTTTATGGTCCCGAGTTGGAAAACTTCATTATTTTTACTTTTAATTGTTACATGTATTTTTATTTCTCAGTGTTTGTTCTGGAGGTATTTACCTAATTGTTTTAAAATGATCTTTTTCAGCTAATACTATCTTAACCTTAATTTATGGTCCAGAAAGCTAGACAATTGAATTAACCTTCAAATTCAATAACTTAAAAGTTCCAGTTGAGATCGCTGATGTTAATTTTTTTTTTTTACATTAAGCATTGGGACTTATTTATTTTGCTCTGCCCTCCCCCCACATTTTATGTTTTCATTGTGACAGTTTTCATCTTCTCATATTGCATATCCCTTAATTAATTATTGTAGCTATTATTATTTTTAGGGACTTATTTCTTAACTGAAAGATACATCAAAGACAAGTTAAACTGGACAGAAGAACAGAACTTAACACTTCTCATTTTCAAGTATTAAATATGTACAAATTTACAAATAATCCCCTGCTTTTAGTTGAGGCTAAGCAGTTATCTGAAGGTGACATTTCTGTGATTCAGATGATTTCAAGGTCTTTGTCATCCTTTAGACGACCTCTCTGCCCGTTGTGGTGATCTCCAACGTCAGCCAGCTCCCGAGCGGTTGGGCCTCCATCCTTTGGTACAACATGCTGGTGGCGGAACCCAGGGTATGGAAAACACATTTGCTTTGGTCCCAGGGTTAAGCAGAGACCCCACGCTCTCACTGCTGCATCTCTGAAATAGCCCCAATGGCCAGTTGTTAAGGGAGAAGTGACAAAGCTCCTGTGGTATTTCTAAGGCTTTTGAGTAAATCTGGGAATATGAAGCATGGATATGTATTTGAAATGAGAATTACGTTTTTTCTCCCATGTGGGTAAGCTAGGGCAGTCAGTGATTCCATACCACTTTATTGTTATTATTTTTAAAATGTATACATCTACTAAACAAGCATGCTCCATTCTTAGAGTGTGGATACTCACTGTTAATTAATTACAGTCATTTATAATTATTCAAAGTACTTATGTTTTTTAAAGTCACCAGGAACACTTAACTAGCAAATAATGAATTGTTGCTCCTAAGGGAACTACGAGGCTAGGTTCCTTCAAGCCTCTGGTCACAACATTTTTGTCAACCCATCAATGCATAACATTGTTTATGTGTGTTTCTGTTTAAAGACACCTTATCTAATACACTTGTTGAGGCATTAACATTACACCTATAGCTAGGATCACTGTAACTCATGCCTGAGTGAAGCTTGCCTCACACATGTATTTTCTCCATAAGGCACATCCCAGCCTTCCCATGCTTAGGAACAGTAGACCACACTGTGGTACTATGCTCGGGCACCATTTTAAACAGGGATCACCAACAGCAGTCACAAAATGCAAAAAACATGGCGCTAAATAGGCTTCAAAAAGGACACGTTTTTCTTATGAGAGGTGAAACAGGAAGCGAGTGTCATTTTGTTTGGCTTCAGTTGGAAGCGTGTTAAGAGACTCGAATTCTTTGCTGCTGTGTGCTGCTGTGTGTGCACGGGTGTGTCTTCAAATGACCCCAAAGATGCCATGTATTTAGATTTTGGAGTTACAAGTAAATTTTAGTGAGTAAACAAGTTCACAAATGTGCATCTGTAAATAATGAAAATTGACTGTATTTCTCTTCCCCTACTGTGAAAGCACCTGTGTGTCATATAAACTAGAATTGAACTTTGGGATGGACATATGTTTTAGTGCCACACTTGTGACTGGTGTCTCTGTAGTAACCCTTAGATTTTGGGTGTTTTCTCTCTAGAATCTGTCCTTCTTCCTGACTCCACCATGTGCACGATGGGCTCAGCTTTCAGAAGTGCTGAGTTGGCAGTTTTCTTCTGTCACCAAAAGAGGTCTCAATGTGGACCAGCTGAACATGTTGGGAGAGAAGCTTCTTGGTATATGCATATTAACTTGTTATGTTTATAAAAATTGAAATTCATAAAAATATCTCTCTAATTGCTCTTTTCCCCTCTGCTATTTTGTTAAAGGTAAAAAAGTACTAAAATCTGTCAGCTTTTCAAGCTATAGTTTATTATAGCTAAGTGAGAATCATATGTCACCTTAGAAAGAAATATAGACCTGATAACATTTAAATGAATCCGTTCCTCATTGTCTCATATTAAGATTTCTGAGATGAATTCCCAAGGGAAAGTTTTATGAATTATGTAAAATATATTATTTGTGGCTGAAATAAGTTCCTGGATGAGAAAGATGAAGGCCTATTAACCATTAACCTTGGGGAGAAAAAAGGAAGTCCCTGACATGATGAGAAATAAAGTCCTGGGGCTTGCCCACTGCAGCATAAACCCAGGGCCCTTGCCTCAGGTGGGGCCCAGGTAGCAGAGGATGCCGTCCCCACAAGAGGATGCCTCTTTTGATCTGCAGTTTTGCCTGATTGGACAGAGTCTAGACAGTGGTAGATAATTCCCTTTCAGTGGTTAATGTCAGTGCATTTATTAGTCCTTCATACTAAACAAATCAAAGATCCACTAGTCTCAAGGTCAGATCTTTCAGTGAGTGAGGCTATCTGAACTATTTCTTTAAAAATCCGTGGACAACTTGTATCCAGATTTGCTTTCTGTAGAGCAGCACTGCATTTACTCCAAACAGCAGTAGGCTCTTCCTAACTCAGTGACTTTCAACAGTGCCTTCTTCTCTTGGATATGCAGCTGTCACAGTGGTGGTCTTGTGCTGTTTAATACAAGTACAAAATCCCCTTATTCCATTTCTTTATTTGGTGAGAGTTAAGAAGGATATCTTTTCTAGCTGTAATGGCTCATTTGTAGTTCTCTTTGAAGACCGATAATGGGCTTACCGCCTCTTCTCGCCCAGGCTGCTTTAATTTGTGTAGCTAATAACCCCGGGCTTCTTCCTCTCGTTTCTCTCACTTGGTTTTTGATTTGCATCAGACTGCCTGAGCCCATGTCCTATTTGGAGGAAAGCTGAGGGAAATGCATAAATAATGTCTAAAATAAACTTGTAAAGTCAAGTATCAGTTACATTGAAGATCTAGGGGTGATCTTGGGCACCTAGGTTGAACTTTGAAAAAAATTCTGTAGGATCCTTGGGAGAGGGGGCTCTGCTGAGCAGCAGAGGAAGGCAGTGGGAAGAGGCACTGGATAGGGAGGCTTCTCTAGGAGGCCCAGCAGAACACCTTTGATTTAGTGCAAAAGGCAAAGTCAGCTGATGGTCTTGGAAGGAAGTGTAACATGAAGAGGCATTAAAAGGACTGTCCTCTCTTTAGAGGAGGGAGGGAAAAGGGGGGCTGGGGAGGGAGAGAGCAGATGGTAAGGCTTTGTGATGTTTCCGCTTTCCCTAAAAACTCTCATATCGTGGTGCCCAGGAATCTGCCATCCATTCCTTTCTGCCATTAAACTCAAACCAACATATACATATTTTAGACCATTTAAATTCCGCCCTCTTACAGCACGTATTATAATTGCTCAGTTAATTTGGCATTAAGGTATCCGAAAATGTCAACTGTGTACATACAATCTTTGTTGGGTGTTTGGCTCTTTTCCTTGAGAGCAAATACAAGAGCCATCCGTCCAACCAAAGCTTTAGAATCAGTTTCTGTTTGCTGAAAAATCTGGTTTTTATTTGTTTAGGTCCTAACGCCAGCCCCGATGGTCTCATTCCGTGGACGAGGTTTTGTAAGGTGAGGACTGTCTGGGTTTTATGCTCTCTAAGTCCTTTTTGCTCTTGGTTGAGGTTCTCATGTTTCTTGCTGTGATAGTTACTTAACTGTTTGCTTATTTTGGCGTGTTCTTCTCTGGCCAAGGAGCCCCTCGGGCAAGTTGTTTACTTTTCTTCAGTGCAGGAGGTTGGTCTCCGAGCAGGAGTCTGACAGGAAGCACCTGCCTGAGTGATAACATTCTTTCATATCTGAAATGAGGCTTCTGTTCACTCACGCTGGACCCCTGCCCAGCAGTGTTTTAGCCATTTCTGTGTGAAATGTATGTTGTGGGCTGGGTGGCGCAGCCTGACCAGCCAGACGAGTTTAACGGCCTGCTCGAGCAGAGGGGCCCACTGCGGGGAACATTTAGATTCTGCTGGAGTCACCAGACAGTGCGGACCAGCTTGCACTGCTGGATTTTGCTAGTGTGGGGCAGCTTGTGTTTCCGTGAGTCACGCTGGAGGTCACCCCCAGGCTAGCTTGCTACTGTTTGGAAAGGGAAGCAGAGCCCGGCCCAGGGAAGTGGAGAGCTCTGGAGAGCTCCTGGTCTGAATGCTGATAAGAGCGGGGAGGGAACTTGATATTCCCTGCCAGGGGAGGGATCCCATTGCTGTGCTGAATGGGACAGTTCCATCCTTGGCACCTGGGGAGTCTTTGCAAATGATGGTGGGAGGGGCCATGGTAAGTCATTGTTTTAGATTTTTGTTCATAATGTCTGCATTTGTATACTTTCAGGAAAATATAAATGATAAAAATTTTCCCTTCTGGCTTTGGATTGAAAGCATCCTAGAACTCATTAAAAAACACCTGCTCCCTCTCTGGAATGATGGGTAAGGGCCACCGATAGATGTATTTTGAAACATATTTTTAGTGCTGCGAGGTTGAGACAAGGCCTGAGTCCAGCTTCAGTATTTGACTAGGCGTGTGTGAATCTCACAGGAGTGCGCATTTATAGGCTGCCCCTTCAGGGCTTCAGAAGAGTAGAACCTCATAACATTAACCTTACACTTTCTTAGTACAAGTATATGTATTGGCAAAGCTAAATTAAAAAAAAAAAACAACTCTTGAGTGCCATTCATGCATTCATTCACTCAACAAAAATTTTTTGAGCACCTACTATGTGGCCCCTAGGAAGGAAGAAAAACCCTTTTAACTGGGTAAATCATTTCTATCTTGACTTATTGCCAGGATCGGCTGATATTTCAACAGAAGCTTTAACTTGATCAGAAGGGCTAAAATATGAAAATATATTGCCTAGGTCTTCCTCTCCAGTAAAAAAGATGTATACATTCAGACATTGTTATGGCCTTTAAAATAATAAAGGAACAATAAAAGGCTCATTAATCCCACACGTGTTATTGAGCATCTGTAGCATCCTACTGACACCATGTTCATATCGCTTTTTTTAAAACCTTAGTATATACATGTATAAGTGAAATGCTTCCTTAAGTGTCAACTGAACAGATTTTAAAATAGTCTACGTTTTTTACCGTAGGTTTTTTTTCTCACATTCCAGCCATTTTCTTGGTTTGTAAGTTAGCATGAAAATGGAAATCATGATTGAACTAAAAGCCCATCCGTCCATCTCTTCGATATCCAGGTGCATCATGGGCTTCATCAGCAAGGAGCGAGAGCGTGCCCTGTTGAAGGACCAGCAGCCGGGGACCTTCCTGCTGCGGTTCAGTGAGAGCTCCCGGGAAGGGGCCATCACATTCACATGGGTGGAGCGGTCCCAGAACGGAGGCGGTGAGTGGGAGTTTGAGCACATAGTCCCACCATTCCATGTGTGTGAAGTCCCTCTTCATCGCCGCCAGTCAGCTCATACAGATAGTGCGTTTGGGACATGAAATTGCAGATCTTATACTTACCCCAAATGAGCCCCCGATAGGATTTAATAAACCACCACAAATGTTTGTGGTTGTGGTTCACTCTCTGGAACATATTGTGGAAATGATGGTTTTGAAAAGACAATGCCAATTCTTTCCTTTGCATCAGGTTTGTTATCTGCAGATCAAGGATGTGAGTCAATGTAATCTGCAACCCGTTCTTGGAAGGAATCACATTTCCCACAGGAGTAAGCATCCACATTCTCTTAGGGTCATCCCAGAGTAGAGTGTGCAGATGAGACAGGCTTCGGGAGAAGACTTCATACACATCATCAGCCAGGGAGTTGATGCAGGACCTGTTGGGACGAGTGGCAGCCTCTACCCTGCCTTCAAACAGAGCAGCTGCAAATTTATCTTTATCATATATGGGGTTTCTATTTAATCAAATGAGTCCATGGCTAAAAGACTCCAGAAACCTTGGTGTTATGAAGCAGGTTTCTGAGGGTGAAGCTCAACAGCGTAAATGAAAAAATCATAAAGACCAACTGATTACTTTTCACTGTTGTTTAGAGTTTGGTCTGTTTGAAGGGCAGGAGGAAAAACTGATTTGTTTTAGTAATTTTTATACTTTCAGTGGGTAGACACAAAATGGAATACTCTTCTTGTTCTATTTATTTTTCTGAAATATTCCTCTTCTCCTGTTTTTCTGGAATACTCTTATTCTATTTGTTTTTCTGCCATACTCTTCTTGTTCTGTTTGTTTTTCTGGAATACTCTTCTATTTTTTTTTTCTGGAACGGTATTCTTTCTTGTTCTGTTTATTTTTCAGGAATACTCTTCTTGTTCTATTTGTTTTTCTGGAATACTTTTCTTGTTCTATTTTTCTTCTGAGGAAAAAGCAGGGAGGCTGAGATGAGAGTCTGGCGTGGGCAGTAGTCATTAGAACCTGCCCTTTTCCTCTTATCCTGTTCCCTTCCTGAACCAGCTGAGAGACAGATATAGTAGACCAAGCAGAGATGAAGAAAACCCTTGGCAACCAGGAAAGGTCAAGCAGGACACTACCAGCCAGGAAGGGTTAGGATGGCAGCATAGTCTCATGTTCCACAGCAGGCTCCCCAGAACACCTGAACCGTGGCCTCTGGAAGGTCGACACCCAAAGGGAGATTCTGTATCAGCTAGGAAGAAGGATCTGAATTCAGTCTGGGAATAAGAACGGGAGTAAATTAAACCATGGTTTATTACGTTAAGGGTTACAGGGAAATGTAGCAAATAGGATCATTTTTAATTTGAAATGTTGTTTTCTATATATCATAATTTATTTTAATAAAAAATTAGATTTTTCAATATGAAAAGAAAAACAAAGTGAGTTTATCTCTAGTAATTTAAATCTGTGGCTTAAGCCAAGATGATCCACTTAGTAGTAAGTTATTTATGTGCCTATGGGCAGCACATCATTGAAGATGCAGGCTTTTAAAGGTTTTTAATAAATCTTTTTTGCCCAGATTTATAAATCTAAGCAAATAATGGCAAATAGAATGTTATTGAGAATAATACCTCCCTTTATTTTCCCTGAGACAGTATTATAATTTATTTAGAAATAAAGCAGTCTACTGTATATGTTATAATGCTTAGATTGTGATTAGTTCTTATGAGGTTCACTCAAATCCATCAACTCTGCAGTGTTTTATTTCTCTGTCCTCTTTCATTTTGGGATGTTCTATGGGATTTACTTAGCTTTTCTCCTTTTTAGAACCTGACTTCCATGCGGTTGAACCCTACACGAAGAAAGAACTTTCTGCTGTTACTTTCCCTGACATCATTCGCAATTACAAAGTCATGGCTGCTGAGAATATTCCTGAGAATCCCCTGAAGTATCTGTATCCAAATATTGACAAAGACCATGCCTTTGGAAAGTATTACTCCAGGCCAAAGGAAGGTAAGTGGGGCAAGCAGGTGGTAACAGCGTGGCACAGTCTTTCCTGATGAGGGGGTGATTATTCTGAAACTCCACCCATGCAGTGTTTTGCTTTCGAATTGGTAAGAGTAGGCTTTCAAAAGATGGCATAAACTCAGTGCAGGTGAAACATAATGCATTATTTGGCCTGATACAGCTAGTAAGAAATGAATGGACAATTTCCTATTTTAGGAATGTTGGAAAAGTCCATTGCTGGTCTTGTGTATTTGTTACTATCACTGTTTCCACATGAAAAGGGTTTAAATAAGGAACTGTGGTAAACCAACAGAAGGCATCTTGCTCACGTTAAAGTTGAGGAAACTGAGGCCTGGGAGAAGTGAAGTGGTTCATTTAGGGTGGCCCAATTACTTACTAGATCCTATTTTTATTAGATAATTATTAAGAGGAGGCCTCATCTGAGAACACAGGTCTCTTGCTTCTCAGTTGTCAATGAATTGCATTTGAGAAGGTTCGAATTAGACCTGTTTTGTTTGGAACACACCAACAAAGCTGTTTTTCAGAATCAGAAATCTCAATATTAGGACAATTACTTTGGAATGAAGATGTCCCCAGCTTACCTTGACAGCTGTGAATATTCATTAGCCAGGCTAATGCCAATAAACTGGATAGAACTTTGCATATTTTGGGCTCAGACTTCTTGTAAGATTTCAAGTTGTGTAAAGAGAAAGCTCCTAGCTAGTGTCCTGCTGAACACTAGCTTATTTCCAGACTGAATTCAGATCCTTCTTCTCGTTGTTTCTGCATTCCCACTAGAATTTTAGGTGACTCAGGCAGGGAGGTTATAGCTCCTTAAAGTTTTAGGAGGCTAAGCTGTCTAGAAACACAGTAGAACTTTAATCCCCCCGAAAAGTTGATGTTGTATTCTGATGGAATTTCGGTTGATGGAAAGCGTACACAATGTGTTTATTTCTAGCACCAGAGCCAATGGAACTTGATGGCCCTAAAGGAACTGGATATATCAAGACTGAGTTGATTTCTGTGTCTGAAGTGTAAGTGAACACAGAAGAGTGACATGTTTACAAACCTCAAGCCAGCCTTGCTCCTGGCTGGGGCCTGTTGAAGATGCTTGTATTTTACTTTTCCATTGTAATTGCTATCGCCATCACAGCTGAACTTGTTGAGATCCCCGTGTTACTGCCTATCAGCATTTTACTACTTTAAAAAAAAAAAAAAAGCCAAAAACCAAATTTGTATTTAAGGTATATAAATTTTCCCAAAACTGATACCCTTTGAAAAAGTATAAATAAAATGAGCAAAAGTTGATCAGAGTGGGAAAGTAGTTCTTTTCAATCTAGAAAAGGCCAAAGTAATGATTGAGATACACTGTCTCCACTTGCTTTGATTTTGTTGTTTCATTTTATAAAAGGTAGAAAAAATTTTGGAAATGTCATTGTCAGTTATTTGGCCTGCAGCACTGTCTTGGGGTGAATGGATGTAGCCTTCATGTAAAAACACTGTGTGGAGCAGCTTTATCTGCATTCAAACCTCAAGGTAGGGATGAGGGACTCCCCAGACATTTCTCTGGTGCTTTTCTGTCCAGGGTAAGCCACGAGGCATTGTCATCTCAGGGTAGTGCACCGCACATGCTCACACCTAGGCTTACCCAGGCAGAAGCGGCACAGATTCCAGTCTGGCTATTGCTTATCACATCCCTGGAGTGTGAAACATTTCCCAAGGGGCTGGGCTGGGGACATGAGCCTCCCATGAGCTGTACTTTTGCAAATGTATTTTACAAGTGTATGCACTTACCCAAAATAAAAATATAACGTGATAATTCAATTACAGACAAAAGATAAAGTGTGTAAGTATGCACTAGTGCTTTCATCACTCAGATGTTGACATTGCTCTTTTCTTTTTCCCCATTTTAGTCACCCTTCTAGACTTCAGACCACAGACAACCTGCTCCCCATGTCTCCTGAGGAGTTTGACGAGGTGTCTCGGATAGTGGGCTCTGTAGAATTCGACAGTATGGTGAGTACCACGGCTGGCCTGTGTGTAGCTCTCAATAAGTGTGTGTGCTCAGAGGCAGGGAGCGCACCATGGCAGATCCCGGGCCTGTCTGCGGGAGGGAGCCCTGGCGGAGCCAAGGAGAGTGCAGTGCTCAGATGAGCCATGACAAGTTGGAGCTGCTGGATTTAAACCACCTACATCATCAGTGGGATTTTTATTCCTCGCATTCAGCACCTTCCAAAAAACAAGTGACATTTCTAATATTCAGGTTTCCTCCTCTCCCCTTTAAAGTTGTCCATGTAGAAATTTCATATATTAAGGAACTAAGATTTCTTTGATAAGCAAATGTTTTTCTTCGGAATGCGATTTCATCACTGTGTCTAGGGGAGGGAGTGTTATTTTTAGAAAGGGAGGGACTAACGCTTGGTAGTTACAGTAATTAGAGAGAATTATACTTTAGCAGCAATGAGATTACTTCATCTGCCTTATATTTGAGAGCTAATTTGTACAAGTAGCTCCTGGGGCTGTGAAGGGCTTGCCAAGAGTAAAAGGTTCAAGGAGTGAAATAGTTAATGAGATTCGTGATAGAAATGGGAATATGATTGTCCACAAAAGGGAACATCTTCCTTTTGGAGGGTGCTTTTTTAGTATATCAACTAGTATTGTTTGCCTTTCAGCCTAAAATCCTTCCTCTTAAAGATTGTGCTTGCTTGGCTGGATTTTTGCTGATGCTGTTTAATTTTAAGCTCTTTTCCACATGGAGCTATTCCAGCTCATTTTTAAAAATTTATTTAATGCTTCCAAAAAATATCCTGAGTTATTACTGGCCTTTCTTCCTTACTGTATACCCGGTGCCTGGCAAAAAGTAGGTGCTCAACAAAGAGAGGAAGGCAGGGAGGGGAAAGGTGAGCGAGAATGAGAGGGCGTCACTCTTCAGACATTTGGGGAATGCGATGATAAGGCCTCAGTAAGATCTGCCTGGATTCAGGTTTCTCATGTGTAATTTTTTGACTTTTTTCCTCACCTTAAGCACGGGCTACAATCATTAGAGATTGTACCTTCCTACACTTTCCTGATTGTTGTTGACGAAATAGGCCATTTAGAAAAACAGTTAGCTATTGTGGCAGCGAAATAGTTTCATTCCTATTGGCAAGTGTAAAATGAACCTTTTCTGCATGTAAGAAGGATCCTGCTAGAGTTTCGCTCCCAACACTGCTATAGGCCTGGCACAAAAATGGAATAAATATAAAGCCCTATTCAGAAAATATGTTACATCACAGGAACTGTAAAATGGGGGGATTTTTTATACCTCCTTTGTTGTTCCTGAGCAAATTACATCATCATCACCACCACCATTAATAGGTGACATTAAGCACCTACAGTATACCATGTACTTCACAGGTAGTAACTCATTCAGTCCTCACAGCCACCTTCTGAGTTAGGTGTTATTGTTATTCCTACTTTGACAGATGTGGGAACAGAGCCCCTCCTCCCCACACAGCCCCTTTTATGTAACTTGACTAAGATCAAGCAGTTAGTAAATGGTAGAAAGAATATTTGAATCTACCTAGTGAGTCTCTAGTGCATGCTTTTGTCCGGTATCCTGGAAAGCCTCCCACAAAAAGCTAATCTTTGCCCCATTCAAAACATGCACCCTGAAGAAGCTGTTTGTACAGGATTGGGTTTATTCTGTTATTAAGACAAAGGCATCATGGCCTTTGGGTGAGAGGCCCGTATGTGTTTGGGATTTGGCAATCAGCATTCCATCTCTGTCATCACCATTATTGAGAAAATAGATGGATTGGTTCCCTCTCTGCAGTCCTGTGGAGCAGTTGGACTGCTCTCTCTGCTCTCAGGATGATACTGTGAGAACAATTTAAATATGCTAAGCACATGTCAGGAAACAGTTTTGTGGTCTTTGGACACTCGCTGTAGCCATTCCGTTCCATTTCAGGTGATTTTATTCATTTCATTTGTAGAATAAAATAAATCCATTTCACACACACACACACACACACACACACACACACACACCCTCTATACACCACTAAAGCCTCCCATTAAACCCATAGAAGACTTAAAGAGCTAAAAGAGGCTATAATATAAAAAAAAAAAAAGAAAAGAAAAGAAAAAGAGTTCATAATATAGGCACGGCACTGGTTAGACAACGGTTGAATCAGTCTCTAAATTGGGTTGACTTCACAATGGTTTGCTGTCCTGCCCCTTGGCCATGACTTCCATCCAGCATCTACTCTTAGAATCAGAGTGTATACTCTGAAACAGAAGCAGCTCTCCCCAAGCTGGCTGTCTTCTGCCAAGTCTGGAGGTTGCAGCTCTGAAAGAGGGTGGTACCAGGGGCCAACGCCTGGTGCAGCCTCAGGAGCAACAGGACCATAGGCTCCTGAGGAAATTGTCCAAGAGAGCCAGAGCACCAGTGTTCTCTGCAGTATGACTTGGGCATTTGTTTAGTCTGGATTTCCTGTGTAATCAGTGTTTTCCTCTGGGACTGTAATAGAACCAGTCTACTCTCCAAGAGGCCTTTAGCCAAAGCTCATAATGATAGGACTAGCTATTAATTGTCTACTACTTTCTGTCTACTATACTAAACATTTTACGTATGCCATCTAATTTAACAAGCCTATCTGCTAGGTACTATTAATCCCCTTTTGATAGATGAAGACTTTGAGATTTAGAGAGGTTAAGCCACTTGCCCTGGTCACGCAGTGACAGGATCTGAATCTGGGCTTCCTCTCTTCCTCTATCTATCTATCTCCCCCTCCCTCCCTCTCTTTACCCCCACGGTCCACCCTATTAAGCACACATTTGAAACATCAGCCAGGCCGGGCGCGGTGGCTCACGCCTGTAATCTCAACATTTTGGGAGGCCGGGGCAGGTGGATCACCTGCGATCAGGAGTTTGAGACCAGCCTGGCCAACACGGTGAAACCCCATCTCTACTAAAAATACAAAAATTAGCCAGCCATGGTGGTGTGTGCCTGTAATCCCAGCTACTAGGGGGGCTGAGGCAGGAGGATCGCTTGAACCTGGAAGGTGGAGGTTGCAGTGAGCCAAGATGGTGCCACTGCACTCCAGTCTGGGCAACAGAGGAAGACTCCGTCTCCAATTTGAAAAAAAAAAAGAAAGAAAAAGAAAAGAGAAACATAAGCTAGACTGAAACATAGGGGCAACACTTTCACTGTGCTTTTCAATCCAAAATAATTTTCCTAAGAGCCCACTATGTACCACACACTATTGAGCACTTGGGATTAAAAAAAAGTTCTCCAGAGGCTTTCCAGTCTAGTGCCATGTGTCTCAGTCTTGGTGCTACTGGTATTCGGGGCTTCAGAATTATTTGTTGGGGATTGGTGGGGTGGGGAGCTTTCCTGTGCTTCGTAGGAGGTTCAGCAACACCTCTGGCTTCTACCAAATAGATACCAGTAAGCACATGCACCCTCACAGCCAGATGGGACAATCAGCAATGTCTTCAGCCATTGCCAGGGGACAGAATCATCCTCGATTGAAAGCATCTGGTCTAAGGGGAAAGACCAGTGTGGAAGTCAGACAGGAAGTCACTGGCAGGCTAGTATCCTTTGGATGAACAGTTTACTTACTATAAGTTGTCCTGGTCAAGGCAGCTGGGCAGAAGGCACTGGTGGGGAAGGTGAAGGGGTTCTTAGTAATTCTGCTTCTTTAGTCTGTACCTGAAACACAGTCATTGATTTTACCCACTGAGTGGCCTTTAGGGGAAGTGTATCATTTCCCTCTCCTTCCTCTCTCCCTCTGGCATATGGCTCAGCATTTCCTCACCCGTTTCACATGAGCAGATTTGACACGTTGCTCTGTCCCCAGACTTGCATAACAGCAAAAAGCTTTATGCAGTCTGGATGGATTCACAAAATTAAGCCAGTGGGCAGCAGAGTAATAATCCGTCAGCTTAGGTGATATAAAAGGTCTTGATTAGCCCAGGATAATACATAGTACATGCTGAAGGCCCTCTTATTCCACGGTATTTATTTGCCATTGCAAGTATCTTCCTACTACTTCATTCTAGAATAGACAAGCAATGTTTAATGTATGAGTCTGCATTTCACAAGATCAGTGTAATAAACTTAACCACATTTTGTCTTTTTACAGATGAACACAGTATAGAGCATGAATTTTTTTCATCTTCTCTGGCGACAGTTTTCCTTCTCATCTGTGATTCCCTCCTGCTACTCTGTTCCTTCACATCCTGTGTTTCTAGGGAAATGAAAGAAAGGCCAGCAAATTCGCTGCAACCTGTTGATAGCAAGTGAATTTTTCTCTAACTCAGAAACATCAGTTACTCTGAAGGGCATCATGCATCTTACTGAAGGTAAAATTGAAAGGCATTCTCTGAAGAGTGGGTTTCACAAGTGAAAAACATCCAGATACACCCAAAGTATCAGGACGAGAATGAGGGTCCTTTGGGAAAGGAGAAGTTAAGCAACATCTAGCAAATGTTATGCATAAAGTCAGTGCCCAACTGTTATAGGTTGTTGGATAAATCAGTGGTTATTTAGGGAACTGCTTGACGTAGGAACGGTAAATTTCTGTGGGAGAATTCTTACATGTTTTCTTTGCTTTAAGTGTAACTGGCAGTTTTCCATTGGTTTACCTGTGAAATAGTTCAAAGCCAAGTTTATATACAATTATATCAGTCCTCTTTCAAAGGTAGCCATCATGGATCTGGTAGGGGGAAAATGTGTATTTTATTACATCTTTCACATTGGCTATTTAAAGACAAAGACAAATTCTGTTTCTTGAGAAGAGAATATTAGCTTTACTGTTTGTTATGGCTTAATGACACTAGCTAATATCAATAGAAGGATGTACATTTCCAAATTCACAAGTTGTGTTTGATATCCAAAGCTGAATACATTCTGCTTTCATCTTGGTCACATACAATTATTTTTACAGTTCTCCCAAGGGAGTTAGGCTATTCACAACCACTCATTCAAAAGTTGAAATTAACCATAGATGTAGATAAACTCAGAAATTTAATTCATGTTTCTTAAATGGGCTACTTTGTCCTTTTTGTTATTAGGGTGGTATTTAGTCTATTAGCCACAAAATTGGGAAAGGAGTAGAAAAAGCAGTAACTGACAACTTGAATAATACACCAGAGATAATATGAGAATCAGATCATTTCAAAACTCATTTCCTATGTAACTGCATTGAGAACTGCATATGTTTCGCTGATATATGTGTTTTTCACATTTGCGAATGGTTCCATTCTCTCTCCTGTACTTTTTCCAGACACTTTTTTGAGTGGATGATGTTTCGTGAAGTATACTGTATTTTTACCTTTTTCCTTCCTTATCACTGACACAAAAAGTAGATTAAGAGATGGGTTTGACAAGGTTCTTCCCTTTTACATACTGCTGTCTATGTGGCTGTATCTTGTTTTTCCACTACTGCTACCACAACTATATTATCATGCAAATGCTGTATTCTTCTTTGGTGGAGATAAAGATTTCTTGAGTTTTGTTTTAAAATTAAAGCTAAAGTATCTGTATTGCATTAAATATAATATGCACACAGTGCTTTCCGTGGCACTGCATACAATCTGAGGCCTCCTCTCTCAGTTTTTATATAGATGGCGAGAACCTAAGTTTCAGTTGATTTTACAATTGAAATGACTAAAAAACAAAGAAGACAACATTAAAACAATATTGTTTCTAATTGCTGAGGTTTAGCTGTCAGTTCTTTTTGCCCTTTGGGAATTCGGCATGGTTTCATTTTACTGCACTAGCCAAGAGACTTTACTTTTAAGAAGTATTAAAATTCTAAAATTCTATTAATCTCTCATTAATAGTATTTAATATAAAGATTCTTAAAATTACTGACGTTATGAATTGGTTTGATGCTTTTCTCATGTACCTCAATCCTTATTTTAAAATAAGATCAATAACACTATTTTCCTAAATGTTGTCCTTACCTGCCCTACACATATTCAGAATTGCTATGGCAGATTAAGACATGTCAATGGAAGAGGTCAGAGGAGTAATATTATTGGCAACAGCTGTAATAGGTGCCATAAAAAGCAAACAAACAAAAGTATTTTGGTTCTTTGCGACCACAGCTGTCCCCAAATATACAGATGATTCAGCACTTATTTTAAAATGAATCTGGGTATTGCTAATACCCCCAAATTAGCAGTTTTTAATTTTAAAATACATGAGAAATGGGACTTTGTCTTGTCTCCAAAGCAGTCATCTAAAATCTACACCCCCACGATTAGATGAGTTATTACTGAGAAGTTATTGCACCCACAAAAAAGCTGCCATTTTTTTCCAAAGATGTCAAAAGCTAGAAGGCCAGGTCTTCTCAAAGTAAAATACACTGTGTATTGGGGAAAAAAGGGTAAGAGGCATAATTACCAAGTTAGGCATAGTCTGTCAAGTTGTATTTAGCTATTATCATGGAATAGTGTTATTCCCTGATAATGAATGTTGGCATCATAACCAGAATGATTATTCTCATCTCCATATCTTCGTATTTACATCTAGGAAATATAAAGCTTATTTATAGTGAACACTGAGAGTGGTCTCTCTCCAAGGAGTAAAGTAAATATGCCCTGGCTAACTAGTGTAAGTTTGTATTCTACATAATTAACCATTATAAGAAGTCACTGAGTAGATCCTAACTTAAGGGATATTTGTTTGTGTTTGAGTATTTCTCGTGTGGTGTTTCTAAGTTTGAAAAGTGTTTTATAAGCATAGAGCTTATGTGTGCTACTGGGGACAAATGTCTCATTTTAAAGGAAAGAGGGTTTTCTGAGATGGCATGAAATGAGTGAAATCTATTTATTGCCTGAAAGCTAAAGTGGAATATGAAGGCAAGTCTTTCTGAACAGAGCAGTCCTGTCACTGACTAACCCAGGGAAAGGACAGGAAAAAGCTAGAAAGTGTTTTGAAAACTCTTCTGCTTACCTTTTGAATTGGGACATTAACAAAGTAAGGACCATTTATGTGACTGGCTTCCTTTGGTTAGTTATGATTCATTCATTAATTAATTCATCAGATTTATATAGAGCACCTGCCATGAGCCAGGCATTATACTAGATGTTTGGGAAACATTGGTAAACAAAAGCAAAGATCCCTGCTTTTATGGAACTTAAGATATTCTGAGACACTGGATCATACATTCTAGTGCAGTCACCTTATTAAAACTTAAGATTTTGTGATGCAAACAAACAGCCAGAAGCTACAAATAATGTAAATGTTATATTTAAAAAATACAATTTCAAAGAAATGACATTTAAACCAGTTTTAGGAAAGCTGAAGACAATATTGCTTTTAGAGCTTTTTAAGATCAGTTTATATTGCTCTTAAATGATAATCCTCAGCTTCCAAGTTTTTGTGAACTCACTTTGGTTTATGTGTTTGCTACACTCACTGAGAAATTAAACACCTTGCTTGATTTATTGTAAAAAGGAAAAAACAACAGAGCCATACTTAAGCAGTCTTAAACTTATTTATTAACGTTATCTTGAGTCTACAGAGAACAGAAAGCTATCTAAGAGGTAGAAAGCTGTCAAATACCTATTATCAAACTCTGAATTCTCCTATAATATTTCATAAAGCTATTATAACACCTTAATACCTTACTGTCAGTGTCTGTTTGCAGCCTTTCCACATTTCTTCTACATAATTGAAACAGTCTTGATATTCTTTTGCCATTGGGACTGCTTGTCAGACACACTTCATTGCAGCCTTTTATTGGCTATTTGGAAAGGAAGCAAGGGGTACAGTGGGGGCGCACACAGGCCTGGAGTCTGGTTCATTCTCCAGAATAGAAATAAAACCCCCCAGTCTCTGCCTTTAATGCCTTCCATCCAGTTGTTTTGCTGTATCTCATGCCTCCTTTTTAAAAAACTGCCTTAATTTTCTAATCTTTCTCATCCCCAAACACATATAATCTAGTGAATCACATCATTTCCTTGCATAACTATAAAAGATTATCCTTTCCCAAAAAGCCTTTTTATAAGTGCCACCTAACACATTCATGGGCTGCTTCCCTGGGCCATCTGGTATATGATTTATGAATTTACTCATTTTACTATGAGGATTATTAGCAAGTAAAATTAGGAAGGTTATCCCAACTCCTAAAAAAGTTATACAAAAATAAAATGATCTTGTATCAAGAATAAAAATAACTATTCACTATTTAGGATTATTCACACATTTGTTGTGCCTGCACTGATATCCTGCTCCTATCCATGGATGTGTGTGTGTGTGTGTGTGTGTGTGTGTATATATATATATATATGTGTATATGTGTATATATATATATATGTGTATATGTGTATATATATATATGTATATATATAGCTGAAGTTGACTATATGTTGCAGGACTTTCTGTTGTAGCACTTAGGCCTCTGCCTAAAACTCAGCAGAGAAGAGGCCTTAGCTAATAGGAGATAGTGCATATGAATAAGCTAATATGTATATTCTATCCATACTGGGCATAATCAGTGTTGTAGGACGTAGAACAACAGCGCAGGACTAAGAGTTCTGTATCACAGCCCACTCTTGGGTCTCAGCTTCATCTATAAAAGAAGAGTGAGTTAGATTAGAGAATTTCTGATGTCTCTTCTAATCATTGTGGTAACCCCACTTGTCACCTTGCATAGTACCTGGCTCATCACAGTTCTACAATGCCAGTAATGCAGTGACTCTTCTAGCAAAGTAACTTACTTTGTGACAGATAACTTTGATAAATGAAAATGTAACAGTCATGGTGTTCATGTACTTTCTCTATGGTTGGAAAACTATACACTAACCCCTGGCCTGAAAGGAAAGAGTGCTCTGAAGACCAGGGATTTCTGGCATTGGAAGCGAATGCTATTCCCACGCAGAATAAATTAGGAGCTGAGGTGTACTGGCTGGTGACACTCAGATTCTAGTGTGGCAGTACTAGCTTCAACTCTCTAAATAAATTTCAAGGCTTTGTGAAAATAACCTCTCTTCTCATTCAAGGGTATGTTTACTGGTTCCATTCAACAAATATTTACTGAGCACTTCCTAACTGTAAAAGGATAGTGTTTGCATCTAGAGGACTAGAGACATGCCTGCACATCCCTCACCTTCAAAGGTGAACTCTACACAGGATTCTTGTCCTAGTCATTGTGGCAACCCCATCTGACACCTTGTGTAGTACCTAGCTTTATAGCAGGCATTAGAAATGGATTGGAACCTAACCAGAGATGGTCTGTATGCTCAGTGGAGTTCCTGGCTCTTAATTGTTTTAAGAAAATTCATTTTTTCCACACAGTTTTTTTTTTGATACATATATTTATTATGCTGTAAAAAGCAACACTACCTGATTGCATTTAAAATAAATGTTTCCCAATTTCAGAATACTTACAACTTGTAGTTTTAAGATTAGATTCACTTTGGGAGGTTTTAGAAGCAAATACATTCATAGCTGTGTAATCCCCAGGAAGAATCTAAATCTGACATCAGGTCATTCAGTCCCTGCCAGACAGACAACAGCATCAAATGGTCAACAGCTAATCCAGCTCTGCAGCTAAAGGGCAGTGTCGGGCAGCAGTGGGGTATAGCATATTACCAAAGATGAGACCAGCAAAAACAACAATGTGTATAAAGCTTTAAATTAACATGATCATATAGAGCGCTCAGGATACAGAAAAAGCACATATGATACTAAAGCCAAAACAAAAAGATCTTTGGAGTTTACTGACGGCAGCAGTTAATAGCACAGTCAACAGCATTTAAATCAAATATATTATTACCAGCCAACAGCAAACAGCCCGAGCAGGAATCGGCACATAGTCATAAATAACATCAGGGGTAAATAACGGCACATTTAATTAAACAACAAAGATTTTACAGAATGGTTTTGATCTGAAAAAAGATGAAAACTCTCTTTGTTCCCAAATAATGGTTAGAACCTCTTTTTATTATAGAAAAGCCTCAAAATCATTGGTAATCTTCAAGTCACACAATTCAACTGTCTTGTTTCATTTTAGTCACACAAAGCGGGCTGCTCTTTGAATAAAGTTATCTTGATTGATTTCAGTTAAAACGTGTCTACCCTGTAATATCTTTGGGGATAATGCTGCTCCTGTGCAGCATCTTACAAATGCTACCTGTCTCCATGGCTTGCTAGATCCACGGGGTAGGAAACTGCTCACTCAGCATCCTCCCCATGGAAGCTCAAGCATGGGAACAGCTTCGGGCCTGGTGCAGCTAAGGAACATTGGCCGTGGTTTCACCAAAGGAGGTGCCATCTAGGTAATGGGAGGGCAGTGGCAGGAGCCACTGGCTTAGACTGGAAGTGAAAATGAAAGCACCTGGAGGCTGCTGGAGTAAGGTGCCATCAGGCATGTAAAGTTTAGAAGCAGCAGAGTGTGCTCATAGAAAAAGAAAAAAAAAGGAATTTGCTGTATGTGATAACAACTAACATTCATGTACTTGAGCTCATTTCACTAAACACAGCTTCAGAGAAGTCCATTTGTGTGCATGTGTGTGTGTGCTTAATATCAGAACTCCTCACTAACATGCCACTTTATCTCGAGGTATGACAGGATAAAATGTATGTGTAACTCCTAGAAAATCCTGTTCTATCCGTTTTTTGAAGCCCCTTTTACCCACTTTCCAAATGAATCCTGAATTACCAACCCAAGACAAAGAATTATAGGTCACAATTTAAAATGAAATGGCCTTTTTCTTATTATTAAACTACAGAGCCCACCAAGAATTACACAATAGAAAAATCACAAGAAATCTGGAATGATCCAGTGGTCCCCCAAGGAGGACAAATCTCTTGATGCAGACTCTTAATGACAGGCTTGGAAACAAATGTTTGTTAGTTGTAGCAGTTCCCATACTTTCAGAATAACTTTGGTAGCTTAGAGCATTTCTGAATTTATCTTTACCCTAGAAGCTAAAAAAAAAAAACTTCTTAAAGAGCTGCAGTTGCACATCCCTTCGTTTTTTAGACTGATAAACTTGACTAATTTATACTTAGTAATTTTGTCTCTGGTTCGTCTTCTGTAGACAAATGGCAAAGTTCTGATGCCAGAAATAGGAGGCATTTTCTGACTTACTATGGAAAACATAAAAACTGCATAGTATGCCAGCTCTCACTTTCCCAGCTAAAGGAAAGAGGCAGATAGCTAAATGTCTGAGAAGAGAGGCTGGACTAAGGGGATATAGAAAAAGGAAAATTTTTCAAAAGCATTATAACTACATTCACACATACGTTTTGGTCACCAAACATATCTTAAACAGATTCCCTGATAAAGTCTAATCAGAATTGGTCTATCTTACTAACAGTTGTTAACTATTATAGTTTTTTAAGAGTCACATCATGAAGCTAGGGGGTGAGAGAGACATTTTAAACACACAACCGTAAGTGCATATAGTTGTTCAAACACTTAAACTAAATTTGTATTTGAAGTCTTGAAAATCACACTATTTGCTTCTAAAGGCAACCTTGACCCATTTGGACAGACTGTACAACAGAGCTTACTTTATAAATGCATATCAGCAGATCATCACCATAAATTGAAAATTCACAAAACACAAATAAATCATGGAAGACCACACAAGCTAGCATTGGTAACTATTTCTTTTACATCAAATTATACAATGCACGAGGTAATATTGCTCACATTATGGAGGGAGATTGTTTTATTTCTATTTTTTCCCAAAGAGATCAGATTTGTCCTGTGTGCACAATGAAGAAAACTCCAGTAACACTGAAATGACAAATGTAAAATATACATCACTACCAGATAGAAATACACATGTTCTTCATAATCATTTTCCACAATTAAATAGGTAAGTGATTTAAATCTTGGGATTTGAGACCATTACAACAATCCATCAAGATTCTTATGGACGGTTTGATTTTCCTTCCCGTTGTCAGAATCTCCTTGAGGTGTGTACTGGACTTGGTATTCTTGGAGAATTTTAAATACATCATGGTGTCCAAAGTGCAGTGCTTCATCCATGGGAGTGTTATTCCACCTAAACACGTAGCACAGCATGGACAGGGTCATTAGGTAATTTATGTACAAAGATGATCACCCCACATTCCTAGATTTTAAATGCAGGTTAAATGGCCAAATTTAGCTATTTTAGCAATTTTACAAATAAAAATTAATAATAGAAATGCAGAAAGGGATTTATAATTCAAAAAGTAGTCTCCAAGACAAGTTGGGATATGGAGAGGAAGAGAAAAAGATCTGTGAAAGGATCTTGTTTACACATCCAAGTGCTTATGGAGGGAGCTTTTTAAGGAAAGTCCTTGTGGTGACAGATATAATAGACTGCTCTAGGGTTCCAGAATTTTAGTTTCATGAAAAGCCCAAAGTATCTCTTTTAAAATAAAATGTTCAAAGAAAATTCAGGCATATAACATCCATCACTCTAGCCTTTGACAGAAAATTAGTGTTTGTGTCAATTCAAAGCCACAGTAAGTCTCAGAAGTCTAGAAATAACCATGACCTCATTAGGGCTAAAACACACTGGAGGAGCAAGATTGGCCCCAAAGGAATTGACATTTTTATCACCTCTGGTAAGGCTGGGAAGCCATGGACTCAATCGGACCACTACACCAGAAGAGTAACTCCCCTTTCCATACTAATAACTCCCCTTTCCATGCTTCTGGGGCTGTGCTGTTTAGAGTGATGTAGATGAATATTCAAGGATAAGAAGAAATGAAGAGTTGCCAGAAGTGGTTAATCACTTGCCAGAAGTGGTAAGTCTTTTGCAAGAGGAGACAGAACTACATAACTCACAGCCCTAGTCAATGACAGGGTACGATGGGTAGTTCCCTTACACTTTACAAACTGTGAAGCCTGTCTTCCTACCCAATCTCTCTCTCTACTTACATTACAAAATTCTCCATGGCTGATGATCTCTCTTTCTTCATCCATGTGCCACTGGCACCACCTTCCTAGTTTCACTTCTTCCTGTTTCCTTCTTTCCTTTCCATCTCTGTCCTGAACTTTTTACCCGCTTAGTGGAGTCACAATATGGAAACGAAAGGTTTTTAAAACAGTCTCATTTTTTAATATATTTGGATAAATTTTGGTAGCCTGTTTTTAAAATCAGGTAAGTAAAACTTTACATGTATCTTTGTATTTATCAAAAAAAAAAAAAAAACAGCTGAATTAAGTGACTTTGAATAGGCCTTCATTAGTTTAGGAAGTCAGTGGCTTGAAACAGACTTTTGAGTCATCCTCTACAGTATGTAATTATCTGTCTTTCTGGAAAAATGGAATGTCAACTGCGTGTTACCTTTTTTACAATTCTTCTGTGAATTAATGAAAAATATGAACTTTAAAGAATACACTAATTTCAGCCAGATACAGTGATGCCTGTAATCCTATCACTTTGGGAGGCCAAGGTGGGTGCACCACTTGAGGCCAGGAGTTCAAGACCAGAATGACCAACATGGCGAAACCCCTCTCTACTAAAAATACAAAAATTAGCTGGGCGTGGTGGAACACACCTGTAATCCCAGCTACTCAGGTGGCTGAGGCAGGAGAATTGCCTGAACCTGGGAGGCAGAGGTTGCAGTGAACGAGATCACGCCACTGCACTCCAGCCTGGGCAACAGAGCAAGACTCTATCTCAAGAATTCACGAATTCTGTGCAAACCTATTATAATTTAAGGTGACACTGATTCTATGAAATAGAGAAAAAGACTTGTTGAATGCCTAGTTATCAAGTTAGTTACTTAGCTCACTTTTTCTTATCAGGTGGGTACATCTACTTTCACATTCCTAGAGGCCAATTTAGGGCAAAAAAAATTAATACATATACAAAGCACAGTAATATTTCCAACATGTATTACATAGTGTTTTAGTTGGGATTATAAACACAGGAGGAAAATGCTCTTCAATTTTTTGCTTTAGAAACCTGGGGTGGGTATTAAAATTTGGGGAAAGGGAAGAAGACTGTCAACCTAACATGAGGTTTTAGAATACTGCCAATAAAGGAGTTTTTAATCATAGTGCTTTTTTACAACTATAGGAATAAAGTTAGATAACCAAAGTGTTAGCAAACTTACAAAATTGCTAACATTTGTCAGACACTGACATAACTTTTCTGCATTTCTTGCAAGCTAACAGCTGAACCAACAAAACCCAAGCCCTAATTTTAAAAAAGATAGTTGGCCAGGCTCAATGGCTCACACCTGTAATCCCAACACTTTGGGAGGCTGAGATGGGAGGACCGCTTGAGCCCAGGAGTTGGAGACCAGCTTGGGCAACATAGTAAGATTCTGCCTCTACAAAAAATAAAAAATAAATAAATAAATTAGCCAGGCATGGTGGTGTTTGCCTGTGATTGCAGCTACTCAGGAGGTTGAGGTGGGAGGATCGCTTGAGCCTGGGAAGTTAAGGCTGCAGTGAACTATGATCATGCCACTTGCACTTCAGCCTGAGTGGCAAGGCAAGACCCAGTCTCAAAAAAAAAAAAAAAAAAAAAATTGAAGCTTAATAAACAGAAACACAATACAGCTAAAGAGTAATCAACTTGCTCCAAACTTAATACAGCTCCCAGTTCTCAAATGAATCCAAACTCCTAATACATATCAAACCACCATCAAGTATGCGTTTTTTTCCCATTCTAAACTTTTATTCTCATTACTCATTGACTCATATACTCTACTCCAGTACATAATGTCCAAGGATATGAATCTAGAGTTTACTGTACATGTATATGTGTAAGCTGCATTCTTATCCCTTCCCTGACCACTTTGTTGACATCATTTGTTGCAGGATGAATAGCAGTTTGCTATGTCGACCAGGAGAGAGAGGAGAGGAGCAGAATATATTCTAGGCATATTTTTCCCACTATAGATAGAATGCCCTTCTTTTCATTCTGTGCCTTCAGTCTCGTCTCTTCCCTAAAGCACTGATTAAAATTTAACTTCATGAAGCCTTCTGAAACTGATTCCAACCAAATGCAGAAATTTCAACAAACTCCAATATATTCATTTTAGAGTTAACAGTTTTCTTATACATTTTAGCTTGTTTAGAAGCCTTCCCATTTTGTATGTCTCAATATTGTGAGCAAGTTTGTATGCTGATAAAATTCACATTATTATTAAAAACAACATCAGGCTGCATAAATGTCGAATCCCTGCCAGCAATCACTGTCCTCACCAATCACTGGCTTCTTTGCAAATCCTAAGAGAGAACATTCAGTGTTAATTATCATCTTAAAGTTTATGCTTCTCTAAAGGTTTGTCTTGTCTACCCTGGGTTGTTAAAAACTCCACGAGGGGTAACCAGCAACTGCAAAAACATACAAAATTGTAAAGACCATTGACACTATGAAGAAACTGCATCAACTGAAGGACAAAATAACCAGCTAGCATCATAATGACAGGATCAAATTCACACATAACAATATTAACCTTAAATGTAAATGGGCTAAAAGCCCCAATTAAAAGACACAGAATGGCAAATTGGATAGAGTCAAGACCCATTGGTCTGCTGTATTCAGGAGATCCATCTCACGTGCAAAGACACACATAGGCTCAAAATAAAAGGATAGGGGAATATTTACCAAGCAAATGGAAAGCAAAAAAAAAAAAAAAGCAGGGGTTGCAATGCTAGTCTCTGATAAAACAGACTTTAAACCGACAAAGATCAAAAGAGAAAAGGGCATTACATAATGGTAAAGGGATCAATGCAACAAGAAGAGCTAACTATCCTAAATATATATGCACCCAATACAGGAGCACCCAGATTCATAAAGCAAGTTCTTAGAGACCTACAAAGAGACTCAGACTCCCACACAATAATAGTGGGAGACTTTAACACCCCACTGTCAATATTAGACAGATCAACGAGACAGAAAATTAACAAGGATATTCAGGACTTGAACTCAGCTCTGGACCAAGCAGACCTAATAGACATCTACAGAACTCTCCACCCCAAGTCAATAGAATATACATTTTTCTCAGCACCACATCGCACTTATTCTAAAATTGGCCAACCACATAATTGGAAGTAAAACACTCCTCAGCAAATGCAAAAGAACAAAAATCATAACAGTTTTTCAGACCACAGTGCAATCAAATTAGAACTCAGGATTAACAAACTCACTCAAAACTGTACAACTGCATGGAAACTGAACAACCTGCTCCTGAATGACTACTGGGTAAATAACAAAATTAAAGCAGAAATAAATAAGTTCTTTGAAACT
Source organism: Homo sapiens (assembly GCF_000001405.40). Taxonomy (NCBI): domain Eukaryota; kingdom Metazoa; phylum Chordata; class Mammalia; order Primates; family Hominidae; genus Homo; species Homo sapiens. The sequence goes on along the minus strand of NC_000002.12, from coordinate 190,958,632 downwards.
AATAAGACAAAAGACAAAACGTACCAGAATCTCTGGGACACAGCTAAAGCAGTGTTTAGAAGGAAATTTATAGTACTAAATGCCCACAAGAGTAAGCAGGAAAGGTCTAAAATTGACACCCTAACATCACAATTAAAACAGCTAGAGAAACAAGAGCAAACAAATTCAAAAGCCAGCAGAAGACAGGAATTAACTAAGAGCAGAACTGAAGGAGACAGAGACATGAAAAACCTTTCAAAAAATCAATGAATCCAGGAGCTGGTTTTTTGAAAACATCAACAAAATAGACCACTAGCAAGACTAATAAGAAGAGAAGAATCAAATAGGTGCAATAAAAAATGATAAAGGGGATATCACCACTGATCCCACAGAAATACAAACTACCATCAGAGAATACTATAAACACCTCTATGCAAATAAACTAGAAAATCTAGAAGAAATTGATAAATTCCTGGACACATACACCCTCCCAAGTCTAAACCAGGAAGAAGTCAAATCCCTGAATAGACCGATAACAAGTTCTGAAATTGAGGCAGTAATTAATAGCCTCTGAAATTGAGGCAGTAATTAATAGCCTACCAACCGAAAAAAGTCTAGGACCAGACGGATTCACAGCCAAATTCTACCAGAGGTACAAAGAGGAGCTGGTACCATTCCTTCTGAATCTATTCCAAACAATAGAAAAAGAAGGAATCCTCCCTAACTCATTTTATGAGGCCAGCATCATCTTGATACCAAAACCTGGCAGAGACACAACAAAAAAAGAAAATTTCAGGCCAGTATCCCTGATGAATATTGATGCGAAAATCCTCAATAAACTACTGGCAAACTGAATCCAGCAGCACATCAAAAAGCTTATCCACCACGATCAAGTCGGCTTCATCCCTGGGATGCAAGGCTGGTTCAACATATGCAAATCGATACACGTAATCCATCACATAAACAGAACCAATGACAAAAACCACAATTATCTCAATAGATGCAGAAAAGGCCTTTGACAAAATCCAACACACCTTCATGCTAAAAACTCTCAATAAACTAGGTATTGATGGAATGTATCTCAAAATAATAAGAGCTATTTATGACAAACCCACAGCCAATATCATACTGAATGGGCAAAAAACTGGAAGCATTCCCTTTGAAAATTGGCACAAGACAAGGATGCCCTCTGTGACCACTCCTATTCAACATAGTATTGGCAGTTCTGGCTAGGACAATCAGGCAAGGGAAAGAAATAAAGGGGCTGGGCACAGTGGCTCATGCCTGTAATCCCAGCACTTTGGGAGGCCAAGGCAGGCAGATTACCTGAGGTCAGGAGTTCGAGAGCAGCCTGGCCAACATGGTGAAACCCCATCTCTACTAAAAATACAAAAATTAGCTGGCTGTGGTGGGCACACGCCTGTAATCCCAGCTACTCGGGAGGCTGAGGCAGGAGAATTGCTTGAGCCTGGGAGACAGAGGTTGCAGTGAGCTGAGGTCTTGCCACTGCACTCCAGCCTGGCTGACAGAGCGAGACTCTTGTCTCAGAAAAGAAAGAAAGAAAGGTATTCAAATAGGAAGAGAGGAAGTCAAATTGTCTCTGTTTGCAGATGACATGATTGTATATTTACAAAACCCCATCATCTCGGCCCAAAATCTCCTTAAGCTGATAAGCAACTTCAGCAAAGTCTCAAGATACAAAATCAATGTGCAAAAATCACAGGCATTCCTATACACCAATAATAGACAAAGAGAGAGCCAAATCATGAGTGAACTCCCATTCACAACTGCTACAAAGAGAATAAAATACCTAGGAATTCAACTTACAAGGGATGTGAAGGACCTCTTCAAGGAGAACTACAAACCACTGCTGAAGGAAATAAAGAGAGGACACAAACAAATGGAAAAACATTCCATGCTCGTGGCTAGAAAGAATCAATATCATGAAAATGGCCATACAACCCAAAGTAATTTATAGGTTCTATGCTATCCCCATAAAGCTACCATTGACTTTCTTCACAGAATTAGAAAAAAAATACCTTAAATTTCATATATAACCAAAAAAGAGCCCACATAGCCAAGACGATCCTAAGCAAAAAGAAGAAAGCTGGAGGCATCACGCTACCTGACTTCAAACTATACTACAAGGCTACAGTAATCAAAACAGTATGGTACTGATACCAAAATAGATACACAGAGCAATGGAAAAGAACTGAGGCCTCAGAAATAACAGCACACATCTACAACCATCTGATCTTTGACAAACCTGACAAAAACAAGCAATGGGGAAAGGTATTGGGAAAACTGGCTAGCCATATGCAGAAAACTGAACCTGGACCCCTTCCTTTCACCTTATACAAAAATTAACTCAAGATGGATTAAAGACTTAAACATAAGACCTAAAACCATAAAAACCCTAGAAGAAAACCTAGGCAATACCATTCAGGACATAGGCATGGGCAAAGACTTCATGACCAAAACACCAAAAGCAATGGCAACAAAAGCCAAAATTGATAAATGGGATCTAATTAAACTAAAGAGCTTCTGCACAGCAAAAGAAACTATCATCAGGGCGAACAGGCAACCTACAGAATGGGAGAAAATTTTTGCGATCTATCCATCTGACAAAGGGCTAATATCCAGAATCTACAAGGAAGTTAAGCAAATTTACAACAACAAAAAAACCCCATCAAAAAGTGGGTGAAGGATGTGAACAGACACTTCTCAAAAGAAGACATTTATGCAGCCAACAAACATGTGAAAAAAATATCATCATCACTGGTCATTAGAGAAATGCAAATCAAAACCACAATGAGATACCATCTCACACCAGTTAGAATGGCGATCACTAAAAAGGAAACAATAGATGCTGGAGAGGATGTGGAGAAATAGGAACGCTTTTACACTGTTAGTGGGAGTGTAAATTAGTTCAACCATTGTGGAAGACAGTGTGGTGATTCCTCAAGGATCTAGAACCAGAAATACCATTTGATCCAGCAATCCCATTACTGGGTATATACCCAAAAGATTATAAATCATTCTACTATAAAGACACATGCACATGTATGTTTATTGTGGCACTGTTCACAATAGAAAAGACTTGGAACTAACCCAAATGACCATCGATAATAGACTGGATAAAGAAAATGTGGCACATATACACCATGGAATACTATGCAATCATAAAAAAGGATGAGTTCATGTCCTTTGCAGGGACATGGGTGAAGCTGGAAACCATCATTCTCAGCAAACTAACACAAGAACAGAAAACCAAACACTTCATGTTCTCCCTCGTAAGTGGGAGTGGAACAGTGAGAACACATGGACACAGGGAGGGGAACATCACACACCAGGGCCTGTTTGGGGGTCAGGGTAAGGGAGGGATCGCATTAGAAGAAATACCTAATGTAGATGATGGGTTGATGGGTGCAGCAAACCACCATGGCACTTATATACCCATGTAACAAACCTGCATGTTCTGCACATGTATCCCAGAACTTAAAGTGTAATTTAAAAATTTTTTTTTTAAAATCCATGAGGATAAAATTCCAATTCTTTCTTCCCAAATGCAAAAAAAAAATTGTTTTGTTCATACAGTGTATTGACTAATGGTCAAATCAACCTGAAAATTTCTAAATAAGACACCATTCTTAGATAAGAAACAGGATATGGGAGACAGAATTACCTATCTAGTAGAAACAAGGTTTATTGCCTTTATAAGATATCATAGCAGGTTCAAGAATGTCTTAGTAGGTTGAAATATTATCATCACTTGAATATTACAGTCCTGCATAATAAAATACTGACATATTTAGAAGGTAACATAAGTGCTCACCTGTCCTTGGGGAAAGGGTTTACTTTGCAGGCTTCCAGCAAAAATTTAACAACTTCAACATGACCTATACCGTCCCACCCCCAAAAAAAGAGCAGATTTTAGTACTAAGTAGAAATTAAATCTGGAAAGAAAATAGATAGGAGTAGTTCCTGTATTACCCTCTGCAGCAGCTACATGGAGTGCTGTTCTAGAATCATAGTCCCGCTGTTCCATGTCCATAGCTGACAAAGCAAATCTGAAAATGTGTAAGCACAGCTATTTATTATATATAAAGCAAATTTAATTCACACTGGTAACATTCACTCCATCAGTTCATTTAAGGCCCTGTCAGGTGCCATCCTTCATCAAGCTCATTAATGGGAACTACCGACCTTATTAACCAGTACACAGGTGTTTTGGGTAGATGCCACTTCACCTCTCTTCCTCAGCTTTGCTTTTTTTTAGGTAAGATTAAATGTTAACCATCTCTCACAGAATTAAACTTTATTACATTATTGTTCGCAACTTAAGAATTATGGCACAACTGTGTACCAAGGTTTATGTCTCATAAGGGCAAGAAACTAATCCCTATAGTAAAGTTGTATGTTTTACTAAGACTCCCATTCTTAAACATTTCACAGTCTACTAGTACTTGTCAGACTTCAAAACAAGGGGGGGAAGCACAGACATTTTTCCACTTTGAAAATCAGTTATTTGAGGTATTAATGGGAGAAAAAAAAAAGAAAATAAGTTACAACTCTACACAAAAGACCTTAGGTATACAGCAGTATATGGCCTTACTAATCCTGATGATCTGCCAGACACCAAACCCCCCAGCTGCTTCACACACACACACACACACACACACACACACACACACACACACACATATCAAAGATTGGGAATGGAGGGTAGACAGGGAGTGAGAAGGCACTGTCCAATTCCAGTAAGCCACTGGTACTAATTAGCCAGATTAGCTGAACAGTTACTACTTGGGGAAACAGAGATATGGTCTTTTTTATAGGAGGCAGAAAAGGACAAGATTGGAAAGCAGGCCTAAGGCACTGGAAGTGCCTATTTAATAAAAATTTTGTTGGGGTCATTTTTATCAAAGGGAAAGAAAAGTGAGACTTTAACCTTAAAATGGCTGCTCGCCCAGAAGCAACTTCATAAATATCTGTAAAGTGCATGCTAATCCATCCTGTAAACATACCTTCGAAGTGCAGACACATCTCCAGTATATGCAGCAAACAAAAGATTTATCACTGACTTTACCTGTGAAGAAAAGAAAGTTTAGGCATCCTTAGGAGAGAGAAAACACATACAACGTCCACCTGTCACTGGCAAGTGATTTCCATGTGCTTTGAACACTTCAGCTGAGTCACGTGCAAAAAGTGATCTCAAGGACACTTCCATAGCCAAAAGAACCCACGTGTGTGATACTTTCTTCTTTTAACAGTGGATTGTGAGGGAAAATTCAATAATAAAGATAAGATACACAAGGGAAGGAATGGAATAATATCACTTGGCAGAAGAGAATGGAATTTTGTGAAACTCATACAGTTGGGGCAACTGAAAATTGTTTAGAAGCCTTCCCATTTTCTATGTCTCAATATTGTGAGGAAGTCTGTATGCTGATAAAATTCACATTATTAAAAATTAAATCATGCTATATAAATGTCTAATCCCTGCCAAGAATCACTATCCTCACCAATCACTGGCTTCTTTGCAAATCTTAAGAGAGAACATTCAGTGTTAACTGTCATCTTAAACTTTACTTCACTGGAAAGACAGCCTTCAGTTCAATGCCCAGGTGGTACAAATTGGGTCATTCTCAGAACTTATGACACTGCTGTGTTTAAAAGTTTCTCAACTCCAAAATATTAAGTCACCTCTATTAAGTGCTCCAAGATTTCAAAGTGTATCTACTTTTGACAGTTACCCACTTTCCTTTTCTTATAGTTAAGAGGAAAAGTCTAGTTATTTGAAAAGCCATTGGATTTTGGTCTGCTTTCATAAAGACTTTATCCATCCCTATCTATGAGAAATTAAACTATTGACCATAGAATATTTGTAAATACTTCATAAATTCCCCATTTTGTCTTACACTTTGCAACTTCAACATTCATATTGATGACTCAACTGATACTGGACTCAATGGTAGAAAACAAGTTTAACTGGGGAATGGAAAGTAACCCAGCTCTCCACCAACAAAGCCACAGCCTGGAACTGTGCTTCAAGATCTTAACCCGGACATTCTCCCTTTCCAGTATGGCTTCCCCCTTCCAAAACCCATGAACCTTCCAAATTAACTGGAACTGATCATTGCTGCAGTTCTCTAATTCATCATTTTCAAAGTGTAATTTGCAGAAACTAGTCCGTAAGATGGCCCATGAAAATAAGGATCCTGTGTTTGTATATGATCTTAAAATATTCAATCCCCCTCTTGGAGATTCATGAGCATATGAAAGACTCTGTAAAGGTCTGCAGTACAGGAACTTAACTAGCTGAGCACACCCCCAAAATACTACTATTACTATTTGTGTTGATACCACTTCAAAAAACTTTCCACTTAGTCCTTTAGCTTCCCTTCCAGCCATCCTTTTCTATTCCTGCCCAGAGTCCAGAACAGTTTTCTTAATGGGGAATGGGGGTGGAACAAAGAACTGAAGAACATCACCCAGAATGTTCTAAAAACATACATAAACATCTCTCCCATTTCTTGTTGTCCTACTCCTACACCTCAATCCGATACATTTTAGGGAAAGGAGGTAAATGCATAGAGTTTGTTGTTTTTTATAGAGATGGGGTCTCACTATGTTGGCCAGGCTGGTCTTGAACTCCGGGCCTTAAGCAATCCTTCTGCCTTGGCCTCCCAAACTGTTGGGATTACAGGCATGAGCCAACATGCTCAGCCCATAATTTTGTTTAAAGTCTCCAGGTGACTTTGATATGCACTTTTCTGGGTTATAAACCACTGTTTCAGGTGTCCTTAATGTCTTTCTTTTTTAATGGGGTCAACTCTGAATTCTCAATTCCCTTTTTGCTCTTGGACCACAGAATACTGACTGGCTATTACAGATTATTCTCCATATTTCCACCTGGTCTCTCATTACTGCTTGACAATTTTTTTTTCTTGTTGGTTCCCGCCATACTTTCTTCAGGCCTTTAATACCAGTGGAGACCCCTAAAAACAGACAGAAGATCCTAACTACAACTTTGCTAAAAAGATAAAAACTGTTTTCATCGCTCAAAGTAAAAAGCTTCCTCATTTTTGAGACTACTTTTTATCTATTCCTTCAAACACTTATCCTCTAGATGCCCTGTTCTTGTTCCCTCACTGATCCCCTTTGTTTCTAGCATCTTTAACTTTTCCTCTTTCATTGGTTCTCTCAGTTTACCTTAAAACAGACACAATTTCATCCTATTTTTAAAAAGCAACACTTGACCCTATTGTTCTCCCTTCAGCGCTTATTTCCTGAAAGTATATTTTTAATTCCCTGAAAATTACCTTCACACTCATTGTTACCTCTAAACAGCGCTCTCCAAAGCTCCAGCAGCTTCCTAAGCCCTGATTCCTTCAGATCCCCCCAGCACCCTCCACCCTCTCACGACTTGCCTTCCATGCTGCTCCATCACCCTAATCTTCCTCCTGTTTGCTGCTTTGCAGATTCATTACCCACTTTCCACTGCCAAATACTACTCCCAAGGCAGTCCAATCTTCTTGTTTTTCAATATAATGTCCCTCAAAGAATTCATCTATTCCTCTGGGCACACTGACTTCCCCATCTTTAATCTAAATCTTTCTCCTAAGCTCCAGTCCTACAGCTCCACTTGATAGTCACTTCAAACTCAAAAACAGCAACAGTCCTGCCGGCTTCTCACCCTGGCTCCAGTTCATAGCCATCTGCCTACTTGACATTGCTTCCAGGACTTTTAATGGGCATCTCAGACTTATACCCAAAATGGAATTTGCTTTGCCCTGTCTTCTGCCACTCACAGTCAGCTCCTCTTCTAGTCTCCCCAGTTTGGGGATGACACTACAATTCACCCACTTGCTCAGGCCACAAACTCAGGAGTCATCCAGTGCTGCTGCATTCACTTATGCAGGTTGAGTCCTTCACAAGGATGCCTGGCCACAGGGCCAACACGGGTTACCAGCCCACGCTCTTCCCACCAAGGTGTCCTAGCACCCAGGTACATGTGCTGGGAGGAAGGGAGCTTCTTTACCCAGTGGTGCTGAGAAGTGCTTCTGCTTCTGGCCAGAGACAGAATTAGCTTTTTCTAATTCAGACAAATTCACCATACAGACCATGGGGGGTAGTCCTTGATTCTATTCTTTCTCTCACAGCCCACATCTAGCTCATCAATAAATCCTCTTTCCTGCAAAATATGTTTGGAATCCTATCACTTCTCACCACCTCTATCACTATTGCCTTAGGCCTCATCTGAACCACCACCTTATCACCTCTGCTGCCATAGGGATCTTTTAAAAACATCAAGGAACTCCCGTGCCTTTCCATCATATCTAAAGGAAAATCAAACTCTTTACCATGGCTTTCAGGACCCTAAAGGCTCTATTCCTGGTTACACTGCACATATCATTCCTACCACTCTTCCCTTTCCAGCTCTACTCCATTCAGAACATCTGGCTGGTCTCAGGCACTCAAGGCCTACAACTGGCTGCTAGAGATGCTCTTTCCCCAGGCTGTCAGGAGGCTCCCTCTCCCCCTCCCTTTGGGTAGGTCTCCATTCAAATGTTCTCTCAAGACTCTAAAACACTCCCCTCTTTTCATCACTCCTTATCCCTTACCTTGCTTTTCCCCTTCATATATATATATATATTGTATTGTTAACTATATCCTTTTTAACTATATTTGTTATATATAACTATATATAAAGTATATATATTTTTATATATACTTGTTTTTTGTCTCTCTCATTAAATATAGGCTCCATGTGGGCAGAGACCACTTGTCTTTCTGTTCCCCACCGTAAACTCAGTGTCTATCACACATAATAGGTGCTCATTAAATATCTATTGACTAAGTGAATATTCTCCCTCAAGGCATCAAATATTCAATTTTGGGTATTAAATTGCAAAATTAATTCCTCTATCGGCCCCCAACCCTGCATTTTATTTTTTTTGAGACAAGGTCTCGCTCTGTCACCCAGGCTGGAGTGCAGTGGCAAGATCTCGGCTCATACAACCTTCGCCTCTCGGGTTCAAGTGATTCTCCCACCTCAGCCTCTGGAGTAGCTGGGATTACAGGCATGTGCCACCACTAATCTAATTTTTGTAGTTTTTGGTAGAGACGGGGTTTCACTAGGTTGGCCAGGCTGGTCCCAAACTCCCGACCTCAAGCGATCTGCCTGCCTCAGCCTCCCAAAGTGTAGGGATTACAGGTGTGAGCCCCTGTGCCCAGCCCATCTACCTTAACTTTTACATCTTTGAATATCATTACAAGATTTATTCAATCATTAACTGATGCCTCTGCTTCTGGTCCTTCTTCCACCCTCCAAAACCTCTCCACATACTTCTAATCATATTCTCAAAACATTGCTCTAATCACTACAGGTTTCTAAGCAGCGGAGTATCAAGAAACCCAAAATCATTCCTGATAACATTTAAGTTCTTCAGCCTTGTATTCAAGGTTCTTCAGTCCAGCTAACTTAATTTTTCTTCTCAACCTCAATAGAGCAAAATTGGTCTTACTGCCCTTGTTTTTGTCTTGGTGTCTATGCTCTTAAGAACACCCAGATTCCTAATCAAATCCTTCCCTTCCCTCAAAGACTAGCCCGAAAGTCCCTTCCTTGCTGTCAGTCTTCCCCAGGCCATCCCAGCCCAGCATTCATTATCTATGTAGCTTATTGCCAGCTGCCCACACAGTGCCCTGTGACAGCATGTGCTAGGGACAGAGTCAATTAGATACCTCCACTCCCACCACAACCCTGGATCTACCTCCTGCTTCCTCCCACAGTGCATACTATTCTCCTGAAATCATTTTTCCCCACCCATTTCTCACTGATATGTTATTCTTACCCATTCCTGTGAACTCTGCTCCAATCTCTTAAATCAAAAGTAATCTCCGTCTACCTTTGCTGCACTATGGCACTATAACACATGACCACATGGAGCATTTGTGTGTCTTACTTCCCCCACCACTAAGAAAAATCCAAATTCCCCTGTATATACCATTAATATATTAATTACCCAGTTATTATTTTTAAAACTATGTTGGTACTTCTAAGCAATAAAGCCTCATCTGTTTCAGTGACTGGATATAAGAACTACACATTCCCCTTTAAAATTTTGAATTTAGACCATGCTCGTTTGAAGAGATTTTATTATAGTATGTGTGTAGCACTTAGTCACTTCATTATTCAACATTTCAAACGTTCTAAAAGTCCATTTCTTATTAATAAGGCCCAAAATAGAAGATTTTAGAATATACTTGGTTTATTCAGAGTATATTGTTATTCAAAAGCATGAGAAAAAAAAATCAGGAAACTTTAATGTACAAAGGCTTTGTAACTAATCAGAAGGGAAAAACACTAGCTCGCCTTAACAAAATTATTAAAGACTAACATGGAAGTTTGGTATTCTTCCCATGAAAACAAAAGGCTAGCTATGGAGCTGGATTTAGTCCAAACCAGAAGATAGGTGCTTGAACACAAAGTGAGTGTAATTCTCTCCAAAACAGAAAAGCACTAGGAGGCAGCCCATGCACAGGCACTATTTAAAAGCAAAACCACAAATTCCTCTTCTTTCTAGCATCAACAGCCCCCTATACTTTTAAGTTTACATAAATTATGAAATGAGCTGTGGGTAGAATGCCACAAAAGAAAATGAAACTAGTTTAACACTTTTGAGACAACAGATGGAGTATTTCATTTAGGGACAGTCTGCTTCCTGGTCTGTTAAAGAGCGCCACGAGTATTTCCAACTAAGCTGACACACCCTCTGGAATGCCTATCATAGCAAACAAACTGAAGGAGAGGGGCACTCTAGAAGATCAGTCATCCACCTCCACACCAATACTTGCAAAGGATGTAGGTGTGCTAACCATTGATCAAAGCTCATTCCCCTATTTCCCCACTGGATACTTGAGTTACATTGATTTTAAAATACCTGTCAAGGAGGCCAAAGTCCAGAAAATAATGGGTTAACAGTAAATGCCAGAGGCATGGAAGCTATGTTTTGATAAATAATTCCTTACTATAAAGAAACAGACTATACACAGCCGCAATAATAGCTATTAAATTAAGGGCTCTGATGTTTAATGTATACCTCCCCATGGCAAAGAGACACTGCACCTGGGCAGAGAGCCATTAAAATTTATAAATTAACTGTTAACAGTTTCCCCTTCATCTTGTAGATTTTCCAGCACTACTGCATTTTTCTTATCAAGTCTCTTTATCAGAATCTGCCCGAACCAGACAATCTTATCTTAGTTTATTTGTACAAAGTCATGACAACAGTGGGACAAAAAATGTTACAGTTCACATGAGTTCACTTAACACTGGCATGCTTGGCATAGCAAATCTCACTTTTTTCCAAAACAGCTAGAAGCAGGTGGGGAGTGTATCAGTTTTACACATCTAAAACATGGCATTCCTAAGTCTTTAATCCTATCATTATCCTACTCAGTTTGAGCTTGTTTAAAGGTTGAGTTGTGTGACTTCTGTAAATGCCCTAATAATTCTGTACTTATGAGTAAGTAGCAATTATTAGAATTATATACTCACATTACTCTGTATTTATATAGTGGATGACCCTAAAACATTCAACATTTTAAACAGTTATAGTTGTTTTTAAAAATCCCTGACAGGCTGGTTATAAAATATGTTGATAGATATATTTTATTTATTACTACCACTGAGATTAAGGACCCTGGCTCAAGGTCACACAGCATATGAATTAGTGATGGAGCTTGAGTAGAACTCAGGTATCTGGATTCCCAATTCTGTACAACTAGACCATGATGATGTGAGTCCTTAATAGATCTCAGATTGTTATCCAAAGCACAGAAGGAAACCAACGGATTAAATATCAATTTAGCTCTAATCCATAAAAGTTCTTTACTCAATATTGGAAGGAAGCCTAGATGGGACCAAAGCGGGAGGGGAGAAAAGGAAGAAAGGGAGAAGATGGAGGGAGGGAGAGACGGAGGAAAAATTGGTTCACTGGTTTTACACTTTACTTCAACTATTTAATTTCTAACTCCATTACCAACTGCCAAACCAAAATTTCCTCTGTTTTTCATCTTTAGTTTCTGTCTTCATATAAACATGAATTCAGCCTGTTTGGAACTGCTATAATGAAAAAAAAAAGCAGGTAACTGAAAAAACATCCTTCTGTTTCTACCACCTCTAGTTTGAGATAAGCTGCTCTCATTTCCAGCTCAGTACAGTATCTGTTGTCATGGAATAGATACTTTTCTTCAACTGTTAAATAAACCATCATGACTCCAGATCCAATTTTGTTTTAAAGGCTTCACTCCAACTTGGCAGATTATAGTCTTTAAATGAAAATAAGCTTTCAGCCTGCTTTTATATTTTCTTAAGGTCAAATTGAGGCATACTACCTATTATACTGTGGCTAAAGAAAAATTTTAAGTTGCCATCATATGTAAATTAATCACCTTGCCCAAGGGTAAAAGTAAACCTGTGTATTGTGTATGTGATTGAAGATATTTCCTCTTTCCTTTACTACTGAGCTTATTTAATATTTTTAAGGATGTGTAAAAAAAAATTATACTACTTTTGTAATTAGACAGTCTGAGTATGAGGCCACATATTCCTAAGCTTTCCAAAGATTTACTGAGACACAGTTATTAATATACTATATATAGACAAAACTAATCCAAACTGATATGATTCGGAGGGTTGGGGAAAAAATCTTTTATAGGAATAGCAATTCAATAAATTCATGCCCATATTTCCAAACTTACACAAATGCAGGAGGTTCTCATATAGTAATTTCAATAGAGAGGAATAAATCAAATAGCAAATTTTACTATAAAGGAAAGAAGCTCTGTTTTACAGAAATTTCACTTTAAAAATACAACCTCAAAATGGTACCTCCAAGAACTGCATTCTGTTCTTGACTTTGCTAAGTAATAAACTCCCTTAAAAGCATACAATTTTCAATTTTTTTTTCTTTTTTTTTTTTGAGACAGGCTCTCGCTCTGTTGCCTAGACTGGAGTGCCGTGCTGCAATCATGGCTCACTGCAGCCTTGACCTCCCAAGCTCAACTGATCCTCCCAACTCAGCCTCCTGAACAGCTGGGACCACAAGCATGTGCCACCAAACCTGGATGATTTCTTTGTTATTTTTTTGTAGAGACGGGGTCTCACTATGTTGCCCAGGCTGGTCTCAAACTACTGGGCTCAAGCAATCCTCCTGACACCCTCCCAAAGTGCTGGGATTACATGTGTGAGCCACCATGCCTAGCCTCAAAATTTTTCAATGACCAGTTTAATCTGAAATAATTTCACTCATTTGTAAACTAAAAAGTCATAATCATGTCAAAAAATCTGACAACCTATGAAGACAAAAAATTAAAGATTATATATTACTTACAACAAAATAGTTAATATGAAGCACCTACTCTCTCGACTCAGCTAAGTGCTCCAAATGTTATTTCTGTTATTAAAGGACAGGAAACATTTAAACAACTTCAGCAAGGTATCAGAGCTGGTAAGTGGAAGAACAAGGGCTCAAACCCAGTCTGGAAGATGCCAGGGCCAGTGCTTGCAACTACTATCTACTGGGTCAAGCAATTTCCTAACAAAACCTGGGACTTCCTCAATAATACAATACCAAGACAGAAATATGTTGTGATAGGAAATCAGAAAATAGCAACAAAGAAACAATTTATAGAAAAATCAGAGATATTAATTTTATATTGAGGTGCTACCCAAAGGTGTTTTTTAAATGAAGGGAAAATAAAAGAACAAAAGAAATAATTCAATTTGATAATATCACAAATGACAAATAGAAAAAGTTATTACCTTTATTCTTTGCATTTAAAACTTTAAAAATGAAATGTGAGTTGGGTGAATGTGAATAAAAGCAAATATGACTGTTACGCTACTGGCAGCAAATAAATAACTTCTTTTCTCAGTGGCATATTATTCCAGTAAACACCAATGAATGGTCTAAAAAGATACCAATGAGGTCATAAGCATCCCTCTTTATATATCCAATTATAAAAGTAGCTAACAATATATCTTTGTGTGGTCTGAAAAACAGCACTCCTAATCAATAAGCCAGAAAGCAGAAGAGAAGAAAAATAGCAATGAGCAAAGACAAAGACAGCTACTCCTCCAAAGAACAAAACTGCAGACCTTAAGCATATCTGTATTGCACAGACAACTATCAAAGTTTCTCATTCACTATCTTTCTGGTCTTCTCCCACTATTATACAAACAAGTTTTTGTAAAAGTTCATGAACATTAGTGAATATTACATTAGTGTGTTAGGATAGAGGACAAGGTTCCACATTTCTGGAATGATAAAGTGCTATATTTAAAAAACAAGTACATAAAACCCAAAAGTCAAAGAACTTAAAAGCGAATTTAAGACAGGAAGAGAAGACATTCATCACCAAATACACATATTAAACAAAAAAAAAAAATCCAGGCCATTGGAATCAAACTATTCTTACAAAGACACCATTTTGTGTAAATTAAAAATAAATAAATACAAACAAGGTCCCTGAAAATAGATGAGGTTCTCTTCCTGCTGTGAAACAACACGGTTTTAGCATTCATACAGGAAGAATTATGGTTTCAATTCAGAGTTTAAGGTCCTATTTCTCTTAGCATGCCTCAAATCCTGCTACTATAACAAAGCCAGGCACATGGACTTGAGTTTTCTATAGTTATTCCAACCCACAATACTAACACAATCTTTACTAATTGCTTTAATGTTAGAAAAGAAATCCCTCATTTTCACTGGTCTCCAGAGCCTTACTTAACTCCCTATATTCTTCAATGTTTATTTCACATTTCTATTGTGAAACGTTCAACATGTGTGCTTTATGGAGCATACTCACAGAAGAGGTGTAATAACAGTATGTTTCTCTAATGCTGTAACTTTTCAAAGCACTTTCATAGCCACTTTATTATTCAAATTACATAGCAGGCTCCTCCAACATATAATACAGAAAATTGCTGGAGAAAAGCATATTTTAAGACACTAAAAAATAAAGCAATTGTTCTATCTAAAAAAAATTTAGAAAGGACATCATGTAAATATAAAACCCTCATCTTACTAAATTATCTATGCTTTCATACAGTTCAATGCTCCAAACTCCTTAAAATACTCTTTCCTTGACTGCTGATATTGCACTATGCTGGATTTTCTCTTCTCTGGCCACCTTTCCCTAGTGGAAGCCTCTCCTACTCTATCTTACCTTTAAAATGATGGTTTCTTAGGGTTCTGTCTTTGATACACTTTCCTTATCACTTTATACTATCACCTTAAGCAATCTCACACACCACCCCAGCTTCAAATACTACTCTTCATACTGACCACTCACAAAATTATAGCTCCAACTTACACTGCTCTAAGTTTTAGGCCTAAATCTGACTGCTTACTCAACATCACTACTTAGATATCTCACAAATATCTCAAACATTAGCTAGCTTCTACATACTGATAGTTGTCTAACCATTATCCACTACCCACCCCTTCCATACTAACAGAACCTCTATTTGTTAAAGGTAGTATTGTGTCCAATTAAAAACACTTTCCCAGATTCCCTTGCAGTTAGTCTGGTCAATGAGCGTCAGGTGAGTTTCCAGTAAAGCTTCTTTCTTTAGATTTAGATATCACTCTTTTCTTTTTCTCCCACTTTGGCCATACAGGTGAGGCTAAAGATGAAACAGCCACCTTGCAACTCTAAGTTGATAGGCGTGATTTCTAAGATCAACACACTTAAGGCTTGTGTAACAGAAGTTTACCTTACTAATGGCACTAGCCCTGGTTGGTTTCCCTGATAGTCCCTGAGACTTTCTGTTATATTAGAAAAATAACCCCCATATGTTTAAAGCACTGTCAATCAACCTCCTGATATCCACAATCAAACAGATCCTTCATTGTTACAATAGCCAAAGTTAAACTAATTTCTTCCCATACTCCCAAGGTTTGCTTTTCCAGTGTTCTCCATCTTAGTTAATGCAGCAGCTTTGGCCCTGTTGCTCATACTAAAAACCTGGTAGTCAGCTTGATATCGCATTCCTTTTCACCCACCAAAAACGATCACCAAGTGCTGCCAATCCTATTTCTTAAACACATCTCTTATTTACCTATTTCTCTCACCTCTAGTCCAAGCCACCAACACATCTCGAGTCCAAAACTTCAACTTTCTCTCTCTTTAATCCATTCTCCGCAGAGCAGTATTTAAAAACCAAATCATTCTCTCCCCTTTTTTAAAGTCTTCAAAGTTTCAGCCGGGTGTGGTGGCTCACGCCTGTAATCCCAGCATTTTGGGAGACCGAGGCGGGCGGATCACGAGGTCAGGAGATCGAGACCATCTTGGCTAACATGGTGAAACCCCGTCTCTACTAAAAAATACAAAAAATTAGCCAGGCGTGGAGGCAGGCCCCTGTAATCCCAGCTACTCGGGAGGCTGAGGCAGGAGAATGGTGTGAACCCGGGAGGCGGAGCTTGCAGTGAGCCAAGATCACTCCACTGCACTCCAGCCTGGGAGACAGAGCAAGACTCCGTCTCAAAAAAAAAAAAAAAAAAAAAAAAAAAAAAGTCTTCAAAGTTTCACACTAAACTCTGAATAAAGTCCAAAATTCTTAATATAGCATATAAGACCTTTCAGAAATGTCTCCCAAACTGTGTCCTGAGGACAACCTACAGCAGAAGCACCTGGGGTGCACATTAAACATTTAGATTTTTGAATCCAACTGTAGGAATGGGCCCCAGGAAGCTAGCTGTATTTTAAAATTAAGACACTCTAACAATTCTGATGTACATCGAAATATGAGAAGGCCCACTCTACATAATATGGCCCCATCTCTTAGGAGTCATCCACAGCCAATCTCCATCCACCTCACCTCACTCTTCTTCAGCGCATTTGCCTTCTTCTTTCCCCTTCTCAAATGTGCTAAACTCCTTCCTGTTCTGGGGCCTTCAAGTCAGACTAGCCTATTAACACTATTCCATATTTCCTCTGACTCCTTCAAAACTTACACACTGTATTACCTTCCAGTGAAAACCAACCATATTTAACCACCCAGACAAAACAAGTTCTTATTGTACCCTCTCCTAGCATTTTTTTACTTTTCTATCATTATCATTATATTTGCTGAAATATTTTTTAAAGAAATGAAACATTAAAGATACAGCTAACCATGCTCTCTGCATCCATTCCATTCCCTCCTGGCAGTAAGCTTTATCTAAAGATTGGTGTTCATGTTCTTATAGTTTTATTAGTAACTACATTGCATATTTGTGTCTCATAAAGTTTATTATAGATGTACAAAAATAGCATCATATGGCATATACCATTTTGTAACTTATTTTGTAACATTTAAAATGAATTAGATCTACATGCATCAGTATTAACAAATCACTTATTACCATTTTAATTATTTTCAGTATTTATTCAGTACCTGTATCCCTGCTTAATTGCAAACACAAGTTGGATCATACTTGTCTCATTAACCACTCACTGCATATCCTAAACACTTCACGGTTTCTGGCACATATTAGGCAAGAAATAAACATTAGTTGAATAAGAACCTATCAGTGAATAATAAAGCACAGGAATAATGCTAAGGTTAATTTATATAGATCTGAATTGCACAATCAAATTTAATTAGCTAAATATCTTGAAATAATTCTGTTTGTGTGCTGTTTGAACAAAAACTAGTGAAATGCTGAGGGGGATGGTAATCTTTTTTAGTTCTTACTTGGTAGAAAAAAAGAC
The DNA here is from genome assembly GCF_000001405.40 of Homo sapiens. Lineage (NCBI taxonomy): Eukaryota > Metazoa > Chordata > Mammalia > Primates > Hominidae > Homo > Homo sapiens. The sequence goes on along the minus strand of NC_000002.12, from coordinate 190,940,887 downwards.
CAAAAGAAAATAATTTTAAAGGTTATACATTTTCATTTATATAGAGGGATCTAATCTTGGATATTGGTTGGGTACCAGAAATGAAGAGAAGAAAACAACATGAGGAGAACAAAATTCCTATTTAGAAGGCATTAAAAAAAAAAAAAAGTTTGCTAACTAAGTAAAACAGGGATTGAAAATATTGAAATGGAAACCAGGAAGCCAGAAGAATCCTGGACTTCAGCCACTTTCTTAAGGTCACACAAGTGGGAAAGCAACTTCATAAAAGCAATGAGTTATCTGACTACAAATTTACACTTATTACAAAAGCAATTCTAGAAGAGAAGCAGAGCAACTTAAAGTGGGTACGTCTACAATAAAACTGCTAATTTGCCAGAATAAGGGCATTCAGATAGGTGGAAGTTATTTTTTTGGTTATCCTTTAACAGCAGAATTGTTTCTTCATAGTCCAGTAAAAAGAGACATTAAGGCAGAAATATTTTATTGGTATGATTAAAAAGGATTAATAGTATTAGTCACCATAGAATGTTAACAAAATCACTTGTACTGTAATTTCATCAGATGTCAATGAAGTTTCATTGTGCATTAGATGCAACGTTTATTCATCTCAATTCAAATATTCATCTCAAACAGTATTATTTAGTTCATTCTTTATTTACATTATAAATCTTGTGCATAGACCTGGATCAATGATGCATATACTTCAAGGATCTAAGTAAAATAATAAATAAAGAATAAGCTATATTATACTGAAGAAGAGAAATTTGGACTTTTACATTTCATGTGTGGTTTTCTTTCGAACTTTTTAAAGAAAATTAAACTACAATGGCAAATGTCAACATCAAAAGATTTGGAAGTGAACATATATAAAGATACGGAACTGAAAACCCATTTCCTGAGTAACTTTGATATAATTTTTTAAATTACCTCATTTTGGCCCAAAATAAATTATAATATGAAACAATAAAAAATAGAATATTTGAAATTTAGATAATATATTCTGAGTTTTTCAACTAAAATCTTTAATTTGGAATGACTGTGAGAAAGAACAAAACAACAGAACTTGGGTGGAATTCAATTAATAATTTATACCATGATTTTAGGTATCAATCTCATTTAATAGAAGAAAGTCAAGCCTTAAGGATTAAGCTTTAAGCTGTCCTCTCAAAAGAATCTTTGAAATTGCCCTTTTGTGATGATTTGTGAAATAACACAATATAAAACATATATAAACACATATAACACATATAAAATAACAAAAATTTATAATTCTCATCTAGATCTAAAAAGTTCAGCAAGAGACTGATTATCATAATTGAAAGTTGAATTTTACAATAAAATGGTTCAAATGTGAGTAGTTACATTTGTGTAACTGATACTAATATTTCATCATTTTTATTTTGGAATGCATAATATAAAAGCAAGCAGACTTTATATTGAATGAGTTTATACTGAAACTTGTAGGGAGAAGAGCTACTCAGGCAGTTTAAATTTTCAGAATTAAGAAACCAATACTATAATATTTTGAGAGCAACAATATTTAAGTTTTAACATTTTGTAAGTCAACAAAGCCTTTCAAAAGTTAACATATTTCAAGAACTCAATACACACAGTCCTTCATAAATATTAAAACTCCAGAACTATGAAATGGAGATTGATACTGAAGACAACATGTACTATAGACAGAGTAAATAAACAGACAAATTAGGAAACTTGGGGGCCACTCACAGATCCAAATGTCTAAAATAAACAAGGGAAGTAGCTAGATATTTTGCATGTTTTCCAAGAGCTAACATGCAAAGAAAACAAATTTTTCTTAAGAAACCATTTGTTTAGAACTTGACTAGTCTTCTATTTATTTAAAATCGTTTTACTTATATATTTAATCTAACCTCAAAGGAATTTATTTTAAAAAGCCAGTGATGTAACATTTATTTTTAGATTTACATTTCTGCTACAGTTTTCTTTCAAAGATTGCAGGGTAATGTTTTATTTTTAGAACTACTGTGTAACTTTAACATTTACTTCTAACTTTACTAATTTTTAACAACTGGGACATAAGACTGCTTACTAGAAAAATACAATTAGTTTTAATAAATGCTGATGGTACCATCTGCCAAATAACTTATAGTCACATTAACTACTGCCAATTATGCTTCTCTCATTAAAACTAAACCACAAACAGAAACATCTACAAACAGAAAGTCCATCCTAACAAAACACAAAACAGACCAACCCCCTCAAGAGAAAAAAATCTAAATATGCTAATAGAAAAAGCAAAGTGCTAGGAAACCTGGAAAAGGGGGCTGAGTGGGGTGGGAGTCTGTACCAGGTAACATTTAAGATTACTTTCAAATTCAAATCTGTGATTCTAAAAAATATATAAGATTATGGTAAATAAAAGTACATCAAAATTCTAGAAAGGTTGGACTATGTTTTAAAAACAAAAGAAAGCCTTCGGCTGTTTTACAGAATATAAATTTAATTATAGCTCAGGATTCCAAATATAATTGCTGTGCAGAGGAGATTTTCATTATATAAACATAAATCACCAGAAACATAATATGAAAATAGAAATTTAAAAACTACTTTGGGTAAGAATTTTTTCTTTCAAAAGCTAAGCCTTCCAAATAGATAATTTTAATTATCTGTGGTTTTAAGGCCTGAAAGTGTTTCAGCAAGGTAAATACCTAATGAAAAAATACCATTATTTTTAATCATACTATGTACAGAAAAATCATATCCTCAGATATTGAAATATGGCTTAAAAATAAATACAATGAATTATTCTTTGCCATTGAGATGTGGTATATAATTTTTCTTTAAAAAAATTCCATAATTAGTAAATGAGATTTAGAGTTAAATGTATAGTAAAAATGTTACAAGATTAACCGACAGAAGCAGTTGGCACCAGCTCACCTGTTTCTAACGCTTGCCTTTTGAGGGCAAGATTATAACTTTTGTTTTAAAGCAATACATGATGGTTTTCAATAATAAGTATTCTGTAATTTACTGGTGAATGAAATTTACAAAAAAAAAAAAAAAAACCCACAGATTCCGCCAAAAAAGCAATGCAATCCAAGTGCTAATTAGTATCCTATTCATTTTGGTTAAGGGTTAATGGATCAGGAAGCCATTATAAAGTTTTTTATGAAAACAGGTTTTCTATACATGGCATATTTAAAAAATCTCTATTAGCTACAACTTACAAAAATTACTAAAGTAGATCTACAATCTACAAAATAGAAATGGCAAACAAAGTCAACTTAAATTCTCTTCCTCTCCTATGTTCATAAAATAGAAAACATTTTAAGACCATAGTAACAGAATCACTTTGTTAAATAAGCATTTATAATCAGTCTACTTAACATACTATTTTAAAAATAAGTACCTTTTCTATTACTATTTAAAAAGTTAAGAACTCTACGAAACATCACATTTTGCCCGCTGTTTCATGTTGGATAAATATTGCCTCAGATCCTCTTAGAGTAGTTTTCTAAATTTCTCAAAGTCATGTGCATTTTATGGTATTCAGATTAATAAACTACTAGCTGGAGGTTGGGGTATAAAATAAAAGAACTTCCCCCAACCCAATTAAATTCCTTCCATTTCTAATTAAATTCCTTCCATTTCTAAGCAATGTTAACAAACAAAGGTTTTTAACTTTGTTACAATTTGAAATAAAAGAAAAATAGTTGAACTTGGATATACTTGAGTGTATGTTTATGTATAATTTTGCCCTTGAACTACATGACAGAGAAAAGACCGAGTAAGGTAAAGTCCATTCTCAGTAAGTCTAAATGAAAATCTGAGCATAAGGCCATCATGCATGGTAACAAATTTCCATTTATGCTACATCTCCAACATCTGGTTTTGGTTTTATTACACAATGCAAATACAACATTAAATATAAAATGGTAGAGAAGTAATTGAGAAGAAATCACACGTTAAGTATTCTGATCGTATACCTTTAAAAAATGCTTTCTAGCATTTTCAAGGCCATGTAGGAGAAAAACCAAACTTTTTACAGATGAATAGTAAAACAGATTCTTAAAACTAAAAACTGTACCACAGTAACTAAATAAAACTGTTCCATAAACTGCTCAATATAAGTGCATTACTTCTTTTAAGTCAAAAACAATTTAAAAAATACAATCCTTCCTTATAATACATTTTGGAAAGTGCTTTAAATTCCACATGAAATCTAATATTCTTGGTTTCACTTTTCCAGAGTTCCCCCAATATTGTTAGTTACTCTCTTACCCTGGCAGTCCTGGTAGTGAATGGGAATGGTAACAGAAACCACAAATCTTTAAAGTCAAATTGAAGAAGTAAAGTATGTTATACTTTACCAATTCTAGGGCAGCAAAAATTTTAGGGGTTCTTTTGTGTCAAAGCTTGGAACAGGAATAGATCAATGAATAATTTATACATAGTACACAATGTGAAAAGAACTGCTCATCATTTTCAGAATATGAATGGGTAGATTAAGGTACATAGATAAGGAAATCATATATATGTATGCACAAACGTATATACATATGCACAAACATATGCAACCCACACATTATATATAAATTATCAGGATATAGGCTGACATATCAGTATATTTCAGCAGTTCTTTCCACATAAATATATGCCTATTAAATATACACTGTCAGATCAAGATCACCAGGTATTTTAAGTCTCCTCTCTCTTTACTTCAAATAAATTTTTTAAAAAAATCTTTAAAAGCAAGTAATCATAAACTGTTACATATATTGAATATATCATTATACTGGAACTCCTTATTAACTAATTCTAAAAGAACTTCATTTAAAAATCCCACAGATTAATACAAATTCATGTAAACAACAGTATTTCCCCTTTCAAATAGTTTTAAAACTTCTACAATATATTCAGGAATCTCCAGAATATGAATGGCAGATTTAATTAAACATAAAAATGTAAAGTACTATATTTGACCTACAATACATGGAGCCTCTATAATTTGTACTATAATTTGGATCATGCTGTGGAAATATACAAAATTCCTTCTGAAAATGTAATCCCCTCAGAAACCAGTTAAGGTGAATTTCTGTATCACTGTCATTCTGTTTAATATAAATTCTACTGAGATTAACAGTTTTATTCTAAAGCAATATGATGATACTCTTCATTTGGTTTAGCAATGTTTTTCCTATTATTTAGGCAACAACAGATAAAATGAGAGTTACATAGTGAATAACAACAATATTCCTCCTCAGAAAGCAGAAATAACCTACAAATAGGGTTGCACTTTTTTTAAAGTTACCAAATGGAAAAACCACCAAAAAAATTGAGAGAAAAGTTTTTATTCAAATACTTCTAGTACAACCAATAAGAAAAGTCCTCCTCCCAAAAAAACCACTAATGCTATATTGCATTTTAAAAAATCAAATAAAGCCCTTTTGAATATTTCTAGTTTACTTTGAGGCAGCTTCAGAATAGCAAACACTTTAACAGTATCTTCATAAAGAATAATTTTTTCTAAGTTAAAATCCCAACTGTATTTGTACTTAAAATGTTGAAGTTGCTTTTATAAAAACAAAACAAAACAAAACAAAAAAAACAATAAAATCAGCTTAAAATAAATTTATTGTGCAATACAAAATGTAGGCATACTGGAAAATAAAGGTACATTATTAAATATACAAAGCAAATGAAAGCTAAACAACACAAATGTTTTCATCCAAACACTAAGATAAAATGCACAACATTTATGCTAAAAACAAAGTACTTCAAGAACAATATGCATTTCAAATGAAATGTTAATGATGCCAAAAAAAGAAAGAAAAAAGAAAATCAAATATGCTACATTGTAAATGCTTGAATATCAAGAATCAATAATGGCATAAAACAAACCCAATAATAGTGGGTACTATCAAGAACTTTGTTTAAAAAGGTGTTAAGAATACTGAAAGAATCAAAATATGTCCTTAAAACTGGCAAAGTTTTTTCTTTTTTAAGTTTGAGGGCCTATTCGCAGTATCTTATCTCTTCTTCCGTTTATACTTTTCTATAAAAATTTCTGCTCATTCTTAACATTTTCTAAACACAGTAGCTTAGATAACAGTACTTCATTTTTAAGTATGCATTTAAAGCATTACCAACACAAAAATAGTAAGTGACACAAATTAACAACCTAATTTTGAAATCTATACAGCTATGTATACGATATGAAAACTAAATCTTCATTTAATAAAGTAAAACCAACTTCGGAATGAAATGGTAAAATGTAACAATTTAGATCATAGGGGAAACCACAATGCCTTTTTTCCAATTAAGGCATTCGGTTGCCCAAACTACAAATGGCCCTGGTGCAACTAACATAAATATGCAACACAAATATGCAGTAAGGCCTTGAGAAGCATCCAGTTAGGATATGCATCTGAACATTCAAAGAACATTCAAGTAAGCATAAAATCCTTGGGAAAATCCTCTACAACTTAAAATATAATTATTTAAATATATAAATTTAATACTTAAGTTAGCCCAAAAGGCTTTTTGGCCAGCACCTCTAGAAGGGAATTTCTTTTCTTAATATCACAGTTCCCAAACTTAAGACATTATGATCAAGATTTTCTATCTTTATTTGCACTAGTATCTAAAATACTCAGTGAAATCTTTTTTGCTACACTATATTTACTTTTACAGACTTTCCATTACCACATACATACACCATCATGCTAAGAAACCACCAAGTTTTTCTTCTAATCCCCCACTAAAATTAACAGGTTTCAACAAACTTGAAATTATAGGGGAACTATGGGGAAAACCAGAGAAGTATATGGAAGAAGGAAGAAGTGTGAATAGGTCCTACAGAATTTTACAATCACTTTGCCAAGACAACTATAAATACTATGAATAATTACTTGAAATCAGGTTGTGTAGAATCTATAGTTCTCTTAAAAACAAGTTTTGATTCTCAATATTGCATTTTTATACCAAATAAAAGGATTTAGATCTAACGTATTTTAGTAGCATACTTACTACCTGCAGACTAAATTCATTTCTCAAGTACTCTAAAAAACTTCAAATAGAACAAACTTTATGAGATGCTATAACTTATCACAAAAGAAATATTAGCATTTATAAAATTAAGATAATAAAATGTAAAAGCTAAAAACCAAAATTTGCCATTCATATTTAAATATAACATAGAAAAAGTTATGTGGATAATATGAAAATAAAATTGTTTAGGTGAACAATTCACTTGAAGACACTCACTGTTTCTCCTTCTGAGTAACTAACCATTATAGCTTTTTATTGATGAAACATCATTATCTCACATCTGAAATTCTTTGGCTGGAATGTTTTAGTAACATAAGACACTCCTGTATATAACAACTCTGACAGAACAGAGGAGTTGCAAAATAAAAAAAGTAGGAGTCATATTTTAAAGCATTTGATAAATTTTTAAATAAATTTTTTAAAATGTAAAGCCAATCTATCACCAAAAATGGCATAAATGTAAACACAAGCTAATTTTATAATCCACTGCTATTTTAAATAAAATAATTTGGGGTTCATTATTTTGCCTTTTTAGTTTTGTATTTAGCATAGAAGTACCTTCTATTGCCACTAAAGACATCACATTAGTTTTAAAAATGGAAAAGAAAAAACAAAATGCAACAAAACTTATGAGTTTAATTTGTGAATTTTAGAACTAAGAATTACAATTTTCTGTTACTATTGTAAAATGGGATTATCTGACCACATAGTTAACATTTTAATTACATCAAAAAAAATTTAAATTTTTCCTTTTTGTATTTTTAAAAATAAAGCAAATTTATGTACTTGTAAATACTTTTTAAAGACCAACAAATGCACTTCTTAATCTACTGCCTTTATACAAAGATTAAAAGGAAAAAAAAGCTTTATGGCTCCAGCACCCAAGATTGAGAACAAAAAATACCTCAAATAAATATTTATAACTTGCAAAAAAAAGCTAAAGATGTTTGAAAGATTAAATGAAGAAACATTCTGAAACTAGAACCCATTTCTTTAGCTTTTCTCTCCCAGACTTTCCATTCTATATACTACAGTTGTAGAGATGTCCTCATTTGACTCAGGTGACACTTTTTTCCATACTGTCTCTTTTAAAGCAAGTTCTTGTTGGAGACTTTCATAGTCCAATGGTCCAAAGGAATGCTAGTTGTTCAAGCAACATACATAATTTATTAGTGCACTTGAGTGAAGAAAGGTCCAAGCTATAAAATGGTATTTTTCAATGAGCATTATTAAAATGTTAACATTTTAAACCACCACCTCTGACATTTTGCTTCATGTTACTCAGGTCGACTCCCATGGAAGTTTCTATTCTGTTGGTTTTGCATAATTCTTACATAGTAACAGAAATTAATTTGATAAAAACTAACAAAAATTTAGTTTAGCACTACAGAAAATGTACTTAGTATGTATTAAAAATATTTTCTACTTAGAAGTTCTTCATATTATCTTGAGGTCTAATTAGGTAATTTTACTACAAACATTTTCAATATGGTACGCAAAGAAACTGAATCAAAATTCTCAGCACAAGCCCCTTGGTACAGTGAAAAACTATATAGACCAAAAAAGTTAAGTCCTGACTCTTAATACTACTTCTAAAAAAAGGAATATATGTGTACAATAGTATGAAGCCAAATAAACTCGTAACAAACAAATAGGACCGTAAGATTATTAGGAATATTGCATTAAACACGGTGGAAAAAAATATTTCATCTACAGTGACTTATAAAACTTTTGAGGCTTCATACGGTCTCTCACTAATATGATAATCCTTTTCCATTTACATATCCATCTACACAGTATGCAAGAAGTTAAACTTCAATTTAGGACGAACAAATATTAAAACGATGCTTTCTTTATAGCATGCAGCACATTCCAATGTTTTGTTTTGTTCTTTTTTTAACAGAATCAATTCTAAAAATCTTGCTTAAAATAGCAGAAAATGGAAGGGGAAATCCCTGACACTAGGCTAACTAGTTTCAATTTAAATAACAAAACAGCAATATTTAAATATCTGTATCTATTAACTATCTATTAAACAATCTTTAAGTATTTAATACTGGTGATCCCGGATTTATATGTCAACAATTTGTTTACACTCATTTATGATTAGCAAAGACCCGAGGCCACTAACAAACTAAGATTTTATTTATACAGGCAAATCTCACTTTTTCTCTTCTTAAAAATTTTATATACTTATCTAAATAAGAATTTTGCTTACCCTTTGATCACCACCTTCTCTTCGAGGATCAAGTTTTTTTGCAAAGTGTCTCAAATTATCATAGTTATGGAAATTACACAGAGAAACAAGATCCTGTAAACAGTTATACAGAGCAGGTATAAGAAATTGGCTATTCATTGGTTATATATATCCATATTTTAACAAACTCTGCTTATATCGTCCAGCCTAGAAATCATCACTACATGCTAATAAAGTAGTATAATGCATCAAGAAGAGAACTAAAATCAGAGTAAGATATGGATATAAGTTTTAAGAACACTGCTTACTAACATGATCCTAGGGCTCAGCCAATCAAATCATCTTTCATCTTCTACAAAATAGGGTTTATAACCGGCCCCATGAAAGAATTCTTCTATCAAATAAGTGTAAAGCCACATTAAAATATAAATAAGTACTCTGGTTACAATCTACTATATTTTATATGCACTCCAAGGTCATACTCTAGTTTTTGTAAAATATAAAAGACTGGAAAATAAAACAATTTTAATTGAGTATGGTACTTAATATGAACTCAAGCAAGTAATCAATGTAACTAAAACTAGAAGCTCAAACATTAGCAGGAACTGGGTAACAACAAAATACAGAACTATCAAGAGCAGTAACAGTTTAAAAATGGTTTAATCTTTTTTTAATTTTCAGTGCTTATTTCCTCAAAAAAATGTTTAAAGGTAGTCAATGGATAAAGATATTTAACCATGCAGATTAAAGATATAATAAACCAAAATAATTCTTAAGATATACTGGCTTTTAAATTACTTCTCCAAGTTTAATACCTTTTGTTGAGCTTTTGAAAATTCATACTAATTATAACCATGAAAATTAAAATATTAGCATCTAACAAATATAATCTGTGGGAATAATTAAATGGGAGCTGTCTGACAGAGACAACTTGAAGCTCCTCTGGGAGTATTTCCACGGCTCCCTAGTAACTGGCACACTATAGGCGGAGGGCCAAGAGTTAATGAACTATGGAAAATGGGTTAAAAAAAAGAATCATTGGATGGCTCAACTTGTAACACCATTATTTACATTAAGAAAATATGCTTACGTGACAAAAGTGAATTCCCTTAACACTGTTGCCCATCTTATCCAGAGGAGGAGACCAGCACATCATACCCATAACATTGGGGACAACTAAAAGAATGCCCCCAGCAACTCCAGATTTTGCAGGAAGACCAACCTAAAAATAATTCAGTAAAAGAGTATTCAGGTAAACATTTTAAAATAAGAAATGTTATGTTCAACAATAGGGAAACTGGGGCTGGGCACCATGGCTCACTCCTGTAATCTCAGCACTTTGGGAGGCCAAGGCAAGCAGATCACTTGAGCCCAGGAGTTGGAGGCTAGGCTGGGTAACACAGGGAGATCTCGTCTCTACAAAAAACAGTGAGACATGGAAGTGCACACCAGTAGTCACAGCTACTCTGGAGGATGATGTGGGAGGATTACATGACCTCAGGAGGTCAAGGCTACAGTGAGCCATGATCGCACCACTGCACTCCAGCCTGGATGACAGAGCAAGATCCAGTTTCAAAAAAAAAAAAAACACAATTGGGAAATTGGTTTAAAAATTAAAAATTATCTCCTGACCTTGTGATCCGCCCGCCTCAGCCTCCCAAAGTGCACGCCTGTAGTCCCAACTACTCGGGAGGCTGAGGCAGGAGAAAGGTGAACCCGGGAGGCAGAGATTGCAATGAGCTGAGATCATGCCACTGCACTCCAGCCTGGGCAACAGAGTGAGACTCCCTCTCGAAAAAAAAAATATATATATATACATACCATAGAATTTCAACATTAAAAATATTGTAGATAAATTTTTATCAACATGTTTATAAATAAAGTTATAAGGCCGGGTGCGGTGGCTCATGCCTGTAATCCCAGCACTCTGGGAGGCCGAGGTGGGCAGATCACCTGAGGTCAGGAGTTCAAGACCACCCTGGGCAACATGGCAAAACTCCGTCTCCACAAAAAATACAAAACTTAGCCGCGTGTGGTGGCAGGCACCTGTAATCCCAGCTACTCGGGAGGCTGCGGCAGGAGAATCGCTTGAACCTGGGAGGCAGAGGTTGCAGTGAGCCAAGATCGCACCACTGCACTCCAGCCTGGGTGACGAAGCAAGACTCCATCTCAAAAAAAAAAAAATTATGAAACAGTTTGGGATAGATATGAATATAGAAAAATTGTTTAAAGATACATTCTAAGGAATTATAGCAGTTACATCTAAATTGTGAGGCTATGGATGCTTTTATTCTTCCTGACTATATTTTCTAATTGTTCTAAGATAAACGTATTGTTTTTAAATATAACAAATTATTTTTTAAAAATATTTTACAACTAGAAAACAATAAAAAGTTATATATTCTTAAAAGATTTTCTAAAATGGTAATTTAAATTACTCCTCCTCAAAAAATTTAAGTTACATTAGCAAAACTTGACAAATGATAAAAAAAAAAATTAATGTCATTAGAGCAGTGTTCATTAATTGCTTACTAACATTCAGTCAGTCAGTACCTCTGGATAGGAGAATTGCTAGAACCCAGGCGATGGAGGTTGCAGTGAGCCGAGATCACGCCACTGCACTCCAGCCTGGGCGACACAGTGAGACTCTGTCTCAAAATAAATAAATAAATAAACAAACAAAAATAAAAGAAGTATACCAATAAAGTACTTTTACACAAAACTAAACAAAACAAGCAGACCAAAAAAAAAAAAAAAAAAAAAAAACACACCTGAATTGGATCTACAAATTTATAGGAAATACAAGGGACAATGGAACAGAGGTAATCAGCAATGTAGAGACAGTGGAAAACTGTATAGACTAAATTACCCAGTTTTTCCAACCAAAAATAACAAGAAAAAAAGAGAGACAGGTCAAAAGAAGACCAATAGATTTAAAAAAAAAAAAAAAGGAGACAAAACCCAATCATAATGTATGCACCTCATCTGTATCCTAAGTCAAACAAACTATAAAATAATATAATAGGCCAGGTGCAATGGCTCACACCTGTAATCCCAGCAATTTGGGAGGCTGAGGCAGGTGCATTATTTGAGGTCAGGAGTTCGAGAACAGCCTGGCCAACATGGCAAAACCCCATCTCTACTAAAAATACAAAAATTAGCCAGGTGCAGTGGCAGGCGCCTGTAATCCCAGCTACTCGGGAGGCTGAGGCAGGAGAATCGCTGGAACTCAGGAGGCAGAGGTTGCAGTGAGCCAAGATCGTGCCACTGCACTCCAGTCTGGGCAACAAAGTGAAACTCCGTCTCAAAAAAAAAAAAAAAGAAATAATAATTTACAAGATAATCCAGGAAATCTAAACACTAACTAAATATTTTGATATTCAATTTAATATTGATATTAATAATGATATTAAAGTTTTGATATGTAATATTTAATTTTTATATGTAAAAACTGTATTATTGTTATGTTTTGTTAAGGATCCTTATTTAGAATTACATACTGAAATATGACAAGGATAGGGGAAACAGATGCACATACAGATGAAACAAGATTAGTAATGTATTCATAATTAATGAAGCTGAGTGATGGATAACATTAAATGTATCTCTCTCTCTCTCTCGTTTTACATGTTTGAAAATTTCCAAAATAAAAAAAGCTTTTAGAAGGGCATTATGACTTGACATGAGCAGAATGAAATAAAAAAAGTCTATATACTTTACAAGTGGCAAATGCACAACAGAGCTTAAAGCAGTACATTTTTGTTAAGTTTTAACTTTAATACACTTTTAGTCCTTAAAACAGCTATGGCCGTAACCAAAGATGTGAAACGTCACATCTTTGCAATCTTTCTGAACTTAGAGAATTCTTAAGATACATAATCATAATGCTAAACATTAAAAACAAAAAGTAAAGAAAGACTGTACTAACCTTGTACACTGGATTGCCTTAAAAGCAGAAGGGATGAGGTTCTATAAATCAAACTTCCAAGTTCTTAAGAACATCTGGTAGACCTTATCTCTATTCCTTACTAATCTTGTAACAAATTAACCTTGAAAACAAGCCTCTCTCTCAAAAATTAATATACAGCTTTAGAAGCAAAGTTCAAACTGCATTTTTAAAAGAACCAGTTCAGACTAGTTTCTTGCCAGAGAAAATAAGATTAAACAATTACTTACATGGAAAGCAAACTGCCCTGAGAAGTCATACATGCCACAGGAATGCATCAAACTCAATGTATTTCGAACTGCTTCAGGGCTCAGTACTCTTTCACCAGTAATTGGGCAGAAACCACCATTAGCCAGTGTCGCAGCCATCACACTGGCTGATTCACAAGTCACTTCAATGGAGCACAGCTAACACAAAGAAAAAGCAGAATTCTCATACTACTTTTAATATTACTGTTCACTTTTAAGATAATCTATTTTATTTGGTATTTCATACAGATCTGAAATATTTCTTCCAAAGAGATTACTTTAATATAAACTTGAGGACATTCTGAAGATTTTAGTTGACCGAAGTCCTACCCACTTTTAAGATTTACCCTGATTTGGCCAAAGATACTCAGTCTTTTAATGGCAGAACTAGACTAGGAAGTGCCAGCCTCTAAACACTAAGATTTGTTATTATCCCATGTGATATTCAAATTTGCTTAAATATTAATACTTTCTGTGGAATACACAAGCATAATTACTTTTAACTCAACAGAAAAAAAAAGAGCCATGAAATATTTTTAAGATAAAGCACCATACATGAAGATTATGATAGTGTCTACATGAGAAATCACCATTTTAGAAAAAAATGCTACAGTGCCTGACATTTCACCCATAACAAAGTTCGGCATCCCCATCTATATGGTAACAGGCAAAGGAAAAAGGGGAAGAAAAATATAAAGCAGATCTGTCTCAGATGCTCTGTAAGCCTAAACCAAAATGTTATCCTTTAGACCATTTATTAATATTTATTTGATATTTACTATGGGTGCTAAGAATACCCTCTAGGATAAAATTTTTGCATTTAAATACAATCAAAATAATGAAAATAGTTCACCGTACCAAACCCAAATTTACCCATAAAATGAAAATAAATTTTTCCACATTTTATTTTTAGCTAATAGTAAGCAAAATTGGGATGAGACGGGGTCAAAAAATAAAGTGGATAGGAGAAGAATGAGTTCAACTTATAAATTTTCCTCAGCCATACTCCAAGATCTACAAGAGGCACAAAGGGGTTTGGAAATAGCAAGGAGGAAAACTAAGTACAGTGAATTAGAACATTGTGTGTTTAACTTTGACTACATTGCCTATTTATATAAAAAATCTCTTCCCTATTTCTCAAAAACGACAGAATCGACTTGCAATACTGCCCCAGATAGCAAAGATTTGTGATAAGGTCGACTTAATCATGCAAGGCTTTCTGAATTCCAATGATCATTTCCTAATTTATACTTAACATTAATTGGAATTTTGTTTGTCATAAGGCAGCACATTCTTAATTTGCCAAATGCCAACTCGGGTACTCTCCTGCTAATCTCAATGGCCGTTCAATTTGATGCAGCCCTTCTCCAAAAAAGTCAGTACCACTTCTATGGCTGTTTCTTGATTTTTGCAATGAAGTATAGAAATGTCACATTACAGTAGATTCTATAACAGCCAAATTTAAATATGTATTCCAAAGGAAAAGAAACTTACGGAAAAAATTCATACAGACCAGGGGGAAAAAAAAGGCTAGTTTCAAAGGAATTTCACATATCATCTCATGTTATCTTCCACATAATATGGCAAGGCAGGTGACGCATATACTACACATAAGGAAACTAGGGATCAGTAACTAAAATTAGGTCACATGGCTAATAAGTGGCCAGGCTAGACCTTAAATTTTATATTGATGGTCTGGATTCCCAATTTACGGTTTTTCACATTGGGCCGATGAAAAGCTGCAACCTGGACATCTATCAAAATCTAACTCATTATCAACCTCCCTTATATATTCTCTAAGATTACTGAAAGGTTAAAATTAAGGAACCTTTAATAGTAAAGACAGGCAAATGTAAGGTGAACTAGAAATTAACAATAATGTAGCCTCCTATGTGGCTTCACATTACAGCCCCATCAGTGGCACCAACTGTGTTAAATCTGTAAGAATAAATTGAGCTGAAAATGTGGGTGAAAGAAGAGATCTCCAGGAAGGCTATTCTAAATTGAGTTCTATACCATAGCCCATTGTGCGTAACACGGTCCCTCTCGCTCAACCCCACCCCCTCAATATTGAGAGCTACTCTAACTTACAAGAAAGCCCGACATATGACACTGCAGAAATGAACTAGCACCAGTTAAGCCAGGATAGAGTAGTAACAAAGAAATTACAAGATACCAAGTCAGCTGAGACACTGACACTTTTAAATGCTGAATAAGAGCCCTCTGATTTAAAAAATAAAAAAATAAAAAATAAAGCTTTTCCCAAACAAAATGTAAAAGCTACGAAAAATTTAGAGCCCAGTTTATAATTAAGAGTGCCAATTTCTGGGAGTGTTCATTATTTTTGACAATTCTTAAATATGTTTACAGAAAAAATTGTCCCCATTACATTTTGAGGCATGAATTTTTAGGCAACATGCATGGACATGAGACTGCCTTTTATGAAGACATTTTTGAAAGTCAATGGAAAATGTATTTTCTCATGGCCTAGAACCAAGATTTCTGAGACATCTATATTTTGCATAATGTGACACATCCATTTATTTATTTTGAGACGGAGTCTCACTGTGTCGCCAGGCTGGAATGCAGTGGCGTGATCTCGGCTCACTGCAACCTCGGCCTTCCAGGTTCAAGGGATTCTCCTGCCTCAGCCTCACAAGTAACTGGGACTACAGGCACACACTACCACACCCGAATAATTTTTGTATTTTTAGTAGAGATGGGGTTTCACCATGTTGGCCAGGATGACCTCTATCTCTTGACCTCATGATCCACCTGCCCTGGCCTCCCAAAGTGCTGGGATTACAGGCGTGAGCCACCGTGCCCAGCCGACACATCCATTTATATATACGATTTACATAATTAGATTACCTGGAAGTAGAAGTCTAATATACCAACCATGTCTGTGCCTTCTGGAAAACACTAAAAAAACCAGAAAGGCAATTAAAAATTCAGGCACACAGGAATGCACATAAGTAGAGAAATATATGAAAAATTTCAAATGTACACAAGTGTTTCATTTTAATTAATAAAATAGCATGTAACTTCTAAAAGAGTATAAACATGAAATAAAAAAGCAAAATTTTATCACATCATGTAAGTTTCTAGATACTAGTTTAACTGACAATGATAAAATGATTCATGATTTATAAATCAAGTTACTAGACCAGCCACTTAAAAAAATCAAGAGTAGTTAACAGTAATCAGGCATCATGCTTTTGAAAAAATAGACTAAACCTCAAACAAAATTTGTATTAATAAATAATATGAGTCAAATATTTAAATGCTGCCAGATACAAATCAAATTAACAATAACATTAACAATTTGATAACACTGACTCACGAGCACTCTGCAAAAACTTCTGCACCTTAAATAGTAATAGGTAGTTGCTTAAAGGCTATTGTTGAATTCTTAGCATACATCTTCATGTATTTTATTAAATGAAAGAATAATTTGAAATAGAAACAAAAATTTAAAAACCTTCTTTTCTTTTAAGTAATATCCTATTGCAAAATTTCGATCTCCACTTTCTCTTTCAGACTGAAACCTGGAAGAAGAAAAAAAAACATTTGCTCTATGTACTTTCTTTAAAAGTGTGATTGTTCATAATTTCATTTGCATAGCAATGTACAGCATAAAGAACACTGAACTAAGATTCAGGACTACAGAGTTCCAATCAATTCTGTCAATAGGCTATTTGTGTGACTTTGGACAAGTCATTTAAGTGGTAATTCTTTCAATCTTCATTTTCTTGGCTATAAAATGACTGAAACGAATTCAGGTCCTTTCTAGTCTTCATATTTTGTAAACAAAAATGCTAATTTTAAAATTCTCAAATCTTCTACCATTAAAATACACTGAAAAACTGCAGAATCCTCTGGCTACCCAAAAGTACAATAAGAGTCCATTTTAATTGACATAATCAGGGAACTTGACATAATCATGGAACTTTCACTGAGAGTGGGAAACACAAAATGGATCTTGCAGGACTCAATGGACTAATAGATTTCAGGGTGAGGCCTAGGCACTGGCAAATTCCATGCATCATGAACGGGTTAGAAAAGTATATAGACAGGGCTCCACTGAAGAATGGCAAATATTCTGATGTAACTGGGGAATGGCACATGGAGAGGAGTGGGAAAACATCAAACAAACAAAGGAGACTGGGACCAAATTATCAAAACCAATAGATGCCAAATAATTAATAGCTCCTGACTACCCACAAAACAAAAGCCTGAGGGCTTACAAAGAAGTTACCTAATCAGATCTGCATTTTGGAAAGATAACTCTGACATCAGTTTGAAAAAGGGGAAAAAGAAGTGATGACTGATCTATTAAGAGAATACTGTAATGAGAGCTACAAAAGCCTGAATTTAGGCAGCTGTGATAGGAATGGAAGGAGAGGTATGATCAAATATGCAAGTAGTTGGATAATCTTCCAACCTGATGAGAAAAAGGAGAGGCAGAGTAAAGACTGATACAAAGCCTGAATTTCTAACATAGCCTGAGAGGATAATAATATTAACTGATACAGGGATCTATCTCTAGAGCAAAGAGCAGTTTGGAAAGAAAGAGAATGAGTTTTGATTTAGACAGATTTAATTTGCGGTATATTTGAGAATTGCCCTACAAGTCTAAAAGGGCTGCTGATATTAGAGGAACTGTGGTTAATGTTCTTTATATCACTGAGGTGGACAGCCCCTTCTAATTGCACATTTTAACATTTCAAATTCTTATCAATTTGCCGTACTTTTAAAAAAAACATCAACATAGTTTAGATAAATGACTAACTAGTCAGCAGTTATCACAGTGACTGACACATAGTTCTTCAACACTATCTCAAGTGCCTATTATCTGCCAGATAACAGGGATACAGAAATGAACTGGAAGACACAACATTCCATCTAGGTCTTAAGGAGGGCAGAGTCTAATGGTGGTTATGGGGCAAAGAGAGACATGTAATAAGTTTGATAAAATATGGTAACAGAAGAGCACAGAAAAGAGGCAAGTTGAGATTCATGGAATACTTCCTGGAAAAGATACTTAAGCTGATGAATTAATGTTGGGAAGCCATGCAACCTGAAAATGTTTACCCCTGAAATGCGAAGCAGGAAGTGCAAAATAAGAATAAAATAGTAGTATACATGCTAAAACTGTTTAACATAATAATATTACGATAACGTTTAACATTATAGTGTTTCTAATGACAAGGAACCAGACAAATACAAAATGGGAAACATCCACTATACGGCCTGCTGCCTGTTTTTATAAAGTTTTTTATAACACACCCTCATATTGTCTATGGCTGTTTTCTACTAAACAGCAGAACTGAGAAGTTACAACACAGACCGTATGGTACACAAGCTTAAAATATTTACTGTCTGGTCCTTCAAAGAAAAAGTCAGCAACCCCTGGTCTATAAAACAAGCAGCCTGCACTCTTTAAAAATAAAAGCCATTTAATAAAATTTGTGAAAGCAAGGGCACGGGGACTGTTCTAAGTAAAGAGACAAAACAGACATCGTAATAAATACAATGTAAGAACCTTGATTTGTTCCTGAATCTAAAAAATAATAATAAAAGTTGTAAAAGACATTTGGGGAAGAGATGGGGACATTTACATATTGATTAATGTCATGATATTTTAAAATTAACGTTAACGTTCTTACATGTGTTAATGGTATTGTGGTTATGTAGGAGAATGTCCTTATTCTTAGACTGTATGTGCTTTCTTATCTAAGGGTGAAGTATGATGCCTGCAACTTAATTTGAAATGGTTTAGGGAAAAAAAATCTATGTACATATATATTTACATATTTGTGTTTAGAGGTATACATACATATTTTTTATCTATCTAAAGAGACAGAGATTGAGAAAAAGCAAGTAAGACAAAATATTAGAAAATATAAGTAAAAGATTCCAGATATTTATTTTTTCAACTTTTCTATAGACTCACAAATTTTAAAATAAAAAATTGGGGTAAAAATCCAGATAGCCTGGAACAGAAATAGAAGAGAGGTAAGACAGGTATTACAAGCAAAGATAAAACTGAATAAGCACCAGTAATTTGAGATAAACTTGGGGTCTCTTCTGATTGTATGATTACCTGTAAGAAATTTGTCAAAACTATTTAAAGTATTTTTAAGTGTTTCTGTCAGGTAATTTAGAAATCATTCATTTCCCTCCAATGAAAAGAGAGTGGATCAATTCTAAATACAGTTGTGTGTTTTTACGTAACAAAACAGTATTTAAAACACTCACGTTGCATTACTGAATCCAACATATTCATTACCAGCCATCTTATTCAAAAACTGCATGACCTAGAAACCAAAAGTAGGGAATATTAGTAATCAAAAAACAAATATATAGAGAATGTGGCATGAAAACTGAATGACATGTTGCACTTACATAGTCAAATTTTTCAGCATTATTTACTCCTTGCTGCAAAAAAATAAGAGACATAAATACGTTAATATAGGTACCACTACAGTTAAGTTTCAAGCCAATATCAAAATTTCAAAGCTACTATTATAATATACTGCATTAGTATTTTTAAATCTAGGAAATAGTTCTAAAGTAATTTAACATTTATATAAACTTTTTTTCATGTTATTTAATACCCATATGTTGAGAATGCATTAGAATTACAAAGGGAATGCTTTATTTTAAGTATATCTTTACCCAACCCAAAGTTACAGAATTTTAAATACAAGTTACCATGAATTCCCTTATCTTTCATGACAGCACATAATTTGCTAAAATGTGTTATTTATTTAATCTTATATTTAAAAAAACTTAAAATAAAGTTTCACCCTTCGAAAAGAATTAAGTATATATAAAATATTTCAATTAAGAACAATCTACTTATATTTTATTAAATCCTTAAACTAATATCAGAGTTAGAAAAATGAATTATGTTGCAAAACTAATCTTTTAATTCCAGTATATGCAAACATTCTGGTTGCATTTTACTACTGCAGAGAAAGCTCTATTCTTAATAGCTCTCACTTGCTATAATATACTTGAACTAAAAAAAATTATATTTCACAGTCTCTAAAAAATTAGCTTCTGTTGTATTTAGCATTATGCCAATTCAGAATATGGAAGATGTATTGTTTCATCACTTTCATTTCTGACATGTTATCTACTGCAAATGTCAATAGGAAAAATCTATGTAATGTAGATCAGTTCAAGTAGCCAAATGGTTTCATTTTACCTCGGCGAAGTTTACAAAGCAGTAAGTTGTAGATCTGAAATCAAACGTATTAATTGGTGATATGCACCCAAAAGAAACAATACATCTCTAATTTCTAAAATAGGCTTAAAATAAAATAATTTGACAACTAAAGTTTTTAAAACATATTTTCTTTTACTTTACCCTCAAAAAACCCAAAACATTGTACTTTAAAATATTATGGGAGGAAAACCTGTACCAGAGAATTATTTAATTGAATAAAGCCAGGTTCATTCTTTACAAGAGGATTAGAGTGTGGCTGACAATATGTGAAAACCTACAAATCCACTTTTTTAAGAAAGATGTGCAATCACATATATACAATCAGTAGCTGGAAGGAACACCATACTATTTCATCAAAATTAGGCACTAACAAAACTTCAACAAGATTAAGGATAATTTAATTACAGCCATATTGTAATCACTATCTATGTATTTTCTCTAAAGTATCCTTTGACATAATTTTTTCTTTCCTTATAATATACCAGAAATCAAAATGTAGAAATGTAACTCCAAAGCTGTTCAATGAAAAATAATTAAAAGAAGAAATTACCAACTTCATTGAACTGTTGCAGTTGTCAAAATATTCCATAGATCCTAATGCTGTAAAATATGTAACAACATTTAAACCACAAAAACCTTTGTAACCTTAGAAAAAGCACAAAAAAACAACTCTTTTGGAAATGGATGTCAGCATTTGCATTGGGATGTCATATGGATAATTACTGGTTAAACAATCAATGTAAAATAAACAAGTTATGTTGAACTTCATTCTGTGACCTAAACTGTACCCTATAAAACTCTTACAAGTTTTCTTCATTGGGCTGTCATGTTTAATACACAAAAATAAAAACCATTCAACTCTAGACTATGGTCACATAATTGGTCTATTTTGTGACTTACTAAATTAAAGCACAATTAAGTTTTGCTCTTAACGTTGTTTTTAAGAAACAACTGGTATTTACCAATGTCTAGCATTATACAGTATAACATTTTGGGTACTCAACATTCTCTAGACAGATTATGTAAATAGAGCAAAAGAAAATACAGGCACACCTCATTTTATTGAGCTTCACTTCATTGTGTTTCACAGATAGTGCATTTTTTAAGAAATTGAAGGTTTGTGATAACCCTGCATCAAGTAAGTCTACTGGCACCATTTTTCCAACAGTATGTGCTCATTTTGTGTCTCTGTGTCACATTTTGATAATTATTAGATGTCTTATGGGGATCTGTGATCAGTCATTTTTGCTCTATTACACTTGTTTTGGGGTACCACAAGCCATGTCCATATAAGATGGCCAACTTAACCTATAAATGTTGTATATGTTCTGACTGCTTCACTGATTGTTCATTCCCATCTCTCTCCCTCTCCTTGGGGACCCCTATTCCCTGAGACACAACAATATTGAAAACAGGCCAATTAATAACCCTACTATGGCCTCTAAATGTTCAAGTGAAAGGAAGAGTTGTATATCTCTCACTTTTAAAAAGCTAGAATGATTATTAAGCTTAGTAAGAAAGGCATGTTGAAAGCCAAAACAGACCAAAAGTTGAGCCTCTTGCACCAAAGTTAGCCAAGTTGTAAATGAAGTTTCCTTTGCATTTCTTGAAGTTCTTGAAGGAAATTAAAAATGGAACTTCAATGAACACGCAAATGATGGAAAACAAAACAGCATAACCGGTAACATGGAGAAAATTTGTGTGGTCTAGATAAAAAAAAAATGAAACTAGCTACAATTTCCCTTAGGCCAAGGCCTAATTCAGAACAAGGCCCTAACTCTCTTCAATTCTATAAAGGCTGAGGGAATTGAGGAAGCTGCGGAAAAGGGTTTGCAGCTAGCAGAGGTTGATTCATGAGGTTTAAGGAAAGAAGCCGTCTCCATAACATAAAAGTACAAGGTGAAACAATGGCAAGGGCTGATGCAGAAGGTGCAGCAAGTTACCCAGAAGATCTACCTAACTTCAGTGATGAAGGTGACTACACTAACAACAGGTTTTAAATGTAGATGAAACAGCCTTTTATTGAAAGATGACATCTATGACTTTCATAGCCAAAAGAAGTTAATGTCTGGTTTCAGAGGACAGCCTGACCTGTTAGGGGCTAAGGCAGCTTGTAACCTTAAGTTGAAGCCAATGCTCATTCATCATTCCAAAAACCCTAGAGTCCTTAAGAATTATGCTAAATCTACCCTGCCTGGGCTTATAACAAGCCTAGATAAGACCACATCGGTTTACAACCTTGTTTATTGAATATTTTAAGCCCACTGTTGAAACCTACGGCTCAAAAAGATTTTGTTTTTTAATAGAGATGGGAGTCTCACTATATTGAGCAGACTGGTTTGAACTCCTGGGCTCAAGCAATCCTCTTACCTCAACCTCCCAAAGTGCTGAGATTACAGGTGTGAGCCACCATGACCAGCCAGAAAAAAAAAAAATATTTCTTTCAAAATACTACTGTTCACTAACAACACACCAGTCACCCAAGAGTTCTGATAGAGACGTACAAGGAGCATAATGTTGTTTTCATGCCTGCTAACACAACATCCATTCTGCAGCCCATGGATCAAGGAGTAACTTCAACTTTCAAGTCTTACTATTTAAGAAACACAGTTCATAAGGCAATAGCTGCAATAATAGTGATTTGTCTAATGGATCTGGGCAAAGTAAACTGAAAATCTTCTGGAAAAGATTCACCATTCTAAATATCATTAAGAACTTTCATGATCATAGGTGGTCGAAATATCAATATTAACAGGAGTTCAAATGAAGTTGATTCCAATCCTCATGGATGACTGAGGGGTCCAAGTGGAGGAAGTAACCACACATGTGATGGAAATATCAAGAGAACTAGAATTAAAAGTAGAGCCTGAAGATATGACTGAATTGCTGCAATCTCATGATAAAACTTCAACGGATGAGGAGTTGCTTCTCATGAGTGAACTAAGAAAGTGGTTTCTTGAGATGAAAACTACTTCTGGTAAAGATGCTCTGAAGATCATTGAAATACAACAAAGGAGTTAGAACATTCCATAAACTTAGTTCATAAAGCAGTGGCAGAGTTTTGGAGGACTGACTCCAATTTTTAAAGAAGTTCTACTCTGAGTAAAATGCTGTCAAACAGCATTGCATGCTACAGAGAAATCTTTCATAAAAGTAAGAGTCAATTGATGTGGCAACTTCATTGTCGTCTTATTTTAAGAAATTGCCACAGCCACCGCAATCTTCAGCAACCACCACCATTATCAGTCAGTAGTCATCAACATCAAGACAAGACCTTCCACCAGCAAAAAGATTAGAACTCACTGAAGGCTCCGATGATCCTTAGCATTTCTTACCTATAAAATATTTTTTAATTAAGGTATTCACACTGTTTTTTTTTAGATGCAATACTACTGCACACTTACTATAGTATAAACACAACTTCCGTATGCATTGGTTAACGAAAAAATTGGTATGACTTGCTTTTTTGCAATCTTCACTTTAGTTAGGTGATCTGCAATATCTCTGAGGTATGCCTGTATTGAATAATTGCATTGACTAAAGAATGTTTCTCCCCCATACTTCCTCATTTAAATGTAAAGGCATTTGATTATTGTTTGTTCATATTATTTACCCTGGAAATGGCATTTAACTTAAGTCAATAAACTATATCTGCTTGTGTATCTCTTGGAACGACTCCATGTACCCCAAGGATAGATGAGATCTAATAATCATTAACATGTCATATTAATTCTGAAAAAGTTACAGTAAAAAGTTTATTTGCAAAGCTCTTAGGAAAAGCACATGCCTACATATACAAAAGAGAGTAAACCACCCCCAATGCAAAATCAAAACTAAAAATGATAAAAAATCCATTATCTTTATCATTATGGAGTAGTGGGGTGAGCTGGGTGGAGAAACAGATGTTAACAAAAATAAAAGCTAGGCATGCATAAATGAGAGCTGGTCATACTCGTGTATTTTGTATGTTTGAATTTTTTCACAATAAAAAATTAAAGGAAAAATATTTATTTGCTAATAATTTCCCATACTAATTTGTAAGATTTTCCTTTTGAGTATTTTTCTTTCCCATTTGAAACAGTAATTGATTTTTAGTTCATATATCAGTGGATATCTTCTATTGCTAGAATGAACTCAGGACTAATTCTCTTCCGATTTTTAATTTTTACAGAGGTGTGAATTGCTTATAATAGACAAGTAGATTGAAATTTTAAAAGTTTTATTATAGCAATGTTACTCAGTTCTTTATATGCCTCCAGCTCATTACATGCCAAAAGTCATACAGTACTCTAGCCTCAAAAATTATGCTAATGCTCCTATTGACTGACAACTTAAGATTCCCTTTCGATTTTGCTGAAACCAAAGAACTGGAAACAACCTAGTATATAACAGGACTTATTACCAGTTATTACAATGGTTCACACCCTTAATAACACTGACTCTAATATTTCAAAATGTCCTCTTTTGCTGGTGGGCTGAGGTTTTTACAATGTGAAGCAGTGCACTGTACTAAAATTTGAAAGACATGAGACTATGTCTTTCTTTTGGAAAATAGGAGGACACCTGGACTAAAGGCAGATTAATTTTTTAAAAGGCGCATCTAGAAACAGATTTTGAAACTGACTTATCTTAAAACTGTCAATGCCCCTTTATTCCTTGGAAAGAATTCCAAGTATGGAATCCAAAGATATATTTATCCCAGTTTGAAGATCACTGTACAAGCATTATTAGATACTGTATTATTTTTGAAAAAGCTATAATCATTTGTAGTAAATACAGTAGAAACATTTTTAAAATAAACCAAATTGGAAGAAATATACTTATCAAAATTTCTAATCCACTCACCAAATGATTTTTAAAAAACAAACCCATATGGGTTGTTTGAAAAGGGTAATCAGATTCTGGTACCAGAAAATTATACAAATTTAGGCCGGGCGCGGTGGCTCACGTCTGTAATCCCAGCACTTTGGGAGGCTGAGGGAGGCAGATCATGAGGTCAGGAGATGGAGACCATCCTGGCTAACATGGTGAAACCCTGTCTCTACTAAAAATACAAAAAAAAAAAAAAAATTAGCCAGGCACAGTGGCGGGCGCCTGTAGTCCCAGCTACTCGGGAGGCTGAGGCAGGAGAATGGCGTGAACCTGGGAGGCAGAACTGCACTCCAGCCTGGGCGACAAGCAAGACTTCGTCTCAAAAAAAAAAAGTAAATTATAAAATTTTTCTGTAAATATGCCTGTCAAGTTACAGAATTTACATTCCTTTGAAGAATACTGTATGAATGAAAATTTGATAGAGGCACTGAGTTTTAACATTATCTATTAAAAAATTAATGTAACTATATTGCAATGTTTTATAGTTTTTACAACATATTTATGAATTGATTCATGTATTATACTTTATAACAGGTGAAAAACACTGTTAACAAGGACATCTGCCAATAAATTTAATAATAAAATGGCTCATTTAAAATCAATGCATCAGAGTTATTTTGTAAGTATCGCACTTGATTCCATTCATAAAGTATGGAGGTGCAAGCCAATTAAAAATTAGAGATCATAGAGGAAAAAGGCAAAAAGAGGTAACTAAAAACGATTTTGTGAAATACTCTTAATTTAGTCTTATGATAGAAAATGGTTTAAAGCTAAAGAGTATTAGGAAAATAAAAAATAAGACACTCCAGGTAAAAAAGAATGTTTTTCTAGATCTAGTATTTTCATAGATCAACCCTAAAAATAAAGTAACAGAACAATTTTCAGTTGACAATAAATGCTCTACCTTTCATTAAAAAAAAAAAACTAAAGCATAAACTGATATAAACAAGAAGTAAATAAACCAATATAATCCTGTCTTCTGAATGTTGCAAGTCCAAGGCATCATGCATTACTCTGAGAGTCACAAACTACTTTAAAAACCTGTCTTATAAGCATGCCTAACAGGTTATTGCTAACATAACCAAACTGAACATCACATATACATTAACTAAGCTTGTCTTGATTTTCAATGAGTATGATTACAAATTGTTTAAAGAGAAAGAAAAAAAACCCTAATTTTTAAAATTCAAAAATACTTTTGATTAAAAAGAAAATTGAACTTCTTTAAATGACAAAAACTGGAAACTACCACTAGAATGAGGCATGCCAAGTAGAGTGGCTAATGCCTGTCATCCCAGCATTTTGGGAGGCCAAACTTGGAGGATCACTTTAGGCCAGGAGTTTGGGACCAGCCTGGGCAATATGGCAAGACCCTAGCTTTATAAAGAATTAGCCCTGCATGGTAGCCTGTGCCTGTGGTCTCAGCTACTCTGGAGTCTGAGGTGGCAGGATCACTTGAGCACAGGAGTTTGAGGCTGCAGTGGGTTATGACTGTACCACTGCACTTAGACTGGGCAACAGAGAGAGACCTTGTCTCTAAAAAACAAAAAACAAAAAACTCTGAGAGGTAAAAACATAGAAGACAGTGTAACTTTTACTATTTCTAACATGAAAAAGCATTAAGTGTGGCAATTATTTTGCAGTATGTTGTCCTCATTTTCCTATCCTAACCCTTAAGTTATCACCAGATCTTAACTTTTAAACTAAAACTACGTGAAATTTTTACCAGTGAAAAGAAAACAAATACGTAAGGATACTGCTACATCATATAAAAATAACTGTTCCTTTCAAATTTATTTTTGTTCTTTCCTTTTAATCAAGCAATCACACATTATCACAATCCCAAATAAAACAGATTACAACAAAAAGTATTCCTTTAAAGTTAGTAGCTACCACAGAGAAAAAGAGAGGAAGTATAATACCCTTATGATTTTTAAAAATTATGTGCATTTTAAGTATAAAATTACATTTGTTTTTAAAAAGGTATTTACCTATATAGCTTTGTTTAAAATTTTAAATATTGGAGTTTTCCTATAAGCTTAGTAGTTAAGAATTTATGCAACAGGCTCCTTCTGTCCAAATTCTCCTTTTTTCCACAATCTGCTAATCCTTTTGAACATTTGCTCTGCCTCTTCCCCCATTTCCTGAGGATCACCACCAATCCTACAAGGAAAAAATATCAATACTACAAAATTATGAAATCAAGAGTCTTACTAAAGACTCTACTTAATTTTGGGGTGGGGGGATTAACATGAAGAAAATGATTTTAATGGCACCATGATAAATTCCTGAATTTTGAAAGAAAAAAAAAAATCACAAATAGCCTTAAGGTCATCAATTAAAAGAGCTAAAAACAGAATTCACCTCTAGTAGCCATGG
Source organism: Homo sapiens (assembly GCF_000001405.40). Taxonomy (NCBI): domain Eukaryota; kingdom Metazoa; phylum Chordata; class Mammalia; order Primates; family Hominidae; genus Homo; species Homo sapiens. The sequence goes on along the minus strand of NC_000002.12, from coordinate 190,912,976 downwards.
TGAAATATCCGTGGCTTTGGGTACTCAGATGCAAGCATCTTGGAAAAGGGCCTGTTTCTTTACTGACTAATGTCCGAAGAATGACTACGTAACACTTGCTATCAAATGAGATACAACTTTTAAACCAATAAATTGTTATCGTTTGAACCAGTTCAAATTAAGGAAATAGTACTTCTGCATTTGGGGCAATATAACTATGCTAACTAAAATTAAAGATGTCATCAAGAGAAATGGCAAACACCTACGTTAAATATGGCAGAGTGAATTGTAATGAACAGCACATTGAGTATCAGGAGATTTAGTTCAAGTCCAATTCTACTGCTGTTACAACCTTGCCAGGTTCTCAGTTTCCTCCGTTATATAAAGTAAGAGAACTGGGTTTGACAATTTTTAAGGCCTTTTGGCTATGGTTTTATTACCTAAATTTCAAACCAATACCAATTTATAAATATTATGTGATCATACAATTTGCAGAGATCACATTATAGATATTTATATGAATTTAATCCTTTCCCTAAAAGATCCTAAGAAAAATATTACATATTCTGGGGCATTCAATTTTACATAGGGTTATATCAGGCTTTGCTCTCCAAGATTTGTATGAACTTCATAAAAAAAAAAAAAAAAAAAGCACTTGTGAAACACATGCTAAAAACAAAACAAAAACTCAGGAGAAAGTGACCTTAAATATAAACCATATCCTGAAGCCTCATTTCCAACTTTGCCTGTAAATTTAAATTTTTATGAAAATCACTGATCAAATTTGTAGGTACAAGATGACTCAATTAAATTTTTGCACTGTTGAACACTGAACCACACTTATGTTGTATGTATCTTTTAACTTTGTTTATAATCACTCATACTAAAATGCAGCTCAATGTATAGTTTATGACTCATGACTAAACATGGCAAGTGAAACTAATGAAATGATAGTGTGATATGATAACCAGACATGCAATTCCCACATGCAGCATTTCGGTGTAGTCTGTTAAACCCATGAATCATTAAATGAAAGATTTTTAACTGTGTGCAGTGAAGGAAGTCTTCTATTAATTATTTACATAAGCCCTTTTGAGACTATGCGTAGTGTATGTTAATCTCTCTTCAGTTTAAAAGTTCTTAAACTAGGACCCATGGATCAGCCTCGAAGAGTAGTGAACACCTGAAAGTTTATGTAAAATTATGGTATGTGGATATTTTTCTGGGAAGAAACACTTTTGGTGTTTTTGTCATCAAGCATTAACACATACATTATAGTATGTGTTTCCTTATTTCTACTTTAAGTTACTTGTTCAAATCTAAGCAATTATTAATGAGGCTTTTCTCTCATCACAGCATTTATTGAATTTTCTTATAAGGACCCATTTACTTTTGCATATCCCACACTACAAAGTAAGCTACCTAAAGCTAGGACTGTGCCTTGCAAATAATCGCATTTTCAAGTTTCTTTCAGCTCAAACTGACAGCTTTCTCCATATCCTATTACAATTAGTTACATTTTAAAAACACTTGGCTATAACATCTACTTCATTAGAGTTATAAGAATTAAATGGGCCAATACTTTCAAAGAATTTGCCTTGAAGTAACAAGTAAACATATAGATTCTTAAGATACCAGCCTTCTATTTTAAAAGCTTTTTCTCACAGATATAAAACTCTTAAAAGTTAAGAAAGGCTTTCTAGTATACAAGTTAGATGAAATTTTGTGAACTGGGCCAAGGGTATCATTTATACTCAAATATCCTTCATGTAACCAGGGTACCTTATCCACAGTAATGCATTTACAAGGCCATGTAGTTATGCTTTCCTCTAACTTGGAATAGATAGGCACAGATTTACCAAAGAAGTATACAAATGTTCCAAACATAAATAAAATTTATTTAAATATAAATAAAATTTATAATTAGAAATTAAAAATCTGAAACATCTAAAATCGTGTGGTAGATTTAAAAATCTATCACACAGGAACCATTTTCAAATACTTATTTTAAAATACTAGATCTTCCAATTATTAACGCAAACCAAACACTAAAAAAAAAAAAAACCCTTACAATGCAAATTTCAAAGCATAAGAAAATATAACTCCATAATTGGAATAAGCCTTATTTATTTTAATTATGGCATGATTTAAGTAAAACCAAATGAAACAAGTTCCAATAAAAACTGTGATTTCAGCTCATGAGAGTATCAAAGACTTGAGAATATTTGAGGGTAAATGTACTTTGTCTTAAGTACCAGAACATTTGTTCCCACATATACTAATAACAAATATACAGTAAAATGCCTTTAATTCTATTTATAACTGTTCATTCTGGAAGAACCAAAAGGAAACGAAAGGAAAAATATCAAAACTTTAAAAAAAAAAAAAAAGCCTCTATGCCTTTCTTCAGCAGACTTTAAATATTTTCCAGATCTTCAAGTCAAGAGTAAATGACTGTTGGAATTTACAATGAGTCATCTGTTTTAATTTTGCCTTGAAATGACTACATCATTTATTTTGAAATAAAGATCCTAACACTATACCATAAGACAAATTTCTTAACACCAAGAGAAAATTTTTCATAATTCTACATAAATAATCCCAGATTCATCTTTATGCCTTAGCTGTTAAAAAAAAAAAGTTTTACTAGGTTAAAATGAAACATCAACATTTTACCTTTATTAGTGAAGTCACAACAATTGCTCCAGCATTTACCATAGGATTATGTGGTTTATCTGTAAAATATAAAAGCAATACCATTATTTCAAATACTTAAACACTTGAGTAATATTACTATACTAAAAATGACCTTGGAAAAAGCACAGCTAACGTACTCAATTTTGCTTTTTTCTTAGTGCTTTATTTTTATCTTTATATACAAGCACATACACAGAAGGATTTCAAAACACAAACAAGTGATTTACATAGAATAATAAAATTATAAGGGATTTTTTTTTTAAGAGCCAAAGTTTCAGACTGTCGCCCAGGCTGAAGTGCAGTGGCACAATCATGGCTCACTGAAGCCTTGACCTCCCAGGCTTAAGTGATCCTCCAGCCTCAGACTCCAAAGAAGCTGGGACCACAGGCACATACCACACCTGGCTAATGTTTTATTTTCTGTAGAGACAGGATCTCCCTATGTTGCCCAGGCTGGACTCAAACTCCAGGACTCAAGCAATCCTCCCGCCTTGGCCTCCCAAAGTGCTGGGATTATAGGCATGAGCCACCATGCACAGCCTATAGGGGATATTTTTAGGCTTTCTGTATTTCCTGACAATAAAGGTATATTTGTATTTCTTATATAATTTTAAAGTTACTTAAAACTTTACATTAATCCAAACTCCTATTTCTTCTCCTAATTCTTACAATAAATAAGAATTTCAAAACTCAACTGATTATATTCTCATTCACTGCATGACACAAGCACCAAAAATAAAATCTTGGGGACAGTGAAAACATCTATTTACAAGCGAACCTCAACATCTTAATTTATCTACCTGGTGGTTACCAGAAGTGGGGGAGGGGGGAGAAGGGATTGCCAGATGTTGGTCAAAGGACACATAATTTCAGTTACACAGGGGGAATAAGTTCAAGAGATCTATTTTATAACATGATATAATTAATAACAAGTATTATATGTACTTGAAAATTGTTAAGAAAGCATACTTTGTCTTCTCATTACAAATAAATATATGAAGTAATGTATGTTACTTTGATTTAGCCATTCCACAATGCATATATATTTCAAATCACTATGTTGTATACCATATACACAATTTTTATCTGTCAATTAAAAATAAATAAATAAAAAGAAAAATATCCTACATTTTGGGTGTATTCATAATGCCAAGTTTCAAAAGTTAAAATAAAATCTTTGTGTTATATCTGATTATTACAATCAAGATTTGCCTATCCCAAATTAGTTTAAATTAGTTTAAATTAGTATAAATTAGTTTATACTTTTATTTGTATGGATGTTTATTATCTGTCATTTCAGAGCTTTTGACATTATCAGGCTTAGACTCTACAGTCCTAGAAGACTGCTAATCTATGTACTCCAAATGGTATCACATAAATGTGAGTATTAAATATTTTCCAAATGATAAATACTCTGCAAATGCTACATATACTACACTCAAGATGTCTTAAAGAACACTAAATCATTTTAAGGCATGACAGCCCAATTTTCAGATGTATGTAATTGCTCATTCTGCCTTTGGCTCAAAAGCCAGACATCTGAACATCCGGAAACCCGCCAGAGAGAATGTAACACACCACCAGCCTAACTGCAGTATAAAACCTCGGCCTAAGACCTATGACCGTGAAATTTTCTTGCTTCCCTGCTCTGTCTTAAGGTAAGATGGAGTTGATGGGTTTAATTTAGAATTTTTAATTTAAAAAAGTTTTGAATGGCAGAAATAACCTACAACACTAATAAAGGCTATCATTTAAAGTAACGAAATATCAGAGCGTGTTATACTGACAAAATGGACATGGGTGACATCTGAAATTTATGAACATGCTTTAAACTATAATGCAAAAAAAGATCAATTTTAACAAGTATTTATTTTCCCCAAAGGCAATAAAATACACAGCATTCTTTCATATTATATCAAAAGAAGCTTTTCAAGCTGCTAAGCATATGAACCTTACAAGGGTTTTGTTCACAGGTGAGGCTGAGGCAAAGTTTGCTAATACATATACTAAAGAACGAAAAATATTAAAAAGGATTTCCAATTTAATTTGGATATTTATATTTTCGGTATTATATTGGAATTTTACAGTGCCAAATAAAAACTGGAGTTAAGGAAACTCAATTATCTGACATTACACACATTTACAATATATTCTCTAGATATAGAGAAAATATTCTCCATCTGGTTGGGATATATATGGTTACGAAGAATGTGCAGTGCCCATTGAGGATGGTTGGAAAAAATGTGCAGTGCCCTCTCACATTCTTCCCAACCATCCACAATTCATCCTATCAATTCAGTCCTGTCATCCTCATGTAAATTAACTCAACTCCTCTTTTTTCTCAATCCTCCACACATATAATCAGCACATACATTTTGGCACCTGTCAATTACATACTTGTAAGATAATACAACTAACAGTATTCAATGCTTAAGTATGTCTTCTCCCATTATGTATTAGAAATATGTAATTGCCTTCTGTATCCTGTAGTCAGAAAAGTTATTCCAAGAAGCAAGGCCCATGTACCCTCCAGAGCTGTTAACAATACAGACAAGGAAAGCTATATAAATAATTTGTTGATTAACCCGATCACTACAAGGTAGAAAAAGACTTCCCTGGGAGATGGTAGTTTGCAAAACTGACATCTCCATAAAGTAACTTGTTTGCTCACTTATAATGATAAAAAATATCAGCCACCTCCTACCAAAACTTTCTATGTTGCAAACATTTTAAAACTACTGTTATTGCCAGGTGTGGTGGCTCACGCCTGTAATCCCAGCACTTTGGGAGGCTGAGGCAGGCAGATCACCTGAGGTTGGGAGTTCGCGACCAGCCTGACCAACATGGAGAAACCCCGTCTCTACTGAAAATACAAAATTAGCCAGGGTGGTGGCACATGCCTGTAATCCCAGCTACTCGGGAGGCTGAGGCAGGAGAATCGCTTGAACCCGGGAGGCGGAGGTTGCGGTGAGCCGAGATTGCGCCGAGCCGAGATTGCGCCACTGCACTCCAGCCTGGGCAACAAGAGTGAAACCCCGTCTCAAAAAAAAAAAAAAACTACTGTTATTAAAAACTACTGCCGGGTGCAGTGGCTCAAGCCTGTAATCCCAGCACTTTGGGAGGCCGAGGCGGGCAGATCACGAGGTCAGGAGATCGAGACCATCCTGGCTAACACAGTGAAACCCCATCTCTACTAAAAATACAAAAAATTAGCCAGGCGTGCTGGCGGGTGCCTGTAGTCCCAGCTACTCGCTGAGGCAGGGGAATGGCGTGAACCCGGGGGGCAGAGCTTGCAGTAAGCCGAGATCATGCCACTGCACTCCAGCCTGGGGGACAGAGCCAGACACCATCTCAAAAAAAAAAAAAAAACTACTACAATTTCTCTATTTACCATATCCCTATTAGTCTTAATAAATCATCACAATCTTATAAAGCTGGTGTAACAGTAATATATTTATTTTTTAAAAATTTATTATTTTAGATACACACATATATACATACACACACAAAAAGTGTATGGTTTCACCAAAAATCTACCCTTGCAATTTTAAATATGAACGAGATCTTCAAATTGTTTTTGCTGGGCTAAACTAAATCAGGACTCAAGAGCACAGGCTCTAATCAGAATTCAGGAAGGTGTAATATAGTGAAGCCTGTATTTACTGTTACTTTCAAGACTCAGGGTGTTGGCTCAGGCTTAGAAAACGTCTATGAATATCGAGGCAAAATCTCTTGTTAAACTTTATGTTTTATTCTTATTATAAACAATTCTAAATCTCTGATTTGTCATTTTTTCTTATATAGAATACAGTATCAATAATTCATGATTCCTAAAACCATAAATATATATGGCAAAAAAATTCATTACTTATACTGTTAATTTCATTTGCTCCAAGCCCATTTTGTTTTTTTGTTTCTGAAATCCTCTAAACATTCAAATTACTATATTTGTTTTTTCTTAAATATCTCCCTCGAAATCCATCAATTCACTAGACATGTCTATTCTCCTTTGCTGTTCATGGAAAAGTATTAAATTTTTCTTTTAAAATATTTGGTATTTTTAGAATAACAGTATTAATTCTTTCAATATTAAATCTAGATGTCAATGAGCTTAGTAAATAAAGTGCTTCTGCATATGATGTCCTTATTGAAGTTGTTAATTTACAGTAATGTCCATAAAACCAAACGTAGCATCAGAATAAAAAGGTTACGGTAAAATGGGAAAGAAAATGTAACTGCTCTCAAAATAAATAGGATGAGAAGCATAAGAAAATACCAGTCTTATGACTTCATCTTACAAACTAATAAAATAATGAGTATAAGGCACATTTCATTTTTTATACAGCAGAAAAAAAAAGTACAAAAGTGTATCTCTCACAGCCATTACTACAAACTTCGCTCTCACTTTCTTCAATTCTATATCTTAACTCATCAATCAGAAACACAGCATATGCTTAGAAGATTAAAAAACAGAAACCAAACCATGGGACTAGTTTAACTTAGTTTGCACTCAGCTAAATGATGTTTAGACTTAAAATCTCTATCAGATCAAACTAACTACTTTTGTCCTCCCCTTTTCTTTTGAATTCCTGTAAAAAGATTTGTTAACCAAGCATTAAACACAAAGCATTTCTTTCAAATTTTTTAATGTTATAAGGATAAAAAGTAAAAACACTCACTGAAAAATAATAATCCTCACTATCTCAACCAGGGCCACAATAAAACTTTCAACTACTATATACAATATAATAGATAGAATAATATACAAACACCCATGCACCTATCATTTAGCTGCAATAATTACCAACATATAGTAATAATCATACCCAGCACTCCCAGCTGCCTTAACTAAATTATTTTAAAGCAAATCTCATGTATTTTGAGATTTCGCTATATTTCCCTAAAGGTGGTTATGAAGAGAGAAGTTCATGTTCTCCCTAGCCCACTTCCCAGTGGTATGAGATGCCTAAAATAATCATTTTTAAAAGTAGGTGATGAAACTCTCTCAATGGATTATATAGAAATCACATGACAAATACTTTTAATTTTAATCAAAAAATGTTTAAAACGACTTAGATTTACATAGGAAAATGAGACATTTCTTTTTTCAACCAATGTTTATGTAATTCTTACCATCTTCATTCAAAAATAGTTTGTTGAATCTTAGTCCACTCGGCTCTTTTCCAACATATCGATGCACATATTCAGTTCCAAGATCATTAACAGCAATGGCATATTTCAAAGGTTTTACACAGGACTGAAGACAGAAGGGAACTTTGGTATCTCCAGTAGAATGCCTATTTAAAAGGAGATTTTTAAAAAATAACATCAACTGGGAAAAAAATGTAACTGCATAGTTGGAATTATTCTTTTTACATGTTAACAATTCCAACAAAAATTTTCCCATAATTCAACCACAAGTTTATGTCAAAATTACAGAATAAATTTAAGTACAGTCATCCTTTGATATCTGTGGGAGGTGGATTCCAGGAATCCCTGTGATACCAAACTCCATGGACACTCAAGTCCCTTATATACAATGATATAGCATTTGCATATAACCTACACACATCTTCCCATGTGTTTTAAATCATCTCTAGATTACTTATAATACCAAATACAATGTAAATGCCATATAAATAGGTGTACTGTATTATTTAGGGAATAATGACAAGGAAAAAATGTCTGTACATGTTTACTACAGCCACAACTATCCATCTTTTTTGGCTCAAATATTTTCGATCTGTGGTTGGTGGAATCCATGGGTGCAGACCCCATGGATACAGAATTGACCTATGTTTATTTTAAGAGAAATACTGTGAAAAAAAGCAAAAGCATGAAAGTATTCACGTAACAGAATAATGGTTTTAAAGTAGATAATAAATATGTAATGTGGAAATTTTCCTCTGAGGGCAAGAGAGTAAGAGCATGCTCCTCCTTACTCCCACGTGTATTCAATCACATAAAATAAACTAGCCCTTTTAGAAATTATTCACCTTTTTTTCAACTCAGAGCTGTAAGCTGTGACTAAACCATGGTTAAAAAGTTAAACAGAACTCAGTTTAGATTCAATACTATTCTCTGGGACCCTGTCTACAAATGCCTCATATTGCAAGCCACATCCACTCACAATCCTGGGCCCCATTAAAAAAAAAAGCATCCAGTTTTATAAACATGACAGAGCTGGCACTAAGTTCAGTAGGCAGTCATCATTACCATGCAGATAAATAACAGAGCAAAAAGAAAGCTTTATATTACCACCAAACTGAGAAGTACATGAAGTAGAGAAAAGATTTGGGAATGAAAAAGTTCTGGCCAACCCAATTATAATGTAAGCTTCACAAAGGCAGAGATCTTTGATTTACTTACTGATACCTCCCAGGTTCCCTGAACAATGTCCCAACACATCACAAAGCATTCATTCATAGTGAAAGTCATTCATAATGAAACTGGGCACTATATTTTTTTCCTATCAAATTTATTCATGTGTAACTATAATCTTAAACTATATAGTTATACTATATAAGATTGTTACTTCAAACTTGACAATCATTCTAAAAAATGATTAAGAGCTTGTCTTACTACCTTTGGATTTAAAAATACATATGTTCTAGTTCTGAAGTCAACTTTCTGAATTCTCTAGATAAAAAAACTAAGAGACATAGAGAATGTTTAAGAAGAGAAAAATCATATTCAATATTACATGATAATAATTTTCTTCAAATTCAAAGACTTCCATTACTTGATAAATTATTTCCTAAAATGCAAAAACAGGAATACCATTCCCTACCGGAATTTGCTTCAAGGGATAAAGTCACCATGCCTTTTCATTTCATTGTGTCCCTTCATAGCACACAACATTTAATTCAACACATGGTGACTGCTCAGTACATTTTACTGACCCAAATGAGGATAAAGGCATATAATAATGAAAGAAAAAATAGACTAGAAGTTAAGAGACCTAGGTGTTCATTTCACCTTTGCCAATATCATGTCAACTATGGTCCTCAGATTCCTTACTTTCAAAATGAATGGGCTAACCCATATATTTTTTACTGTAAGTACTTGAGGATAATTAGTAAAAAAAAATTAAAATCACCTAAAATGAAGGTCCTTACGAGTCACAGATTTTTGGCTGGGGGGCAGGGGCTCATGCCTATAATCCCAGCACTTTGGGATGCCAAGGCAGGAAGATCACTTGAGGCCAAGAGTTCAAAACTAACCTGGGCAACATAAAAGATCAAATTTTCATAAAAGGAAAAAAGGTTTTTAATTGCAACATTATCTTGAAAAGTAAAATCTAAAATTACTAGGTTAAACGGCTTTTAGTAGTTTTAACGAAATTTAGGTAAAATTACAACTCTGATATAAACTTTTCAAGCTGTGTTCACTTACAAGTTGTACATCTTATGTAAGTTCTATTTTGATAAAACAGAAATACTTTAATAAAAAAACAAAAAACAAAGGAATATATCTCTGAGCTAAGTCTTTAAAAATGAGTGAAAAAAGAATATTGATTTTTCTCTTTGGCGTAATTTTCTAATAAAACCAAATTATAAGATGATAACAATCTTTATGTCTAATTCCCAGCACAATGAACACGGTCATTCTTGAAAAAATATTCTAGAACTTTACCATTTTCCAAGGGCCTCTCTTAATTCTTTGATTTTTAAATCAAATCATTCTTTCTAAAGCGCCCTCACATCACTATCCTTTTTATAATTCTGCAAGTTCCTCATCTGTCAGCAGCTGTGCCTGCAATGTAAGCAATTCCCAAATGCTGCTTTCATGGACTTCATGAAATCCTACATGTTTTGCAACTGACTTTTAACTTTGGGATACGTTATGTTGCACTGTCTTAATTCTCATGCTAATTTTATCAGGAACACAAGGAACAAAGACAACGACAGATGGGTTACCAATGTTAAGTTGAGAAATAGGGACTAATTTTATTAGTAGTCAGTTCATTAGAGAATAGTGTCATGTTTTGACAAGCCTGCTTTTCTGAAACAAATTGGTAACTGCAGGTATTTGAATAATACTCAAAAAACAAGACTACAACTGTGAATAAAATAGATGTCTCATAAAACTTAATATAATGTTACTGTTTGAGTTTTTAAAAATTACATTAAAATTTAAATTTATTTACCTTTTGAAATTATATCCTGTTAGGACTAATTTCCATTATAAAAGATGATCTTCTCCATGTCATTCTCACCATTATACAAAAGTTAAGGCTTAGAGTTGGTTTTCATGAATTTGAAATAAACTTACCTCTGTCCATCTACTGTACAAACAGACACACCCCACAAATCGGGACTGAATTTGGCCAGTTGAGGAATATAATCTGCAACCTATCCAAAAGATTGGAAAGAAATGAATAGATATAATATTGACAAATAATGTATTTTCTTCCACCAACAAATTTCTTATCTCATTTTACCTTCTACCAATGACTAGTTATTCTACAACACTCAGTGGCTTCATAGTCTATCTTCTGTAACAATGCTCATGAAAACTAAAGGCAAAACAGACTTGAGAATTATGAGATCTAAAGTGACTTTTCTCAGTCTCTATTATTTCTTATTTTCCAATGCATTCTTTCTTTCTCATGTTTAGCAGGAGAGTCTAGCAGAGGAACTTGAACTTTTTTTTTTTTTAAGCAGGAAAAAAGTAAATTTATTTAATCAGGGTCATGGGTGCTAGTAGGGTTTCACTAAAACATTAGGAATCAAGTATTTAAAAGTAAGTAGTAAGTATTTACACTGAAGTTGTTATACACTTGAATCTTGAACATGGATTTAAACTTCAAACAGTGCAATTATATGCAGATTCTTTTCTGCTTCCGCCACCCCCAAGACACAAGACCAATCCCTCCTCTTCTTCTTCAGTCTAAACATGAAGATGATGACAATGAAAACTTTCATGGTGATCCACTTCCACTTAATAAACAGTAAATATATTTTCCTTATGATCTCAATACCATTTTTTATCCTCTTTATTGTAAGAATTCGGTATATAATAAATATACAAAATGTGTTAATAGACTATTTATGTTATCGGTAACGCTTATAACAGTAGTTATAAGTAGTTAAGTTTTAAGGGAGTCAAAAGTTATACTCAGATTTTTGACTGCGTGTGGGTTTGGCATCCCTAACCCCTGCTTTGTTCAAGGGCCAACTGGATTATACTAAAGCTACCCAAAGTTAAAACAAAAGAAAATGAAAACTTTCTATATGAAAATCAAATAGTTCCTAGTATTATTTACAGGATTTTAAAAACTAGAAACATTTCGTTTAATACTGAAGGATATCAGATCTGCAGAAATTCTGAATAAGATTTTTTAACTTAAAAATTTAAAATCCATCACCATCATCTGAAAATAAAAAATTCTTACCCTTAGATTTCTCTTTAACCAGAATAACAAAGTTAAATATTTAAAATACCGTAAAAACACTAAATCCAGTGGCTTCACTTAAATTTCTTAAGCGAAGCTAAAGTGTTTTCTTTAGCAAAACACAACTACACAATTTACTCTCTAGACCTCAAATTAAGCTGAATTTATTAAGTGATTCGGTTATGAAAATATGTACATCAAAAGCATTACCTTTCCTCCAGACTGCTTTTTAGCACTTTCATATAACTCATCAATGTGTGAGGTAAAAGACATAAAGTCAGGAATCACAAACTTTCTTCTAAATGCTTGTGTCAACAAAACAATGTTGCTCTGAACACATCTGTAGAATGTAAAAAGATAATTAATAAACTGGGTACATTTCAAATATCAGAACTTGGTAATAACAGTAATAATTAGGACACTATTTAAATAATAGATAAATTTATCATTTTATACAACTAAATTCTATAAATTATGCTTTCTACATTATCTTTCCTTCTAGCAGTCTTTCAAGTAGTTGCTTGTAAGCTGTTGAACGTGTAAGAGATTAATCTGGATGTGCCTAAAATTGTGTCACAAATTAAGACAAGGCGTTCCACCAGGTTTAAGTATTAAGACCATCTGAAACAAGCTTCTTACTCAATCAGAGTTGGTAACATTCAGCATGACGACATCTGGTTAACAAAATTCAGACTGCCAAGGTTGAGATCTTGTTTATTTACCAAGTAATCTCAGAAATACATCTCTTAGTTCTTATATAACTATTACTAGCATTTCATTCAAAAATTAAACATTTTGCATTATAACATATTTTCCTTAATTATATCAACTTTGTTTAGTCAGATTAATTTATGTCTTAAATGAAATGTCTGTTGATATGCTTGTAAAAATAATCTCTAATTTGAAATAAAATTTCATATGAAGTAGTGTAATAATTAATTTTATATTATTTGAGTCACCAAAAATGTTATATTACAATATGCTATTTAATGTAAGATATGTAAATATAATGCAGAATAAAAATGTTTCACTGTTAAAAAAGTATTTTAAAAATATAGTAAACCAAGTGGATGGGAGAGCATGATATTCTGAAATCTAATAATTTGAACTGTATTCTGCTTTTTGCTAAAAAGAATTTAAGCCAGAAAATCAGTATATTAACGTAGCCTTTAAAACGTTTTGCAAATGGATTACAGCCAATTGTATATTCTGAGCTTCTTAAGTCTCTGTAATGCAGTAATAGAATATTTAATTAATATTTAATTAACAAAGGAAGACTTGCTAAACACGGTGTTAAGCCATAATACCAACGATAATAAATCTTAAGAGTAAGATACTCTCAGTATTTCTTGTTTAGTCTGTAATAAATGAGAAATTTTTAAATGTCAATATTTTAATTCAAGTTGTTCTAGATGAAACCAAATTAAAGCTAAAAGCCAGGTTTCACAGTTTAACTATTAATAAGAATTCAGAATAATATATACTCATTTGTTCAATATAAAATTAACAGTTTAAAAATAAAATCCTAATAGAAATGACTATTGTTTCAGTCATAAGGATCCCCCTATTACAACATTAAAAAAATTACAGTCCTAATTTCCATAACTTATATAGTATTGACACCCCAGAGCTAAGAAATATTTACTTCAATAAGCAATCATTTTCAGATAGTTTCAATATTAATCTCAAAAGTATTACCATTATTTTAATATTTTTAATGTTTCAAATAGCTTCTAAAATCCAACTTCCAAGTATCAGAGTTGCAAGAGATGTACATCAAAGAACACCTTTCTCAGAGGAAAGAAAAATAGAATTCCTGATCTTAAACCAGTATTTATATCTACAACAAATCAAATGCACTTCCTCATTTTTCAAGAAGTTATAAATGCAAAAATGAGAGCTGCTGAACAAATTTAAATTATTAACCTACTACCATTTAACTATTTTAATCAGTACCTTTAAAAGAATTTATAATTAGCCAGGCACGGTGGCTCACGCCTATAATCCCAGCACTTTGGGAGGCTGAGGCAGGCAGATCACCTGAGGTCAGGAGTTCGAGACCAGCCTCAACATGGAGAAACCCTGTCTCTACTAAAAATACAAAATTAGCCGGGCGTGGTGGTGCATGCCTGTAATCCCAGCTACTCGGGAGGCTGAGGCAGGAGAATTGCTTGAACCTGGGAGGCGGAGGTTGCGGTGAGCCAAGATCGCGCCATTGCACTCCAGCCTGGGCAACAAGAGCAAAACTCCATCTCAAAAAAAAAGGATTTATAATTAACAAAATTATACACTCAGTGAAACTTTACAAATGTTCTGCTCTAGCAGAAGGTGCTGGTAAAGCTGTTCCAACAGCCTTCACTGGTAATATTAACAGGCTGACAAAGCCAATTTTGCCTCTCAGGAGAGTATCTAACTGCATACCGATCACCATTCCAAACAGTAAGGTTTTTCTTGGGAGTTATTTTAATATAGATACCATGAGTCTAACTAGGAAATGAGAAGTCATATAAAATGAACTCTGAGGAGGTGCTTATGCTTTTCAGCAAGTTATATATATCTCTGTCCTTTGTTCAGTTTTCTTATCTGTAAGCCGGGAATAATCATTTTCTTTCCTTAAGTGTTTATAACTAAAAACTAATGCACAATGATTGACAAAACATTTCTCACAAATAATTTTTCATTTGTAAAATAACATAATAAATATGAAATTTTTAAGAAAATCAAACATACAAATGAAAGGCTACCATTCACTTTCTTGCAAAACAAAAAGATCAAAAAATTATGATCATACAAAGAAAGTTTTAATACCTATAAAGTTAAAAATGCACGAATAAAGAAAGGATTAGTTTTCCACACAAATATTTTTACTTGTATTAGTGTTAAGATTTACTAGCATTAAAAACAATTGACTATCAACCTGGGTACAGGCAGTCTCCAACTTTCGAACAGGTTTTACTCCAAAAAGTATGCTTAGAACGTATTTTCCCAAGTTAAAAAAAGTCACACATAATAGTTTTCTCAGATTACCGAAAAAGTCTAAAAATATTAATCTACAATGTATTTTAGGTAAAATATTAACACACTGCTTCAACCAAACCTACCCACCTTTATAAATTATTTCTCTGGGGAAAAATGAATCCCATGTTTTAACATCTCCTCCCTAGCTGCATGAAAGGGAGAAGTTTATTTCTGGCAACACTAACTAGGTAACTTCTTATATTTGAAAACAGAGAAAAGAACATCTCTGAAGCAATCACCTTTCCAGGTGACTGAAAGCTATTAAAAGGTTAACAGTTGGAGGTTTTGAACCACCTCATTCTAAGAATAAAGAGAAATAATTATGCCCTAGAGACTTGTACTTTTCTACTGGTTGCTCATATAGACCATAAAACATTTGTCAAGTTGGAAACTGCCTGTATTACAAGCATAGATTTTTAAAAATTGGATTAGTGTTTAAAACAATAATTACTATCTCTTAATTGCAGGCAGAAAATTTAATGTTTGCAGTTCCCTGGCTTAATAATCAGAGGATTTAAATTGTTTTTAATTTCATATTTAAACATAACAACATGTTTACAAAACATAAATATTTTTTCAAGTATTAAAACCGTGTAACTTTAGGAGGCCGAGGCGGATGGATTACCTGAGGTCAGGAGTTCGAGACCAGCCTGGACAACGTGGTGAAACCCCGTCTCACTAAAAATACAAAAAAGCCAGGCATGGTGGCAGGCGCCCTTAATCCCAGATACTTGGGAATTTAGGTGGGAGAATCACTTGAACCCGGGAGGCAGAGGTTGTAGTGAGCCAAGATCATGTCACTACACTCCAGCCTGGGCGACAGAATGAGACTCTGTCTCTTAAAAAAAAAAAGTGTAAAATACTGCTTCCACTTAAAATTCCAAAGCAGTTCCCCTACTGATTATCAACAGATCTACCAACCATTACTCTAACAACTTCATTCACAGATACAACAAAATAATGCCCACAGAAAGCACTTTAATCAGAATATTGTGCAGACAGTTCATGAACACGAAAAATAATCCTTACCGCAAAGACACAAATAAATTTAGAAATGATGTTTTTCTGTCTCTTAAAAAGCAGGTTCTGGAAGTCAAAATTCCTAATACCAACTGCAACACGGACCTAAAGTCTACACTTTAAGGTCAGCTAAGTTAACAGAAACAAGAACCTCCTCGTGAAAAGATAAGAAACCCAAGCTGTCAGCAGTGCTTCACAGCATGCCAGGAAACTTCAGAGAACCACAGTTAAATACTTATACCTTCAGATGACTTCATACTCCAGGAGACATCTAGAACAAATCACCCAACCCCCAAAAGAAGATAAAACAAAAGTAAATACAACCATACATAACAAACTTTCAAAGTAGATGCAGAAATTTTTTGGATCCATGTCTGGAAAAAGCCAATGTCTTATAGTAGTATTTACAGTTTTATACTAGTTTCTACTTAAATAGTAGTAGTTTAAAATACTATTTGATTCTTTGGGATCCATTACACACATGTCCATTAAATCTTTAAGTAATCAAACTAATAGAAACACATTAATGAAGATAAATAATAAATATATGCAAATACAGGAACATCAAAGTAAAAATTCTCATTCAACCAAATCAAGGCTTTAATCGCCAAAGTTGCCTTTAGTTCTTTACTGTTTTGAAGAAAATGAAAATAGCCAAAAGCCTATGTATCAATATGTCTGAAGAGAGGAGAGGAGCAGACAATGCAGGTATGTAAATGTGAGGAACACAGGTCTGTCTGAAGCCCTCTCATTTTATGATGTCACCTAAATCACCTTGTGGAAAAGAACTAGAGACCATGCTGAGAAAGCGTGCAAGTCATGCAGATGAATTGGGGATCAATATAAGCAATGACAGGACAAAGGATGTGCTCTACTCAAACTGAATGCAATCTCCAAGTACTGTAAACTGGAAACATCGGTGGCTAAATTTGCTTAGAACAGATTTAAAGAAAGAATACTCTTAGCCCGGTGTATTATAGAACCTAATATGTACCAAGTTCTTCAAACAAATGATGTTTATAAATCCCCTTTTTCCATTACACAGGAAGCAGTGGCCTTCAAAGATGCAATTTTGTTTTAAAAGCAGAATCACCGTATAGCATAGCAAATCACCATTAAAGGTTTGGCAGAAACTTTTACTTTTTAAAAAGATCTTTGTCTAGCATGACACCATCTGATGTTGTTTGAAGAGTTAATCTTAACATATCCATACACTCTTTCAACCTGGGATCAGACGTTCGCAATCCTGTAGATTTGAGTGCCTGTTTTTAAAAAAATAAGAGTTTGTAAATATATAGTGCAAATAATGTATATGCTTATACCAACTATAAGATTTTATTCCTGTATATAAAAACTTCTACCCAACACTTGAACATGAATATGGCATCTTAGTGTCACTATTACCCACTTTCTGGACAAGTTTCTCATTGTTTCTTTCTTTTTCTTTCACTGATTACCTTGAAATGAGCATGACAAAAATTTGAAAACATAATAAGAGAAATATTGTCAGTCAGAATCTACATGTCAGACGACCTTTAAGACTATATTTCAATAATACTGTATATATTTATTATTATTGATTTTTTTAAGTTAAGATAGAAAAATATAAAAACTTACTGTAATAAATTTATGAACAGGTATTTTCTCTTGTCCTTCAGCAATTGTATAGAACAGCAAATCTTCCAAGCTAGGTAACAGACCCTGTTTTATTTTACTAAAGAGGTAGAAAGAACACAAAATTAATCCTTGTATGAACATTCTACTGGATTTTTAACTAAATCCATTGTTAAATAACCACTAAACTAGACTACAGCTGAGCTCATATACTCAAGACTACAGTCATAATAAATGTTGATTTACCAAAATCAAATCAGTACCACTATAAACCACACTGAAAAACAAGTAGAAAAAAAATCATTAACACATTTTTTAATCCCAGGTTTTGAAACCCTGATCATCAACTCTAGTTGTGCTAATGCCCAGCCATCCGTTATGGTGATGCCTTCCTATACACCCCAGTACAATCACCCAATACAAATTATAGAGTTCAGCAAACGTTCCGATAAGACTCAACACTCTGTTCAGTTGTTTTGGGGATTTTCTAAATATGATGACTATATTTACATATTATTCAAATAGTTAACCTGATTATAAAATCTGGGAGAGATAGCAATTAACTACTACACAGTAGTTAAGATCAAGTGCACAAGTTCTTGAATCCTGGCTGTAATACTATAGTTGTGTAACCTTGGGTAAATTAATTAACCTTTCTGTGATCCAGTTTCCTCATCTGAGAAAGGGAATAAAACAGTGCCTCCCTCATAGGGTTGTGGTGAGGATCAGTTGACTCAATACATTCAATATCTTTAGAACATGTCTGGCAGAGAGTAAGACTCCACTGACAGTAGTTGTAGTTATTATTTCTAAAGTGATCTAGGTTTACATATCCTAGTCAGCCCTTTGCATCCATAGATTCAACCAACACGGATAAAAAATATTCAGAAAAAAAATAAAAAAACGTACATTCAAAAGATAGTATAAGACTTATTTACATAGCATTTACATTTTATTAGGTATTATAAGTAATCTAGAGATGATTTAAAATATATGGGAGGATATATGTAGGTTATAGGCAAATATTATGCCATTTTACATAAGAGACTTGAGCTGTGGGGGACCTGGAACCAATCTCTTAACATATACAGAAGGACAAGGCAAGACTGTATACATCAAATTCTACAAATCATAAAGACTATTAAAAGAAAAACGTTACCAATAAGTATGCATTAAAAATCTTAATTAACTAAACTAGTGTAACACTAAAATGCTATGATTAACCAAACTTTTAAATACTGAATGTCACACAAATGTTTTTTAAAAACACATAGCTTTATCATTAAAATATTTAATGACATATCCTGATACATAATTATTCCCTGAAACTGTTTTTGCTCTTAGACAACTTCTAAAAATGCATTTGAAGCTGGGCGTGGCAGCTCACGCCTATAATCCCAGCACTTTGGGAGGCTGAGGCAGGAGGATCACTTGAGGTCAGGAGTTCGAGATCAGCCTGGCCAACACGGTGAAACCCCATCTCTACTAAAAATAGAAAAACTAGCCAGACGTTGTGGCAGGCGCCTGAATCCCGGCTACTTGGGAGGCTGAGGCAGGAGAATAGCTTGAACCCGGGAGGTGGAGGTTGCAGTGAGCCAAGATCGTGCCACCACACTCCAGAGTGGGTAACAGAGCGAGACTCTGTCTCCAAAAAAAATACATTTGGGATGTTTTAGTAATAATAACTACAATATATTGATCACTTACTTATATTCTACACACTGTGCTAAGTGTTTTACATGCATTCTAACTTAATCCTCCAAGGATTTTATGACAGAGGTACTACTGTTATCCAAAACATAGTATGATTTCTGGTACATACTTAGAAGCTCAACAAATTTGTTATTTGTTCAAAAAAATGACTACCTCTGTCCCCATTTCACAGATTAGGAAACAGAGGCTCAGAGGTTAAGAAGCTTTCCAAGGTTACACAATGGCAAAGATGGATTTTTCTGAATCCAAACTACTGCTACATTATACTGGCTCTCTAACTTACTAGCTTGTTATTACTTTTATAAGGTACAAACAAGTTTTCTAGGTCTTATCCTGACCTAATACCATTAAACACAGCTTAACAATACTCACCACCTAATATTCAAAGAAAAAACTGAACCAGCTGTCAAAAAATCAGTGGATAATAACATACCAATTATTTACAGCAAATGGTTGGTCAAATAAACTTCAGATAGTGGTAGTTTGTCACTTTAAAAAACTGCAGAATAAGCTTTCTATGTATTTATCACACAAGTAAATGGTATTTGCTTTGCCTAAAAGCTATGTAAATAACGTAAAATATACACTTTTTTAGCTTATGGCACATAGTGAAAAAAAATTAAAATGACCACGTTATTGCCAAAGCTAGCAAAAAAAGACAAATGTTTACTTGCTTTTAAACAAGAAATTAATTTTTATCTATAGGGGAAAGAATTTAAGCCAGCCCTAAAAAATAAGCTCACAAAATAAGCTGTCAAAACTGATAAAAAGAAATTACTACCTATTTCAGCATTTGAAACCTCAGATTTTGATCTGAGAATGAATTCGCTTCAACAGTCTGGCGAACAAACATACTCAAATATTCTCCTCAAACTTTCCACAAGGCAGAAACTACTCAAGATCATTCATGCCTTAACCCCCCTTTTCTCTCCCTAAATTAATTCTTTCTGGTAATTCTTCACAATAATGTATTTTTCATTAAAATTCAAAAGCTAAAAACTATAGCTTTTGGTAACTATATAGTAACTAGGAAATCCTTGAGAGAAGTATTTAAGTTTTAATGACAAATAGGATTATAGCAATCTTTCAAATCTTATCATCAACAATTATTAATAACCCAAATGAATCCTCCAGATTCCCCTGAAGAGAAAAACATAAAATGGTTATGATATTCAGCAATTCAAATAGGATATAACAGAAGATAATCTGAAGGAAAATCCTTATTTCTCACCTTTTTACTTCTTCTCCAACTTATACTGTCTCTCTCGTTTCCTTTCTAAATGCTGCCTTTAAGATCATCTTACCATCATATTGTTTCTTCTTTTACCCATTCCTTCCCCTACTTTAGCCTTTAACTGTCTTAAAAAATAATTTCTTAATGAAAAAGAAGAAAAATCCCATGCCATGTATGACATCATGTTAGACATCATTTACAGTCTAGAAGAAGTAGGAGACATGTACATAAAATGAGGAATTACAAGAATAGATCTATGACATCCAGACTTTGGAAAACTACTTCACTGTGGTCTAATAAGGTCAAGCTTTTTTTTAGATGAGGTGGAATCTGAGCTAAACCTGAAAGATGGGTAAGAGCTGGAAGCATGGCAACAGAAAAAGATTTCTGGCAAACAGACCAAAGGGATGAAAGTAAGCATTCACTTAGTGTTTATAAAGAACAAAAAACAGCTAGAGCACAGAATGTGTGAATTAAGGTGCCTGTTTCTACCTATAGGCTATTATATGAATACTTAATTTTTTAGTGTTGAGAATATATATATTCTGAATATATATATCTGAGGTAAATGAGGAGACTACCTTCCAAAATCTACATTAAGTTTAAATGCAGGGCCAACTTCTGCAACATGAAAAGAGGAACTGTCTTTGCTTACCCCACTGACCAAATTAGTTTCCCCATACCAAAGGGGGAATTCATACTCCTCAGTCTGGTATGCAGTTCTCTATAAATTAGTTTTACACTATTTATTCCTAACTTAATCCTTATAATTCCCCAATGTAATTGACTAGACTCAATGACCTGTAAATAAGTGCTATCTCATCTTTTTTTTTTTTAACCTATCATGCCTTCTGTGTAAAACCTTCCTCTCCCTAAATCTTAAGCTATCAATGATCATTTCAATTGTTTCACAGGACTTTGCCCCCACCAGATTCTCTATACTCTTTAGCATTCTCTGGTATCACTAAGTTTTGTCCTTTTCTTGTACCACTTATTATATGCCAAGCAATAGCAATAAAGATCCCTAAAGTAAGGTTGTGGTCTAGGAGAAATATGACTAAAGCCATGAGACAAATACTATGGTAGAAGTGTTTTTCAAAAAGTATTTTATTAGCAAGTACAGATGAAGTATTTAATTTTGCCTTAATCGGTAGGGGAAATCAAGAAAGTTTCTAATCTGTAATTAGGAGCAACAAGGCAAACTCATCTTCATCAGTTCAAAAATCTTATAAATAAAAAACTATCAAATGAAAGGAAGAAAATAAAAAAAAAATCCTTACTAAGAACTACAAAATGAACAGAGGAAAATAATTGAAACCAACTGTATGGTCTTATTTTGTTAAATAACATTTCATATTACCTAACCTCCCCAAACTATAAAGCTTCAAGGCTGGGGTCAAGTCTTTCTTATTTTTTTTTTCGCATAACTCTTAAAACACATAGTATAGTATGGTAAACCTATGAGACAATGAAAAACTGTCTTTTCAAGTGGGATTAAAAAAAATGAGGCCTAATAATAACACAATACAAAAGGATTTGCTAGTCTTTATGCCTTCATTTAAGAATAATGATCCTTCAGATGATAATTCAGGGTTGTTTTAAAATCAGTGTATCATTTTGAATTTATAGTGAGCTGACTGATAACAACCGTCTATCAACACCAGCAAACTGGCAGATTAATAAACCTGTTAGATAGAAAGTTGAATTGATGGTGGCTGACCATATAGTAAAATAGCATATGAGAATGAATGTTAAGTCTAACAAATTGACAAATTCTAGTTATCATCCAAGTGATTTTGCCCCAAGGCTAATCATTGGTTGAATTTAAAAATAAAAACTTACATCTTTTAAGGCTTTACTGCTAAAAAAGGACTCTCACTTTCTATCATATTAAAACCCTATGAGGTAAATTAAGGTGGGTTAATTGTCCCCAGTGTACAGATAAAAGAGAGTCCTAGAAGAGTGTGGTGGCATGCACCTACAGTCCCAGCTACTTGGGAGACTGAGGCAAGAGGACTGCTTGAGCCCAGGAGTTCAAGGCTGCAGTGAGCTATAATGGCACCAATGTACTCCAGCCTGGGTGACACAGCAAGATTCCATTTCTAAAAAAAGAAAGAAAATGTTAATTTAAATTTTAAATTTAAAAAAAATTTTGTTTTAAGAGTATCCAAGTCAAGCAGAATGTCCAATGTCACATAAATCTTAAGTGGCTGGACCAGAATTAGTCCTACAAAGCTCATCCTTTGTTCCCAGTTCCAGACTCTTCCTGCTCTGCCACCTCATGCTCTCAGTGGTTAGCACTCTATTTTAGGAATAATATCTGTAATTCTTAAACAATAATAAATTTCTAACCAAAATGCACATAAGAGAACTAAACTGGTCTGCCTTGATAAAACTGCATCCTGTCAAAGCAAAGATGAGATTATATTCAATTAGTGCTGCTGTTTTGACTGGACTTTATAGCACAAATTCATTTAATAGCACACCAAAGTAAAAAGCACAAAAGCCACTTTATGTGAGGAAATGGTCAGGCTGCCCCTGTCAGCTCATGGTAATTTGTCCATACGTTTGCACAACTTCAGAAGTTTGACCCAAAAGGCAGTCTGGCTGTCTCGGGTGGGAAGACTAGGATCTGGGGAGATCAAGTCTATAACATCCAACTCTGTTAGTTTTTCCAATAACTCATTTCTTCAGCCAAGTATCCTTTAATATATCAGTCTAGATGGAATAATACAGATACTATATGAATTCTGTCACTGCAATCACTCTGATACCACTATAGACAACTTGTTCAGAATAACTAACATATATAGGTAGAAGTTAATGAAAAACTTCAGCCACACATAAGGAAAAATGAAACAGCTATGAAAACGGAATGGGCTGCCTTCTAAGGGAGTGAACTCCCTTGTGAAGGCAGTATTCAGGTAGAGATGAATAACAACAACCTATAGGGAGTATGTAACAGAAGAGAAGAAAGCAGCAGCTGGGGAGAAGGGTTTGTAAGATCTCTTATAATCCTCAATCTAAAAAAATTAACTCTATAAATTGAATTAGTTTGCTGCTAATAGATGAAAAATAAAAAATCAAAACAAGTCCTAATACTGTCTGAACTTGTTTAGGTCATTTAATATCTGCGGGCAGCTTATATAATACGTAAAATGAGCTGGAATTAAATGTTCTTTAAAGTTACTTCCAAGCTTAATTCTCAGTTTTTGAGTTGCTAAAAATAGATGTCCTCCAAATCACTACACTAAAGTGAGATCATAAACTTTATTCACTCACAACTTACATACTTTTATTTTACACATTAGCATATTCATCTGGGTTCTAAAACTAACAGAAGTATTTAATGCCACTGAACTAGGGAACTTAAAAATGGTTAAAGTGGTAATTTTTATGTTATGTATATTTAACCACAATTTTTTGAAAAAGCTAAGCAGAACTGGATACAGAAGGTAAGAGTGAAGGAGGATAGCTAAAGTAGAGACATGAAGAACAGTCAACTGATACAAGATACAAAAATCCACAAAAGAACAAACCCACCCTTAAGAGTACTGGTTAAAGCAGAACCAATCAAGGCATGAGAGAACTTACCAATAAATATATTTTAGTGTAGGGCTACGCAAACTACAGCAGGGACCTCCTCTTTTTGTAAATAAAGTTTTATTGGAAGACTGCCACATCTATTTACCTATTGTTTGCAGCTATTTTGCTACCACCACTGAACTGAGAAGTTGTAGTAGTGACTAGAGAACCCCAAAAGCTGAAAATATTTACTATTTGGCCTTTCAGGGAAAGTGTGCCAGCACTTGTCTTACAGCATCACTGTATTACAGTGCAGTATAATAATGCATCCTTAAAATACACATAAGTTGAACAAGAAATGTTAAACTCTATTGATTACAATGTTTTAATATGGCAGAGAAATATGTAACATTTACTAGGGAGATATATCAAGCATAGTTTTAAATTTTTAAAGTTTGATGTTTAAGGGTACCAGTGAATATGATTAGACAATGCTGATAAACAGGAGCTGTGCAAATTCATACATAACCTATTTTCATACTTTTCTTTCAATGTAATGGTGCTTACTGTTCTTATACAACCAGAATCAGGATATTAGAAGAGTAGACAGTAGAGATTTACAAGTTCAAAACTTAACAGATGTGGTTCCTTTGATTTTCAAAACTATGGAATGTTTTTTACTGTTTTAGACGTTTCCCACTTATAATGGGGGGGAAATCTTAAAAGTAACAAAAGGAGGCAGGAAAAACAATGCTCGTTCTCATAAACCACAACTGCTAATGTCATTTTGGCTTATTTCCTTCTATTACTTTTTCTGAGCTTTTTAAATAGCTTGAGATCATACTGCATAGAAAATTCTGTATTCTAACTTTTGGCCGTTATAACATTACCTTATATCCTAAAAAGTACCTGCAAACATTTTAAATGACTAAATAAGAGACCCTCATATGAATGTACCACAATTTACTTAACTATCCCACTAATGTTGAACATGCGTTTTTCTCCATTTTTCTCTAGTATGCATAACACTGTACCAAAAATAATAGGAAATAAATCTTTCTAACACTTCAGTTTATTTTGTGAACTTAGATTCCTAAAAAGGTATGAATACTTTGTAAGTTCCTCATAGAGCTTAAAAATTGCTCTTCAGAAAGTTTACCATCAAGAATTGAAGGACGGGTCTATGTCACTCAAAATATCCTCATCAAGAAGACAATTTTAAAAATCTTTTTTAGAAGCCTGTACCAGAAATAAATAGGCAAAAATATATTTCTTAATCCTGAAAGCTATCAGTTTTATTCATTATGCAACATCTACAGTTCTATGTTTCGAAAGTAATGCTTTTACTATAAACATTTCTTTATAATGAATTTAACATATCAAGCAGAGGACACTCCCAAATGGAAGTCAAGGTACATTAACATTTTGCTTCTACTACGTTGTAGGGGGTCAGAAAATCACTAAGTGCAGTGATGACTCACAAGTAATGTGTTTCATAACCAAAGCAATTTTGCACCTGAGTAGATTTCAGGGTAAAACTGTACTAACAGTATCTCTATGTGAAAGCTATGTACCTCACTGAGAGATATCAGTAATTAATAACTATTTTTATAAATACATCTGTTTACTCACCTTTCTTAAGCATTTCTCTTACTAGCAAATGACTTAAAGGTGAAAAGGCACAGACAGGCAACTATAAAATATAACCTTAATTTATATAGGATTTAACATGATTGAGCTCCCTCACACAAATTCTATAATTAGGCTTTCAGCTTATATGGTCATAATTTTTCTTCATTTCAAATATCACAAGAAGGAAGTAGTACAGCCTTTTACTATTACTTTCTTTTTTTTTTTTTTTTTGAGACAAGAGTCTCGCTCTGTCACCCAGGCTGGAGTGCAGCGGCATGATCTCGGCTCACTGCAACCTCCACCTCCTGGGTTCAAGCGATTCTCCTGCCTCAGCCTCCCGAGTAGCTGGGATTACAGGTGCCCGCCACCACTCCTGGCTAATTTTTGTATTTTTAGTAGAGACAGTGTTTCACCATGTTGGCCAGGCTGGTCTCAAGCTCCTGACCTCAACTGATCCACCTGCTTTGGCCTCCCAAAGTGCTGGGATTACGGGCATGAGCCACCACGCCCAGCCTGATTTCTTTTAAATAACTTTTTAAAACTCAAAGAAACCCACAAATATCTTCAGCAAATTTCTTTCAAAGTGACATTTATCTTTGGACTAAAATAGTGCCCCCCCTCCCTTTTAGCTGGCCTACATATTGCCTCATAAAAAAGGCTGAATTCTATTTGGTAGTCATTTCATGGATTAGCTGACTTTGAGGTAGGTAGACTTCTCTATAAAAGAGTAAGGTCTGGAAATATGCAGCTAAAAGTCCAGGAGACTAAACCCCTCAGAATCTAATTCTTGTTCTTTCAGTGAATTTCATCCAAATATTAATAAAACTATAAATTAACAGCATGAGTTTGTTAATTACAGATCATGGACAAAGTTATCAATGACTGATGCACATTTCAATATAAATATTAGGTCACAAAAATGTTATGACATATAGTTATTGGTACCTTTTTCACTTGCTTTTAAAAAAACAAAACTGGGCTGGGTGCAGTGGCTCACGCCTGTAATCCCAGCAATTTGGGAGGCCGAAGCAGGCGTATCACAAGGTCAGGAGGTCGAGACCATCCTGGCTGACATGGTAAATTCCCATCTTACTAAAAATACAAAAATTAGCCAGGTGTGGTGGCACGTGCCTGTAAGTCCCAGCTACATGGGGGGCTGAGGCAGGAGAACGACTTGAACCCAGGAGGCAGAGGTTGCATTGAGCTGAGATCACACCACTGCACTCCAACCTGGGTGACAGAGTGAGACTCCACCTCAAAAATAAATAAATAAATAAAAATAAAATTTAAAAAAAAAAACTAAAACTCACTGATAATCATCACCTAGAAAAAAATTTTTAATAATGAAGAAATCAAAAATAACTAAGGGGCTGCCTGAGAAGCCCAAAGGAAAAAATTAAACATACTTTCCACCTTGATTTTAGCTTAAGTGAATTGTAAATATGTTAGCTTTTAAAATTAAAACCAAATGCAATACTGAAGGATCATAAAAACATGTGCCCCCATTTTAACAGAGGTTTTGTCATTCAGTTCTAAAACTTAATATTTATATCTGCCAAATACTAACTCAACTTCCTTACTAGTATTGTTCAATCTACCCAATTCAATGTTCGCTGAAATTCATAAGCATTTCATCTTACTTTGAAATTCAATGTTCAGACCAGGTGCGGTGGCTCACGCCTGTAATCCCAGCACTTTGGGTGGCCACAGCGGGCAGATCATCTGAGGTCAGGAGTTCAAGACCAGCCCAGCCAACATGGTGAAACCCCATCTCTACTAAAAACAAAAATTAGCCACGCATGGTGGCGGGTGCCTGTAATCCCAGCTACTCGGGAGGCTGAGGCAGGAGAATGGCTTGAACCCGGGAGGCAGAGGTTGCAGTGAACCGAGATCACACCACTGCACTCCAGCCTGTGTGACAGAGCGAGACTCCATCTCAAAAAAAAAAAATTCAATTTTCAGAGTATACACCTCGATGATTTTCTTTGCCCTTCATTGTCCATAACTATCAAAACATAAAGCTGAACTATCAAAACATAAATCCATACTAACTAAAGCTAGCTGAAATCATTTTTGCTTGCATTTTTACTTTTAAATATAAATATATTTTAAAGCATGCTTATTTGTGTAATTACAAATATTTCTGAATGCCACGACTTCATGTAGATATGCAAACATCCAACTACCACATCACAGCTATGCAGTTTTTAACAGAAACTACCAAACTGCCTAAAGTAACTGAACTAATAATTTATACTTCTACTAGCAATGCTAGAGTTCCTATTTTCCCAATTACTTGATTTAACATCTGCCAATCTGAGAAGGGGAAAGTGACCTCATTGTTGTTTTAACAGAATACTTTCAATATTGCATCCTGTATGAATTATCTATTTTCTAACAACATACATATGCTGGTATTTTTCCAGCCCAATTTCTGTTATGTATCTCTTTTCCTTTCTCATTAAAAAATAAATGTCCAAATAAAAAAACTTAATAATGCCCCTTACCTCTATCCCTCTGACTCTTCCTAGGGACCATTCACTAAGATAGGATACATACTTCTGGACTTTATGGAAATAAGTATAACCAGCTTAACAGAGAAAAGTATGATAAAAATGTCCATATGGGCAAGTGCTGGCATAAACCATAACATAGTTTGTGACTTTAATATAATGCTCATTCCAGATCCTGCTGGTTTTCTGGAAGAGAGTGCTATTTTCAAATTAAAACTCTAAAATTACTCTCATAACAGTACGCAAAATAGGTTGAATTGGAGAAAAGAATGAATATCAGGGTACAGACTTAAAATTTGAAGTCATTGAATATGTGGCGACAAATTTAAGAACAGAGCTTTGGATTAAGAGGTGAAGTATTACCTACACAAAGATGAGAGTCAAAGCTGAAAGAAGGGATACGCTGTTGAGAAGGCAGACAAGTGGGAAAGGGACAAAGGCCTCAGCCTCAGGGTTTTTACCCAGTGAGGAAATTCAAAAAGAACTAGGAAAGAAGAGAGAACAATTTTGAAAACGAAGAGAGGCAAGCAAAGTTGGTTTTCAAGATAACAGAATGAACCATAACAAAATTAAATAAGATCACTAAAGACAAAACTGAGCAAAGATCATTAAATTTTTCTATGTGATATTAAGACGTTCGTATCCTAAACCACACTAAAGTTGCGTGATGGAAACAGCATAGTCTAAAGTGACATTAGTTCAAAGAGTTTGTGAAAAAAAGGTAAAGTAACTTGCTTATATCACGCCTCCTTCCAGAATATAAAGTAAATAAAATATAAACTCAGGACCAAGGAAAGGAGGAAACGCAGATATCCCAGCCATGTGAACTGATGAAATTGGTGTGGTTAAGCATTAAATTTACTCTGAACTTATTTATCAGCAGAGCAAAAGGTAAACAGTGCAACTCACATAGTTTCATATAAGACAGATGTATAGCAATTTCTCAAGATAAACATTTTTGTGGAAACTAAAAAAATTAAAAACCTTCATGTGCAAGCCTGAAATTCCAAGGCCAATCTCTTTAACAGGCTTTACAATAATGAAGAAGCAATGTTTTCTCATTTATTTAATAAATAGTTATGTGTCATTTAACACACGCCAAATATTGTTCTAAGCCTTTTACAAAATGTTAATTTAATTTTCTCATGGTTATTTCTTTTAATAATACTACATAAAATCTGGCACAGTCCTGAGTGAGTGCTAGCATACCAGGTGGACTGCTGACTGAGGGATGACCTATGCTTTGCAGGCTAAGCATTAGAAAGGATAACAGGATCAACTGGGAGCTTACCTCCCAGGATAAGAGAAATGTTTGTCACATAAAGGCAAAATGAAAGGAGCCAAAGAGGGAAAGCTACATTTGGAAACCAGATCATTAAGGAAATAGAAACTTTAACCAAATTAAAAAACTTTCTTCACAACCTTGAGGCCCTTGCTAAAAGGTGATTTTTTATTAAAAAGGCAATGAAACCAGAAACTTCTGGACAAGTGAATCACAGAAGAAGCTCAATTTCCTGTTTGACAAAAGAGGAAAAAAAAGAGAGGCACTAGAGCCACTGCAGAGACACAGACCTGAAGACATAATTTTACTAGAATGCAGTTCCCATCTTGTAGCCTTTAAGATGAACTTTTAAACGGTTGTGACTGCATTTTGCAATTCTGTACCTTGGGCACTTGCATGTAAACTCGTTACTTCCTTGGTAAACCGGATGATGTTAAAGTAAAAGTGAGTCCCAGATGAGATTAAATTATCATTCTAGTCCCTAAAACATGAGAGAAGTACAAATTTAACAGAAGTATAGCTTTTTAGAACTTGAAAGGATTTAAGTCATCTAACCCAAGATATTAAATAACCTGTCCATGGTCAGGACGCTATTTTGTGGCACAAAACCAACATCACAAAATACCACAAATTTCGCCCATCATCAAGTGATTTTTTTCAAATAATCTTTTTCAGTCTGGGAGAAGAACTTTAGAAAAGTTTCTGGAAGGTCCCAACTTCAATTACAGGAAAACATCAAGCAGGCGTGAGATTGAAATTATAACAATGTTCTCACTTTCAGTTTGACTTAAGGAACTCTAGAGCTGGAAATAGCAGCAGAAATAAAAGGGAAGCAAAACAGGTTAGAGTGTCAGCGTACAAAGCCAGAAAAAGAGTAAGGTATAATGAAAGCAGATCCGTAAATTTTTACCCATTTTGGGAAAACAAAGTGGTCCATTTGTATTACACAAGACAAAAATATATAGGAGACTGCTTTGCATATTGTTTAAGAAAAACCAGTTTTGCTTTAAGACTAAACTACTGTGCCGTACACATACAGGATGAGTCAACATCCTATCACAATGAAGTCACAAAACCTACTCAACTCAGATTTTTCACTGAGTTAGTGTATTACGTCACATTTCATCTTGGCTATTTAACTTTTATTTCTAAAAATCTCCCCATCTCACGGAAGACCTGACAAGCCAAAGCTGGTCCCTTATGCAAACAGGTGGTCTATACTGCGTGCCCCATCTTCTCGGCCACATGACCGGATTCCTCCTAATCTCACTTCTGAAACATTGTTTCCGGTGCCCCAGATGGCTCTACACGTGCCTGAGGTAGCCACTCCCGAAATATAAAGAGCTCTCTGTCACATCTGGCTTCCAACCGGATGATGGCAGAAACCAAGGGAGGGCAGGCAGAGCGGAAACGAGCCAGGAAAAGCGACAAGTCAGGAAGGTAAAGGCTCTGCTGAACGCCCAACTCCTAAATGTCACTCGGTGGAGATGTTCGTGCAGCATCGCCCACGAATGGCTGGGGCGGGCGGCCAGGCGCTGCAGCCGCAAGCCAGGGAGCTGAGCACGCAGCGCGGGCAGGGGAGCGGCCTCTCTGGCGCTGGGGACGCCAGGCGAGCCCATCAGGCCCCACCGCGGCCCCACCAGGGCGACCCCCGCCGGGGGCGGAGAAGGGAAGTGGGTGCCTGGCGGAGGGTTGCGGGCGGGGAAGGCGCGGGCGGGGCCGGGCCTAATCACATGGCGCAGACGGCGCAGGCCGCCCGGCACCTCTTTCTTTCTCTTTTCTAGACCCTCGGCTCCTATCCCGCCCCACCGCAGGGCCCCACACAGCCTGAGCCCGGGCCCCGAAAGGAACGAGGCCTCCTGCGCCTCGCGGAGACACTCACTTTTCACCTGAGGCCACCAGCTCTTTGCCCTCGCTGTTGCCAAACGCGTCCGTCTCCCCGGGGCCGTCCTTGGGGCCGGGCGCCGCCGGGGCAGCGGGTGGCGACACCCCGGGCTGCGGATGCGTGCTCCCCTTGCCCAGCTCCTGCAAGATCTCCGAAGGAGAGCTGGACAGGCCCCGCGCGAGGGGCTCCGCCGGCCAGCCGCCCCCGCCCCACCACGGGTGGAGTCGCGCGGCGGCAGCCGGGCCCGCGGCCGGCCGTCCCCCGCCTCGGGGACGCCGGCACAGGGTGACCAAGGGCTGTGCCCGCCGCAGAGTCGCGCTCACGCCGGCGGGCGACCGCAGGAGCAGGTCCCGCAGCATCCCCGAGCCTCGCAGCCGCATCATGCCGCCGGGTCCGTCAGCGCCCGCTCAACAGGGGAGGATGCTCCGGGCGTGGGCGGCCGGTTTCCTCGGGGAACGCGGTCTGTGGTGGGGCGGTGAGATGACAGAAGAGGAAAGGGCAGCTACTTGGGTGTGGTTCCGGCTCGGACTCCCGCAGCGGATGCGGGTGCTGCTGCTGCTGCTGCTGCTGCTGCTGCTGCTGCTGCTGCTGCTGCGCGCTAGGATTGCCGCGACCGGTTCTCTTCGCTCCGCCTAAGGCTCCGCACTGAGGCTAAAGCGCAGGGGAGGGCTAGAGACCTTCAGCGCTCGCCGACGGCCCGCCCCTTTCGCCCGCTGCGATTGGCTCAAATCCTCGACCTCTCTTTTGATTGGCGATTAGGGCAGTCAAATTTCTCTCGGCTCTGGGTGCGCGGAGAGTAGGGCGGGGGATTGGTGGGGGGCGGGGAGAGGAGTCAAACTGACGTGTGAAGCGGGTGAGCCAGGCCCGGCTGCTCAGTAGCCACTTTCTGCACGCCGTGCCAACTCCGAGGCTAGCCTAGTTGGGTACTAGGGGCTCTGGGTTCTCGCATTTATGAAGCAGTGGGCTCCTCCACTCTGGGAATTCGAGCTGTTGGGGAGACTCATGGGCGAGATCCCCCGCAGCCGAGGGCAGTGAGGTCAGCAGGTTTGGCAGGGCTGAGTCTGGCCGAGCTGTCGGAACTCAGCCGATCCCAGCTCGCATCTGGCCCCCAGGTCAGGGCGTCTGGCGACTCCTCCGAGAGCAGCCCCGGACAAGCTTCATCCCTCTCCCAAATGTAACATTTGCTTGAAACTTTCCATGATTGGCTACTACCCAGACGTGAAGTGTTTTGGAAAAAATGAGCAAAATCCTTTCAGCTATGCGACTTAAGCCATGGGAGGGTGGAGGTGGAGGGAGGGCGACGAGTGGCGAGGCGGGGTGGGGGGGTTGCGGAATCCAGAATACGACAGCTTTCTTTTTTAAAAATTATTTTTTTTAAATGTACACCGATACTTCAAAAATAGTTTTGAATAGCAATGATTCCGTTAACGCTATTTGCTTGAAAGCAAAACTGTAGATACTTTTCTATTTTAAAAACTGCTTCACTGTTTTAAAATAGAAGCGTTGGAATACGGGTTCTCTAAGTTATTTCAGCATCACTTTATCCATTTATCCTTTTGGACCTGTGGAAAAACAGCCAAGAACCTGATAAACTGAGTTATTCCCTGAGGCTACATACACATTACATTCCAGGACAAAAAAATGTTTTTAGACTATTTCCTGAAACAATTAGGTTTAAATGGAGTAGATCCACAGAGTTTAATAAGATGTTTTGGGGGTTGGTGTGTTGTTACTGTGTTGTTGTGTGTGTTCGTTTTGAGAAAGGGTCTCACTCTGTCGCCCAGGCTGAAGTGCAGTGGCGCGATCACGGCTTACTGCAGCCTTGAACTCAGGGGCCCCGGTGATCCTCCCACCTCAGCCAGCACCTGCTTTTTTTTTTTTTTTTTTTTGTATTTTTGGTAGAGACGGGGTTTCGCCAGGTTGCCCAGGCTGGTTTCGAGGGATCTGCACCCCCTGGGCCTCCCAAATTGCTGGGATTACAGGCGTGAGCCACCACGCCCGGCCTAATGAGGTGATTTTTATGAAACTAGAAGGGTGTATGTCAGGTGCATCATTAATTGATAACCGGATTTAGTAATCTAGTGAACTGTAAAATATTTCAATAGATTAATAATTAGGAAATCTGGCTGTACCTACAGGTTATGTGACCTTTGGCATGTTACAGCCTTGCCGTGTTTTAAGTTTTTTTTTTCTATCTGCTCTTTAACCAGAAGAACATGGAAAAAACTATCATGTGTAAAACATAGTCACCTTTTTTATTTAAAAAAAAAAAAGCAGGACAATGGGAAAGTACTTAGATAGCTTTTATTACTAATGTTACTTGTCCAAAAATGTTGATGAATCAAAGTAATGATATATTCAGGAATAGAGACATCAAGTTTCAGAGGAAAGGTAACAAATATTACCCCTGCCTAACCCTGACTTGTTAATGACTTGCAGACTTTAATATTGTCCAATATATTAGCTGCAATTAGTTATCAATTTTAACTGCCTCTTTTTTCTCAACAACACAAAGCAACTGACAATCCAGTTACTGTTTTCCTCTCAGTTTCTCCCTTAATTTCTCTGAGTTTCTTATGAAAATTGTTTTAGATATTTAAAGGTTTAAAGGCTTTATAGTTCACTTAACAAATAAGAAAGCTAACCTAGTAACAGATTATTTTCTAGAGTTTCTAGTTTCTAGAGTTTTATTTTCTGGTAGTTTCCAGACTTTCTGCTTTTGGTGAGAATGGATAGATATTACTCCCAAAATTTGGAAGAATTGAGTCCACTGAAATTTAACCCCTTGTTTGAGAAGGCTAATGAAAAGGTTATAGACAGCAAAGAAACTATTATAAATAGAATAAAAATGTGACTCAATACTTTCATTTGATTCTTTTCTTCATCTTATATAATTTTTTAATCTTTAAAGATATTTTTATCTACAACTTTGTAACCATTACACAACTTTGAAGTTTCAGTTATGTTAAATTGAATTATATCATTACATAAACTCATGTAATCATCATGTAAAAAGTATAAAAACATTTGTATACATACAATAAGTAGTCCACCAAAATATCTACAAATAGAAAAATGCTCTCCACATTAACTATGGTTGGGTTGTCAGATCTACTCTTCGACTTCCTTTTTGCTCCTAAGTGCAGCTACACTACAAAGAGTTGCTGTCCCATAGCCATCATCAGGTAATCAGCCATCAAAAGGAATAATTGGAATTTGTGCACTTTGTGTCTGTTCTAACTTGAAGAAAGGTTCCTGTGCTTCTATGTTCCTGAGCTTCTTTGTTCTGTCGAAGATTACAAAAGGCTAATGTTTCAAGATCATAATAAAATCCATATATAGGCCGGGCGCGGTGGACTCACACCTGTAATCCCAGCACTTTGGGAGGCTGAGGCGAGCAGATCACAAGGTCAGGAGATTGAGACCATCCTGGCTAACACGGTTAAACCCCATCTCTACTAAAAATACAACGATTAGCTGGGCGTGGTGGCACACACCTGTAATCCCAGCTACTTGGGAGGCTGAGGCAGGAGAATCACTCAAACCTGGGAGGCCGAGGTTACAGTGAGCCAAGATCGCACCACTGCACTCCAGCCTGGCAACAGAGCGATACTACATCTCAAAAAATAAAATAAAATAAGATAAAATAATATATATATATAGAAATTCCAGATTGCGCCTTCACAAAAACTAGTAGATTATTTGTTGACCTAGAACTAAAAAGAAAGTAATTTTCCTTTGACTAACAGCTTAAAAGAATTGCCTAAGCCTTTTTTTGAAATTCTTCTGTTTGGAGAATAGAGTAAGGTTCAGGAAGCCTCTAAACAAGCTTCTGCTACTACTTCCCTTTCTTCTGTTGGTTTCCTGCTTTAACTGGCCAAATTCCTAGCCTCACTGATAAGCCCTGCCAAACATGGCTTATTTTTCCAATACTGAATATAGATGTGTACCAAAGTAAGTATGGTAAATCCCTCATCTATAAAAAGGGGATAATATGGCCAGGCAAGGTGGCTCACGCCTGTAATCCCAGCACTTTGGGAGGCCGAAGCAGGTGGATCACCTGAGGTCAGGAGTTCAAGACCAGCCTGGCCAACATGGTGAAACCCCATCTCTACTAGAAATTCAAAAAATTAGCCAGGCATGGTGGTGCATGCCTGTAATCCCAGCTACTCGGGAGGCTGAGGCAGGAGAATTGCTTGAACCTGGGAGGCAGAGGTTGCAGTGAGCCGAGATCTAGCCATTGCACTCCAGCCTGGGCTATGAGAGAGCAAGACTCCATCTCAAAAAAACAAAGGGGGGCGGATAATATTGGTACTTATAGGGTTGTTGTGTGGAATAAATAAACAACACATATAAAGCACCCAGAATAATGACAGTAGCACTCTGTAAGTGTTATAGCTGTTATTATCAAACCATAGGTGAATAAATTTTGACATGCAATGTGATCAGTTTTTACACTTATTGTTGAAAAGCCAAACAATTGTTTTAAACCATCTAATAATAAAATACCATTTAAGGGGAACCTAGAGATAATTTACTTACTTCATTTTTAGAAAATAAACCAATAATTTTCAAAGTATCTTAAAATAGAAAAAGATAAAGACAGTCAGATTAAGAAAAGCTGGGCTCAGTGCCCAAAGTAACAGCTATTCACAAATAGCTAAAAAAAAAAAAAAATTCCAGAGAAGGAAGAATCGCTAAGAAAGCAGTCCTTGAATATACATGTCATATACAAATACCTTAACATATAGCAATTAAATCTAAAAATATATCATTTGCCATCTATGTAAATGAAAGTATACCTCTGTTCATTGTGACATCATATAAAATGACAAGAGATATTCATCAAATTTGAGCAGCATATCTGAATGATCTGCCTTAAAATACTAACTATATGAAGTTCTTTTTGAGAGTTTCCTGATGGCCGGAGTGGGGGTTGGGTGGGAATCAGTTATTTTTCTCCACTTAGAGTAATATGATAAAGATTTCAATTAGTGGAGTTTGTAAGGTAATATTGTTTATATTTACACCACCATTATATTTATGGGGCCTCCAAATATTAATTTTTTAAAGTGATTTTAATGCTTATTTTTCTGTGGATTCATATTAAAAATAAATCAGGCTAAACCCCAGCCCAGAGTTAAGAAAGTCTTTCTTGTATATTAGCAAAACCTAAAAAAAACTGATTTTGTATATAGTCCAAAAGTCAGTCAAAAGGATACCTGCTTGAGAATGAAAACAACCTCTGTGGTAGATTATACTACTATTCCCAAATATTTTTGTCCCTCCCACTGGGCAGACTTTACCTCCTCACCTTGGATGGCAGTCTTGGCCTTGATTTGTTCAATGATATGTGACAGGAAGTGGTATGCCACTGCCGAGCATAAACTCACTTGGTTCTGTCATCTCTCTTTTCCCTTTTAAACAAGAATGGCATGTCCCAGAGAGGGGACGCTTCTTTCCCCCCACACCCCACCACAGTTCATTGGTTCTAGTCCAGTCCATGAGGGGATGCTTCTTTACCTGGGTCCCAGAATTATGGAACAAAGCTGACAATGGCTTTGGCTGACAAATAACATCAAGAGAAATAAGCCTTATTTTAAGTCATTTAAACTTGAGGGTTATTACCATAGAATGACTTAGCTTAAGCTGACTGATATATCGTCCAATTTGAATGAAGAAGACGTGGTAGCCAGGATACAAATCTGTATCATGAAGAAGAACATTGGCGAACTCTAAAAGATAGTCAGTCAACCTACAGAGCAGTTGAAAGAGTACCACTAAGTGGGACTGCCTGTCAATAGGCATTCTTTTCCAGGTACAATTAAAACCAAAGCTCAGGTAGGA
Organism: Homo sapiens; assembly: GCF_000001405.40. NCBI lineage: Eukaryota > Metazoa > Chordata > Mammalia > Primates > Hominidae > Homo > Homo sapiens. Next base: position 190,875,620 of record NC_000002.12, on the reverse strand, counting down.
GACATTTAATTGATAGTTTAGTATGTCATATGCATTTGGACATGTTAAGTGGAGAAAATTAGCAGTGATTTGAAGTATGAGCCCTATACAATTATGCTGTGGTTGGTTTTATGCTGTGAAATCTAATGGTGGTTCAGCAGCTAACATTTGTCACATTTTACAAGCCCTGAAAAAGAAAAACGAGCCAGGGCTTTTATCTATTTATGCTCATCCAATGGTAAAATCATATTACCAATTCAGAAACCAATTACTGAACTCCACTGAAATCATTATTTATGGAGCTAAATATAAAATTCAGAGTCTACAATAATGTATTTTGATGTACCAGGTTAAAGAGGAATCAGTATTCATCCTCTGGAAAGCACGGGTTCCTTCAAACTATATTTTCACTTTTCAAGCATCTGACATTTACAGTAAGCATCTGGTTCCCTCTATCCATTTAGAAGGTATTAGAAACAATGCTACAAATCCAAGGGTTGGTTTGTGACCGAGCTGCTTCTCATAGAGATAGCACCAATGTGTGTTCTGAGGCAGAGCTTTATTCACATGTACCCTAGATAGTACAACAAACAGTACAAACAGTACTATATATATATATATTTTTTTTTTTTTTTTTTTTTTTTTTTGAGACAGAGTCTCACTCTGTGGCCAGGCTGGAGTGCAGTGGTGCGATCTCAGCTCACTGCAACCTCTGCCTGCTGGGTTCAAGCGATTCTCGTGCCTCAGCCTCCCAAGTAGTTGGGATTACAGGCACATGCCACCACACCCAGCTAATTTTTGTATTTTTGGTAGAGACAGGGTTTCACCATGTTGGGCAGAATGGTCTCGATCTCCTGACCTCATGATCCGCCCACCTTGGCCTCCCAAAGTGTTGGGATTACAGGCAGGAGCCACCGCGCCCAGCCAGTACAATGTATTTTGAAAACTCTGTAGAAACAACCTAAATGTTTATCAGTAGAAGAATGGATTAACATAACATGGCACACATTATGTAATGCACATTATTTAAAACTAATGATCCCTAGTTTCCTATATTAAGTGAATAAGTCTCAAAAACAATGTCGAAGGGGTAAAAGTTACATATGGGTGTATATATATTATACTACCTTGATTTTTTTTTTTTTTTTTTTGAGACGGAGTCTTGCTCTGTCACCCAGTCTGGAGGGCAATGGTGCAATCTCGGCTCACTGCAACCTCCGCCTCCCAAGTTCAAGCAATTCTCCTGCCTCAGTCTCCCAAGTAGCTGGAACTACAGGTGCCTGCCACCATGCCTGGCTAATTTTTGTATTTTTAGTAGAGACAGTGTTTCACCATGTTGGCCGGGCTGGTCTCGATCTCTTGACCTCGTGATCCACCTGCCTTGGCCTCCCAAAGTGCTGAGATTACAGGCATGAGCCACTGTGCCCGGCCTTATAATACTATGATGTTAAAACATGCAAAACAATATATTATTTATAGATTTATACAGATTTTGTTTAAATGTTTAAAACATGCACAGGAATGGCAAACATCAAATTCAGTATAGTGATTATTGTTTCTAAATATGTAATGGAGAATGGCATTGAAGAGTTGTACACAGAGAGTGAAAACTGTATCTGTAATGATTAACTTCATTTTGTTTGTTTTTTTGTTTGATAGAGTTTCACTGTTGTTGCCCAGGCTGGAGTGCAATGGCATGATCTCGGCTCACCACAACCTCCGCTTCCTGGGTTCAAGTGATTCTCCTGCCTCAGCCTCCCAAGCAGCTGGGATTACAGGCGCATGCCACCATGCCCCACTAATTTTTGTATTTTAGTAGAGATGGGATTTCACCATGTTGGCCAGGCTGATCTCAAATTCCTGACCTTGTGATCCACCCACCTCAGCTTCCCAAAGTGCTGGGATTACAGGCATGAGCCACTGCGCCCGGCATGATTAATTTCTTAATAATTTTAAAAATCTGAAGCAAACAGGCAAATATGGTTTGTTATGTTCCCTTTTCTGTGTATTTGAAATATTTTGTGATAAAAGAAAATAAGCTTGGCCGGGCACAGTGGCTGACGCCTGTCATCCCAACACTTCAGGATGCCAAAGCGGGCAGATCACGAGGTCAGGAGTTTGAGATCAGCCTGACCAACATGGTGAAATCCCGTCTCTACTAAAAATACAAAAATTAGTTGGGTGTGGTGGTGTGCGCCTGTAGTCCCAGGTACTTGGGAGGCTGAGGGAGGAGAATTGCTTGAATCCGGAAGGCGGAGGTTGCAGTGAGCCGAGATTGCGCCGTTGTACTCCAGCCTGGGCAACAGAGCGAGACTCTGTCTCAAAAAAAGAAAATAAGCTTTATTTCAATGTTGAAACCCATTACAGCCCTCTAACAATTATTATATGTGTAGAAAATATTACAAATTCTATGATACATTTTAATGGCTCCTTTTAAACTTAATTTCGCCTAACCAATGCTGACTGATATAACTAGTAAGCAATACAGCTACCCTGTAAATTATTTTTCAAAAGGACAATCAAGAGTTACTACCCCTGAAATAAAGGTTTTATTAAAGATAAGAATGACATATTTGACAGAAAAACATTAAAATTATATTTTTTTACTATCTCAGAGATAAATATGAAAGCAATTACTTTACTAATAACATATGAATAAGAAATATATTCTTCCTTCCTTTGATGTTAAAGAGGCTATTTATGTTTGTAACATTTCTGTTGGAGACAGGTGTTGATATGGTTTGGCTGTGTCCCCACTCAAATCTCATCTTGAATTCCCATGTGTTGTGGGAGGGACCTGGTGGCAAGTAATTGAATCATGGGGGCAGGTTTTTCCTGTGCTGTTCTCCTGATAGTGAATCCGTCTCATGAGATCTGATGGTTTTAAAAAGGGGAATTTCCCCACACAAGCTCTCTTCTCTTGTCTGCTACCATGTGAGATGTGCCTTTTACCTTCCGCCATGATTGTGGGGCCTCCCCAGCCGCGTGGAACTGTAAGTCCATTAAACTTCTTTCTTTTGTAAATTGCCCAGTCTCAGGTATGTCTTTATCAGCAACATGAAAATGGACTAATACAGGTATCAATTGCTAAATGTTATGGCTAGAGATATTATAAGTTAATAAGGTCACATGGCTAATTAATAATAGAGTTGCTGAAAACATACCCTTCAGCTAGATCTGGCACTTATCCTCATTTCTTTTGAACCATCAGTGAAATGCCCACCCAAAGACTCTGCTGTGGCTTGAATGTCCTTGACAAAACTCACATTGCAATTTAATTGGCCAGGCGTGGTGGCTCACACCTGTAATCTCAGCACTTTGGGAGACTGAGGAAGGCAGATCATTTGAGGTCAGGAGTTTGGACCAGCCTGGGCAACATGGTGAAACCTAGTCTCTACTAAAAAAAAAAAAATTAGCCAGGTATGGTGGCACATGCCTGTGGCATGTGGTGTGGTGGCACATGCCTGTAGCATGGTGGTATGGTGGCACATGCCGGTAGCATGTGGTATGGTGGCCTGTAGCATGGTGGTATATGCCAGGTATGGTGGCACATGCCTCCTGAGACCCAGGAGGCTTGAACCCAGGAGGCGGAGGTTGCAGTGAGCTGAGATTGCACCATTACACTCCAGCCTGGGTGACAGAGCAAGACTCTGTCTCAAAAAAAAAAAAAAAAATTAATTGCCATTTTAACAATATTAAGAGGTAGGGCCTTTAGGAGGCGATTAGGTCATGAGGGCTCTGCCCTCATGAATGGATTAATGCCATTATCATAGAAATGGGTTAGTTATTGCAGGAGTGGGCTCCTGATAAAAGATTAAGTTCAACTCCCATTTGTTCTCTCTGACTCACACTCATTTGCCATGTGATGCCTTCCTCCATGAGATGACTCTCATCAATTGCTGACACCATATTCTTGGACATCTTGGCCTCCAGACCATGAGCCAAATAAATCTCTTTTCTTCATAAATTACCCAATCTGTGGTATTTTGTCCCAGCAGCAGAAAATGGCCTGAGAGAGAACATTGTTATTGAGAAGTGGAGCTGTTGCTATAACAAATACCTGAAAATATGGATATGGCTTTGAAACAGGGTAATGGGTAGAGGCTGGAAGAATTTGAGGAGCAAGCTAGCAAAGGCCTAGATTGTCCTAAACAGAGCATTAAGGGTGATTCTGGTGAGGGTTCAGAAAAGAAGAAATGCAGGGAAAGTAGGTGATACGGTTTAGATTTGTGTCCCCGCCCAAATTTCATGTCTGAATTTTAATCCCCAGTATTGGAGGAGGAGCCTGGTGGAGGGGATTGGATCATGGGGACAGACTACCTCCTTGCTGTTCTTGTGATGGTGAGTTCTCATGAGATCTCATTGTTTAAAAGTGTGTAGCACCTCCCCCTGCTCTCTCTTCCTCCTCCTCCGGCCATGTAAGACATGCGTCCTTCCTCTTTGCTTTCCGTCATGATTGTAAGTTTCCTGAATTCTTCCCATCCATGCTTCCTGTACAGCCTGGGGAACTGTGAGTCAATTAAACCTCTTTTCTTTATAAAGTACCCAGTCTCAGGTAGGTCTTTATAGCAATGCAAGAACAGATTAATACAATCTGGCACTTCTTAGAGATTACTTAAGTGCTCACAGCCACAATGTTGGTAGAAATATGAACAGTAAAGGCCATTCTAATGAGGTCTCAGATGGAAATGAAGAAGGTATTAGAAACTGGAGTAAAGACCATCCTTGTTATAAAGTAGCAAAGACCTTAGTTGAATTGTGTCCATGCCCTAGGCTTTATGGTATGCAGAACTTAAGAGCAATGAACTAGGATATCTGGTGGAAAAAATATCTAAGCAGCAATACTTCCAGGCTGCTGGAGCTACCTTTAACTGCATACAGTGAGATGCAAGAGGAAATAAATGACTTAAAAACAGAATTTATTGGAAAACAAAAATAAAATTCTAGCCCCAAACCGACTGAACAGACCTCTTTCTTGACCAAGGAGATTTCAAAGAAACCTGAAAAACTAGTTCAGACCATGCTTCATTATACTCCCTTCCATTTTAAGTTTAGATACAACTAATCAGCATTAACAATAAAGTAGAGATACAGCTGGGTGCAGTAACTTATGCCTGTAATCCCAGCACTTTGGGCAGCTGAGGCTGAGGGGATCACCTGCGGTCAAGAGATTGAGACCATCCTGGCCAACATGGTGAAACCCTGTCTCTACTAAAAATAGAAAAATTAGCTGGGCGTAGTGGCATGTGCCTGTAATCCCAGCTACTCGGGAGGCTGAGGCAGGAGAATCACTTGAACCTGGGAAGCAGAGGTTGCAGTGAGCCGAGATTGCATCACTGCACTCCAGCCTGGCAATAGAGTGAGACTCCATCTCAAAAAATCAAAACAAAACAAAAACACATTAAAATAGAGATACTAAGACTGACCAAACAGAGTTTTTGTAGCACTAAGATACCAACTCCAAACTGACTTTGGTTAACATCATATGACAGATTGGGCCCTAAAGGAAATCAAAGTATTTTACCCCAAAATATATTTCTTTGACATATTTTGGAATGATCCTACAAAGGTGTCTCTTGTAGGGAAAATTTACACTCTGTAGAGATTCCCCTTCCCGTTCCTGATTCAGGGGCAATTTAACTAAGAGTCTGACACCTCTTAAAGTCTCATAAGAGACATTTATCATCTATTCTCTCTGAAGCTTGCTACCTGGGGGCTTCATCTACATAACAAGAACCTTGGCTTCCACAAACACCGTATCTTAAACCCAAGAAACTGCTAATTTATTCCCGCTGACTTCAACGCTTTAGGCAAAGCTTAACTCTTTTAACCACTTGCCAATAAGAAAATCTTTGCATCCACTATGACTTGGAAGCCCCCATTTCAAGATGTCCCACCTTTCTGGTCCAAACTAATGTACGTCTTACATGTATTGATTTATGTCTTTGCCTGTAACTTCTATCTCCCTAAAAATGTATAAAATCAACTGTAACCCAACCACCCTGAACATTTGTTCTCAGGACCTTCTCAGGCTGTATCATGGGTGATGGTCCTCATATTTGGCTGAAAATAAACTTCTTCAAATATTTTACAGAGTTTGGCCTTTTTTTTTGGTCAACATTAAAATTAAAAGAAAGACTACATGGAAAGATTTGAAAAATTTGCAGTCTGGCCATATGAAGAGTGAAAAGTCATATTTAGGAGAACAAAGTGGCCACATGCTAAAGGTATTAGTATAGATGAGAGCCAGATGCTGTTCATCAAGACAATGAAAGACTCAAAAGTCATTTCAGAGCTCTTCTGAGGCTGCCCCTTCCATTGCAGGCTCAGAGCTCTAGGAGGACAGAATGGTTTCTGGGGATGGGCTCAGGGTGCCCTCCACAGGCTCACAGCCCAGGGCCACTTTGGGACTCTATTCCCTGCATTCTGGTCCAGTGCTCCTCAGCTATCCTAGCCGTGACTCAAGCAGGCTCAGGTGTGGCTCAACCTACCATTCTGGAAGGTTCAATCCATAAACTTTGGTAGCATCCATGTGGCACTAATTGTGCAGGTGTGCAGAATGCAAAGAGCTGCGTTGGTGTGGCTTCCTCCACCTAGATTTCAAAGGATGTCGCAGACAGCCTGGGCACCCAGGCAAAGACTTAATCACAGGGGTGGAGCCACTGCAGAGAACCTCTACTGGGGCAATGCCAAGTAGAAATGTGGGATCAAAACTACCACAGAGAGTCCCCACTAGGGCAATGCCTAGTAGAGCCATGAGATTGGGGCTAATCCCAAAACCCAAGAACTGTAAGGCCACCAGCATGCAATTTCAGCCTAGGAGAGCTACAGGCATGTGATCCTAACTTGTGAGAGCTTCTGGGTGGACTGACTCCAGCAAAGCCATGGGGCAAGGGCTGCTGGGTTTTTAGGAGCCCATCTTCCACCCCAGTGTGCCCAAAATTGGGGACATGGAGTCAAAGGAGATTATTCTTCAGCTTTAAGACTTAATGTTGATTAGCCTGTTGGATTTTTTTTTACTTATTTGGGGCCAGTTACCCTTTTCTTCTTGCCTATTTTACCTTTTTGGAAAGGGAATGTCTATCCTATGCCAGCCCTGCCATTGTATTTTGGAAGTAGATAACTTGTTTGATTTTACAGTCTCATGGCTATAGGGAATTTGCCTCAGGATAAATCATGCCTTCAGTCTCACCCATATCTGATTCAGATGCAACTCTGGACTTTGGGCTTTTGAGTTGATGCTGGAACAAGTTAAGACTTTTGGGCTATTGAAATGGAATGAATGAATGTTGTTTGTGAGAAGAATATGAGTTTTAGGGGGCCAGGGGCAGAATGTTATGGTTTGAGCGCCCTCATCAAAACTCATGTTGAAATTTAATTGCCATTGTAACAGTATTAAGAGGTGGGGCCTTTAAGAGGTGATTAGGTCATGAGCGCTTTGCCTTCATAAATGGATTAATACCATTATCACAGGAATGGGTTAGTTATCACAAGAGTGGGTTTCTGATATAAAGATAAGTTCAGCCCCCATTTGTTCACTCTGTCTTGCACTCATTTTCCATGTGATGCCTTCCACCATGAGATGACGTCCACCAGATGCCAGTGCCATGCTCTTGGACTTCCCAGCCTCCAGAACCGTGAGCCAAATAAATCTCTTCTTTATTAATTAACCTGTCTGTAATATTCTGTTATAGCAGCAGAAAACTGCTAACATAGGCTCTTAAAAATTATTCTTTTAGAGTAATTTCCTCAAATGTGGGACTAGGTAAGTAACCCGAGTAAAACAGACCAGGTGTAATACATTAGGGAATTATGAGACTCCAGCACATTGGAATTGGAATGCACCATCTGAAGGGGCAGTAACTAATCCATTCCAGCCAATTTTAGCTAAGTGAGAATGCAGGCAGTTGGCTAGACTTTGAATTCTTCAAGATGACCCAGAAATATGATTTTTAAAAATAAATCTTATGAACTTTCAATGTAAGCATCTCATTCAATTTTTAAAAAATACTATACCAATCAAAGCATCTGCAAGAACAATTACATTTCCTACTTTCCCCTAAACGATCAGATGATGAAAGTAATATAATGTTATTTGAGATTTATTCCCCAGAGCTGATTCTACTCCAGATAACTAGTCCTAGCCAGCCATGAAAAGTTCATTCTCCTTGAAACTGCTTCAACCCTCTTGCTGCTAGGAGGGGAGCCAGCCTTAAGGCAAACATAACACACCAAGGCCAACAGAGTGGAGAGAGAAAAAAATAAACCCTGGAAACTCCATGACATTCTTGAACTACTGACTCAATCAGTTCTGATGCCTGCTCTATTCTGGTGCTCCTTGTTACACATTAAACATTTCTTTATCATTTAAATCATTTCAAGTTCTTGTTTCCATTAAGACGTCTTAACTGATTCAAAGCCACACTATAGAAGTTTCTTTCTGTGTCTGTATCTTTTTATTTGCCCCAAGTACAATTTATTGTATCCTTTTTCTCTCATTGTTTTAACATCACTAAATTGGATAGCTATGTTTTAACCTATTTATACATTATATGACTTCCCAATTGTTGGAAGGGCCGTGTATGATAGCTTTGCATCATTTAAAAATAAAAGGATGGAGTTGGACTTAGAGTTGGAGATAGTAAGCACTAAGAAGCTTACCTCTAGGCCGGGTGCGGTGGCTCACTCCTGTAATCCCAGCACTTTGGGAGGCCGAGGCGGGTGGATCACGAGGTCAGCAATTCAAGACCAGCTTGGCCAAGATGGTGAAACCCCATCTCTACTAAAAATACAAAAAATTAGCTGGGCGCGGTGGCAGGCACCTGTAGTCCCAGCTACTCAGGAGGCTGAGGAAGGAGAATCATCTGAATCCTGAGGGTGGAGTTGCAGTGAGCCAACATCGTGCCACTGCATTCCAGCCTGGGCGACAGAGTGAAACTCCGTCTAAAAAAAAAAAAAAAAAAAAAAAAAAAAAGAAGCTTACCTCTAACCTTCAGTTTGGACTCTGAATGATTTCTATAACTCCAGATTGCTTCCTTTCTCTCCTAACAAAAAATATTGGTTTGGCACAGTGGCTCACACCTCTAATCCCAGAACTTTAGGAGGGTGAGGCAGGAGAATAGCTTGAGCTCAGGAGTTTGAGACTGCAGTGATCTGTGATTGTATCATTGCACTCCAGTGTGGGCAACAGAGTGAGACCCTGTCTCACAAAATATAGACAGACAGACAGACAGATAGATAGATAGATAGAGATAATAGACAGATCCATCCATCCTGAGACAACAAGCTTTGCCCTTCTGCTATAAAGCAGACCTCTATGCTTGTGCCTAATATATTAGTGTTTGAACCTTAATTTGCTTTCCTTCATTTTTGCCAGAATGATCAATTTTCCTTTACCTAACCAACATTCCTCCTTTCCAACTTTCCTCTTTGCTTATGCCATTTTAATCACTTGTGTGACCTAAACCTCTTCTCCACCCTTCAAAATTCCACAGATCATTTAAGATCTCTATCTTATGTCTTCATGATGCTCTCCCATTTCATATCATCTTCATAACAGTCACTTGAGATGGGCAGGTAGGTGCAATCTCATTTTTAGGTGAGGAAATTGACAGAAGCATTAATCTGCTCAATATTTCAGTTACTTGCCTTAAAAGTATCACATATTTCTTGACTCTGGCTTATGCCTTTACCATCACCCACTTACCATTCTCATTTGGATGTACCTTCTCTTTCCCAATCAGTGAACTCAAGTAAACATATTCTATGCTTTTTCTATTGAATGTCATTTCTGACTAGCTGTTTTTATTTCCACAACTAACTCCAAAGTTAAGAAATGTAATTTGAGTCAAGAAAAAGAAGACATCTTCACAACCCATCCTTTCTTTAATCTGATGGTGGCATAGTCACTGACCCATGTGTTCCAGATGGGAAAAAAAGTATCCAGAGGCATCTGCAGCCTCAGTAGATATTGGCTAGACTTAGTATTGAGCACCAGATACTATGACATTTCTCATGCAAGAGGCATGATACAAAGGAGAATACAATTCGGAGTCAGGCAAATTTAGATTTGAATTGCAGCAGACAGTAGTGCCTTCCTAAATTTTACCTCACAGGTAATACTGATTGCATTTTAACAGGGTTTTCAAGAATAAAAAGTCTTAATCCCAGAAAGTGACTGAAACAGGGAGGAGTTGATATCTGGTACTAGGCAAAAACAGGAGACATTTTTGTTGATTAGCACCTGAGCTGTGTTAATATTCTCCTGAGAGAAGGACCTAAGAGAATAGTATAGACAGTATAGGTAAGTTCATGTAGGCAGAGGAGGAAATGAGGCAGGGAAAGCCTAGACATGAGGGTAGTAATAAATTATAAGCATGTAAGGCCAAAGGCCCATGAACAGACTGGGATGCATATCTTTTTTTTTTTGAGACGGAGTTTCAGTCTTGTTGCCCAGTCTGGAGTACAATGGTGCGATCTCGGCTCACCACAACCTCCACCTCCTGGGTTCAAGCAATCCTCCTGCCTCAGCCTCCCGAGTAGCTGGGATTACAGGCATGTGCCACCATGCCCAGCTAATTCAGGCTGGTCTCAAACTCCCAACCTCAGATGATCCACCCGCCTCAGCCTCCCAAAGTGCTGGGATTACAGGCGTGAGCCACCGCGCCCAGCCATAACTTTTAAGTCCAATTCAAAAGAGTAAACTTATGTTTATTTATTTAAAAGTTTAATACTATATGTAGTTCTTTAAAACTTTTCTGAATAGAGAGTTAGGAGACTGGAGTTCTAGCTCTGGCCTGGCTATCACCTAGAACTGGTTGACGTGGGCAAATCCCCTGACTTGTCAATGTCTCCCTTTCCACATTTTTAAGTGGAAGTTTGGCCTGAGTGACCTCAAAGGTGCCTCCTGGGTCTCAACTGTGATTCCAAGCACTGGCTACAGTTGTGGCTTTTATTTGGAGGTTATTAAACACTTACTGATGAAATCTCATGTCTATTTTTTTCCAACAGATACCATGGGAATTCTAAGTGAATTTGGAATACTGGAAATACCAAACAAGGTTAAAGAATGTTTTAAATGCAGTGACTAGACAAAAGCTATAAACAGCTTAGCACATGGCAGTTTTGCAAGAGCAATAAAGAGTACACATTTTTAGATTAATAATCATAGATAATGTTAAGGGATATGTGAGAAAGGGCAGGGGGATACACAGACCAGGGGCCCAACACTATCTTGATAACCTGAGGTCCTGGGCAGGAACTTGTCCCAGGTTGTGGAACAGTGTCTCTGTAGTCTGGTTGGCAAAACTTTAATCTCAGTAGGTTTTCCCTCAGTGGTAGGCATTATCAGAATATAAAGACAACTGTATCCAAGAGTAATTCATACACTGTGCAGCCAGCTAGCACTCATGCTTATGGCAAGAGACTCTTCAGCCACTGCGAGTGCACGTGCTCACTGTCATTAGAGTCAGCTGTTGGCCCTGAAGAGCCCTGGCAGTCAGACTCCTCCAACAGCCTCCAGGATAGTGTTTTGGTGCAAACCTGAGTATGTGCTTTCAGAGTCATTAGAGAAAGGAGATAACCACAAGTAAACAGAAAGCAGGTGGACTGTACAAACAGTGTCGCAAACATAATTTTCAACTCAATTACTATAAGGTTCTCTTTTTATGTTCTTTTTAAGTAGATGGAATATCTAGGCTCCACTTATCTCTAAATAATAAAACTCTTTCACTCCTAGCAACCACTTCCTGGAAAACAACCTGACAAAAAGATGAAAACAGTGAAAAGAGGTCTTTTGCACATTTAACAATGATAAGAGGGATTTTTAAGAGTGAAATCCCATAATAGCTTCAATCATAAATGGCTATATCCAGTATCTCTCAGATGAGCAGCCAGGATCATGAACTTCCTTGTTGCAAAATCATGTATTAACCCTTCCCTGATCACTGCATTCTGGATATGACAATCATCTACCTACAGAATTTTACAACAAAACCATCACTGAGATTTTACTGGGTGTATGGTATGCCCCATGCATTAATTTCACATTAATAGAAGGAATTGTACTCATTTTCTTGCTCCTCCTTATGTTCCTCTGGACAATTTATATAGCCTCAAAGGTCTTCGTTTCCTCACTTATAAAGTGAAGATAATGGTTCACACTTCTCACAACTATTGTGAGAATTAAATGAAGTAATGCATGCATATTGTTCAGGGATAGGCACACACAGAAACTCAACAGATGTTAGCTCCTTGTCCCTTGCAATCCATTTCTATCCAGGAGCTATAGTGATCTTCTTACACATAAATCGGATCATGCTACTCTCCAGCTTAAAACCCATAATGGCTTCCCATTACATTTAGGATAAAATTAAAAATTTGTAATATTCCTACAATACCTCTCTGGCTCTGCCTAAATTTTAGGTACATCTTCAGCCAGTCTACCACTAACATTCTATGCTCCAGCTAAAATTACCTTCTTTTGGATCTTTAAATATGCCAGAACTATATCATGGCCCCTGCATGGTAGCAGCACAAGGGGAGATTTGGGTGTCTTTATTCCTTATGATATGCATGAAGTCCATCCTTTATTTGATATGCAAAATTGATATATTATGAATCTTATATAGAATGCTATGCACAAACAGCTTCTAGCCCACCACTGAGTCAAATTGCTACCTCTAAGGCCCTCCTAAATTGTCATTTGGAAACTGTCACTGTTCTTGCACATGCCATTCGTTCTGCTCAAAAAAGCCCTTATCTTTTCTCTTTGCTACTGGTGAAATCTTACTGACTCATCAAGTCTGAGCTTGAATAATCCTGTGTGTCTATTAAGGTAGAGAAGGGCAAGGATAGTGTGGCTGCTTCTCTTAATGCTGTGGTCTAACATAAAGGGAGGCAGGAAATGCTTGTTGTTGGAACTCAAGGTTTACTAGATTTTTTTTTCTTTTTTTTGAGACTGGGTCAGTGCAGTGGCGCAATCTTGGCTCACTGCAACATCTGCCTCCCAGGTTCAGAGCTCAAGGTTTACTAATTGTATTAGTCTGTTCTCACACTGCTAATAAAGACATACCTGAGACTGGGTAATTTATAAAGGAAAGAGATTTAATTGACTCACTGTTCAGCATGACTGGTGAGGCCTCAGATTGAAACTTACAATCATGATGGAAGGGAAAGCAAACATGTCCTTCTTCACATGGCAGCAGCAAGGAGAAGTGCCAAGCAAAAGTGGGAAAAGCCTCTTATAAAACCATTAGATCTTGTGAGAACTCACTCACTGTCATGAGAACAGCATGAGGGTAACCACTCCTATGACTAAATTACATCCCACTGGGTCTCTCCCATGACACATGGGGATTATGGGAACTACAATTCAAAATGAGATTTGGGTTGGTGACACAGCCAAACTGTATCACTAACCAATAAAGTTTACCTGAATATATATATAGTGAAAGATCTGCCCCTGCACCCATGAAAAACTAGAGCATGTTACACCAGCTAAATCTGATGACAAATTTTGAGTCTGTCTTAAGCCAACATTTAGGAGTCAAAGAGAAAGAAAATGCCTCCATCAAAGACTGTGCCTTTGTATCCTGGCCTTTTCCTACGTCTTTTTTTAATTTTTATTTCTTTTAGACAGAGTCTCGCTCTGTTGCCCAGGCTGGAGTGCACTGGAGTGATCTTGGCTCACTGCAACCTCCGCATCCCAGGTTCAAGCTATTCTCCTGCCCCAGCCTCCCAAGTAGCTGAGATTACAGGCGCCCACCACTACGCCCGGTAATTTTTTGTATTTTTAGTAGAGACGGGGTTTCTCCATGTTGGCCAGGCTGGTCTCAAACTCCTGACCTTGTGATTTGCCGGCCTCAGCCTCCCAAAGTGCTGGGATTACAGGTGTGAGCCACCGTGCCCAGCATCCTTTTCCTACTTCTTTAACTCACTTCCTTTCTACTACCCTGACCACTGCATTTCAACATACACAAATCAATCTGAAGCAGAACTAAATTTTACATAGAAAGAGGGGTTTGAGAAAGGGAAAAGCGAGTGGCAGGACTATGAACAGAAGAAATAAAATGCAAGTACAGCCTCAAGGCATTCTTTCTCCTGGGCTCTCAGCAGGGAAGTTCCTGCCAGGCATATCTTTGTACCACACTTCTAGTCTGTCTTACATTCCTCTGGATCATTTACCAGTGGCCTAAGCTGCCTGCTTTACTTTCCTGTCCTGAATCATGTTTCTGCATTGATCTCTGATAAAAGATCCTTTTCTGTTTGGATCCTCAGTTTGGTCCCATTTGTCTTTTAGTTGTAACAGGGCTAGCTTTTTAATCACCTTTCAACAATTTAGGAAGCTTTTACTAGGAATCCCAGTCTTTCTTCCACAAATATTTATAGAATGTTCCTAAGTACCAGGCACTGTGCTAGGTTCCACCCCTTCTGCATTCTCCGCTTCGGTAGACCATCTGGATTGAGGGTTTCTCTTGAATTTTTTTGTCTACTTTGACTCTCCCTTTCTACTTGGCTTTGATTTTTCTTAAAGGGTCCTCTCCCTAGCCGGGCTTCTCATCCTCCTTTAGAATATCCCTGTTCAGAAATTCACAACTTCTATTTGCATGTGAAAGATAACTCACAGGGAAGTTCTCGGAGAAATTTCCATGTGTGTTTAAACATTTATTTGCTACTTGACAGTCAAATGGAAGCTGCCTCTGAGGGGCGGGGGGGGGGGGTCTGTGGCCATCCCTCTGAAGTAGGAGAACGAAGTGGCATCTGCTTTGTTAGGGGGCTGTTGTCCTTTAGGTTTATTCAGAATTTCTATCCTTCCCTTAGTTGAAGCTGCCACATAATCAGGTCTTTTTCTCTAGAATTCTATTGTGTGTGTTGCCTCTTGAATAAGATAAACAGAATAAGACAGTCGTGGTGCCAAGGACCTATTTTTATATTCCCTAGTTCATTTGCATTCCCCCCTCCAACTTTCTATGGCAATTTTTCCTGTCCACATTAAAAACAGCTTTCTGGAAATTTTTATGGAAATCCTTTATATATGATATTGTGAATTTAAGGAAGCATCTTCCAGGCATCTTAAGTTTTTTTCTTTACAGAATTTGAGGCTTCGTCACTGCTCCTGTCCCTTAACCTCTGCACAATAGTTTCATACAGAAATGTCTTGTTCACATAAAATCTGCCATCTCCACCCATAGTGAGCCCTGCCCTGTTCTGATGTTCCAAATCTTCCCCTTCCATTTTTAAGGCTCACCTCAATCCTCAGGGCACATTCCTTCTCTTCTCCTATTTTCAGAAACTACCCACTTCAGTCCTAATCTTGTAAAACCAAGCAAACTACTCCCAGAAGGTGACAATGAGGAGGGACCATACACTAGAGTGTAGGTTTAGTGAGCAAAGAATAGCTCCAGGAAGGTACCAAAGCTGCTATACTCACATTTTCTACATTTTAGCATAATCTTTCATCTTGGAGGATCTTCAGTAGAGATAGAAAGATGCCAAGAAATCTCTCCTAAATTCCATGGATTCAGATATACTATATTTAATCTTTAAAAAGTGCTGAATCATAGAGTTGCAGAGGTGGAAAGGAATGGACTTTAGAAATCCAGTCCATTTCCTCAATCTGTTTATTAATTTCCTCTATAACATTCCTCAAAACTGGCCATCCAGCCACAGTTTTTTTTTTATTTCTCTTTAAAAAATATTGTTTAAAGAATAATGAGCCTAATTCCAAAGACTTAATCAGTATTTCTTAAAGAATGTTCTGCAGATGACCTGCATCAGAATCACCCGGCATGCTGCCAAAGGGTCCCTGGGATCTACCCTAGATAGACAGAATCCTAGAGCCTAGGGGTGCAGTCCAAGACTCTGCACCTCCAGGTAGTGCTTGCATATACTAAAGTCTGCGACCCTGTATTCTAACAGGGATCAGCCACAGCTGTACGTGGACAGACTTCCTCCCCATATTTAACAGAGCAGGAGAAGGCCATTCGTGCCTTGAGAGGAGCAGTCTACGCTTGCCGGTATTTTTACAGGAATGTGGTAAAACAGCTGCTACAAACCTACCCCCAACATTTTTTTTGGCCACACCATACCCAGAGCAGCCAACAGCATTACTGAAGCTGGCAGATGCATAACTCTCTGCTTCCTGATGAAGATGAGGAAAAGAAGTGCCTTCCTGGATCAGGGAGAGGGAGATGAGCTGAATATTAATATTGCACTTAATACTGGTGAAATCATGATCCAGGCCCTCAGGCAGTATATCTAGGCAACTACACTAAGGGAAAAAGTTTGAACATTAATGAAAATCTGGAGAAACTGATTTATGTGGAAGCCTAAATAAATAATTCTAGACTATAAGGAGCATATAATAATTTGTTAAAAGATAAAAAACTGACGGTGGAAAGATGGACCAGAACATAGGAAGTTGAAAAGGAAAACAATGAAAAGAATTCAGGTACAATTCAAGCTACAATGAAATGAGACTTAATAATAATTTAACCATTTTAACCAAACAGACAGCATATTTTTAGAATCAGGAGGTCTGTGCAATGTTTAGGCAGCCTGTGTAACTCTCCTTTTAAAAGAGGCTCACGTTAAGCATTCCAGAAAACCACGGAGACACTGAGCTCAGTGTACAAGAGTCGACTGTGTTGAAAATGCAAGAGCCAGAAATGACACATACCTAGAAAATGACCAAAAACTAACCAAAGGCAGGACAGAGAAATCCATTCTTCTTTCTCCTACAGAGGAAAAAGTATCCAACTACAGTACACCTCTCTCGACCTCCTTCCCCGTCTTTCCCCCGAAGAAAGAGCTTTACACTGGGAATCAGAAAATCTAGATTTCTAACCCTGGCTCTGCTATGACCTATGTGATTTTAATTACCAAACAAGCTTAATATTCTGACTAGATTTCTTCACCTATATGTAATAGGGTATCTTGCCTGAGGTTGAACTTTAAAACTTGTGAATTTTTTTTCTGTTTTTGGTCTCTTCAAGTGAATATTTATTTATCTTTATTTATTTATTGTTTGTTTGTTTGTTTGTTTGAGACAGAGTCTCACTCTGTCCCCCAGCCTGGAGTGCACTGGCACCATCTTGGCTCACTGCAACCTCTGCCTCCGGGGTTCAAGTGATTCTCGCGCCTCAGCCTCCTGAGTAGCTAGGGTCACAGGCGCCTGCCACAGTGCTCAGCTAATTTTTATTTTTATTTTTTTAGTAGAGATGGGATTTCACCATGTTGGCCAGGCTGGTCTCAAACTCCTGACCTCAAGTGATTTGCTCGCCTCGGCCTCCCAAAGTGTTGGGATTACAAGCATGAGCCCCTATGCCTAGTTTATTCATCTTTAATGTAAATTGTTACTTCATTTTAGGAAAAAAAAACCAAAAAAACAAAAAACCTACCAGAATAGTTTCTGTTATTTACACAAATATAAGGCAAGTACCATTAATATAAATGGGGTATTTTTGTGGTTTAGCAATGGAAATGAATATCTGTGTAGTTTTGGGCCAGACCATCTATCTCCAAGTTCCCTGTGTGTGTGTGAGTGTGTGTGTGTGAGTGCTTGCTTGTATTTTAATAGTAAACAAAGAAAACATTTTTTCTTAGATGTATATAAACAGGAGGTAGAACACACAGAGAACTGTTGTTTCTTATTACTGTTGGGACAAGTTTTTGCTTATAGATGACAAAGAGGAAAGGAAAATCTTGTGAGAACACTAAGTGGTAGCAATGGGGTCTTGGAGTGGAGCCAAGGTGGCTGCAGAGGGGGGCTTTCTACCCATCTCCAGAAACTCAGCGAGGTGAAGGCAACTTAGGCAGAATTAGGGGTGGACATTCTTGGCATGAATGGATGAACTGCTTGCCAGACTTATTTTTAACAGTGGTGGCAGTAGGTTCTTTGAGGGAGCTTCCATTTTAATTGCATTAGACATTGGCAAGAGGGAATCCAAGTAAGAGAGGAGAGACTTGATTGGCCTCTACATGTGAGACGCCCCTTCTGTCACTCTCAGAAATAACAGGGAGAAGCTTTCCCAGTCAGTGGGAGTGCTGTGTGAAGTACACTTATCATACAGGAATTGTATTTGGGACAGTCAAGGTAAAAAATGTGTAGGCTCAGCAACACTGCTCAATATACCCTTGCTGGCCCCCTGAACAGTCATGAGCAGTGTGGAGTTGCCCAAAAATAACTAGGACCTGGGGACACAATTGTTTGACATCCAGATGGGATGGTTTTGCTCACCTTTTATAACTTGCCTGCCTCTGGGAATCCAAAAACACCAATATATAAATTCTATCATTCTCCTATCATCATAGGATTAACAAGATCTCCAAATTCAGATAACTGTTCCTGCTTCCTTAAGTTCTACCAGTTCCTGCCTTGGTACTTCCTCTATTATAGCCCATTTACCATTTAATAGTGATTGGAATAGTGTATACACAGCCCTCTCCCTCACTAGAGGGCAGAAGCTTATCTTATGGAAGTCTCTAACCCTACCTCCTAGCACAGTGTCTCACTCACAATAGGCATTCAACAAATAGACCCAGTTCTTAGAGACCTGGATTTTCATTTCAGTACCGCCTCATCTGGAGCAAATTGCTCACCCCTCTAAGGCTCAGTTTCTTCATCTGAAAATGTTGATACTAATACTTGTGAAGCTACAAATAATAATATTTATGAAGTTGGTTTAATACGTAAATGAAATAATGGCCATAATGTGCCTTACATACAATAAATGCATAATGATGAGAGTTGTTATTGTTAATGACCACAGTGTGTTATGTCAAACATGGTTCATGGAGAGAATCACTAAGGACTGTGGCTGTTGCATTAGCAGAAAGGAGTGAATACTTTCCAACTTACCTACCCTTTCAAGGACCTCCTACATGCTACACATTGTGCTCAGAAATGGGGGCTAGAGAGAGCCATTTCTATATGGCTCCTGCATTCCTGGAACTCCCAGTAGAGTAAGTTTATTTTCCTGAATTGACATCTGACCAACTCATAGGTCATTGGGAAGAAATATAATTGACTTTCTTACCAACATAACTAAAAATTTAACCACCTACAGCATACCTAGTCAGCATCATTATGTACCAAATATTCAATATTTAAAATGAAAGCTGATCTTAATTCTTACTTTGGGAATAAACCTTTGATATTGCTAAAACATACTGATACTCTCAAAAGCCATGACCTTACCTTTATTTACTCAAAGCTTCCACAGATACTGTACATTTTACTTTTTAAATACATTGCTTTAAAAGTTTTCTCCATATTATTTTCCTGTTAATCATGTTCTTTGAGCATTATTTAATAGACTAGCACTGTTGACATTCATTCTTCTACACAAATATCTTTTTTTTGTTTTTTTGAGACGGAGTCTCGCTCTGTTGCCCAGGCTGGAGTGCAGTGGCACGCTCTCAGCTCACTGCAAGCTCTGCCTCTTAGGTTCACGCCATTCTCCTGCCTCAGCCTCCCGAGTAGCTGGGATTACAGGCACCTGCCACCACGCCCGGCTAATTTTTTTTTGTATTTTTTTAGTAGAGACGGGGTTTCACAGTGTTAGCCAGGATGGTCTCAATCTCCTGACCTTGTGATCCACCCGCCTCGGCTTCCCAAAGTGCTGGGATTACAGGCATGAGCCACCGCGCCCGGCCCCACAAATATCTTATCTAAAGGAAAACAAAAGGACTTTACTCCCTGGATGAAACTCTTTATGGCCCCTGAAACTGTGATTTACTCATTATAAACTAGCAATACATTCTGTTATAATGACATGTAGTTTTTCTTCTCACCAGTATCTTAAACACGTTTAATCTCAGGTTCATGAAAAATTAATGAGATTAATGCAAATGGACTCACTAAAATTTGTGTCAAGCAAGAAAAATTTTTTTAAAAAATAAATATTTTAGTGTGTTACCATGGCATGAGAGGAGACAGGATTGTTTGACATCTAGAAGGGATTGTTTTGCTCACCTTGTATAATTTGTCTGCATCTGGGAATCCAGAGAAGGCAACATATAAATTCTATCACGTTCCTATCACCATTGGATTCACATGATCTCCAAATTCAGGTAATTGTTCCTTCCTCCTCAAGTTCTACTGGTGGCTGCCTTGTTACTTTCTCTATTATAGGCTACTTAATAATGAATGTTTGGATGGAATGTTTACATGGCCATCTCTCTCACTAGAGGGCAGAAGGTTATCTTATGGAAATCTCTAACCCTACCTCCTAGTCAGTGCCTCGCTCATAATAGGCACTCAATAAATAGCTGGTAGTGGTACCATTCCAATTTTTCCTTATGTGTGATTCTTTTAAAATGATCTTTGATCATGCGATATAATGTGACTCTAACTTTAGTTAGATGAAAATCTGAAGTCGTGCTATCCTCAAAGGGAATAGCTTCTTTAAGGGATGCTGTCACAATATTAGGAAGATCAATGTCAAACCACCAAACGTTTTCAGTCAGCTGCCATCTGAAGAAAGCCTTTACTTTCAGAAAAAAAGCCCCATTCTTTTAGTCTGCACTTCTGAATCATGGTAAGATTGTAGGCTAGAATTGGTTTATGGATGTTAAAGGGGAGAGTTTATGTCTGCCTTTTTCCACACATGCACTGTATTCCTGAACCTGGTCAGTGGAGATCCAAGGCCACTCAACCTCTTTCAAGTGAGGCTGATGGAACATATGGTGCTTCCTGCAGAGAAAAGGTTCTAACTGGCTCTAAAAGGAATGTCCAATAGTTCTCACCAGGGTTGTTCCACATATTTGGAAATGTGCGGGAGTCATGTTGGTTGTCACAGTGACCAGACAGACAGCAATGAGGGAAGGGAGATGCTATTGGAATTTAGTGGGTTGCAACCAGGGATGCTAAAATGTCCTGCCATGTATAATACCATTATGAGAAACAAAGAATTGTCCTGCTCCATATGTCACTTGCACATCTTTTTTGAGAAACGTTTTTTTCCCTGTTAGGAGTTGTGGAAAACCGGGCTGGGCTTGTTGAAGCAAAGGACCCTGCAAAGGTGTGGACGGACCTACCTACCTCTCCTGGGTTTTGGCAAGCATGATATTAGGAACTCCTCCAAGCAATGAAGATTTAGCCCATTTATTTTCTTCCCCACCCTCAGGACAGGGAGATAATGTTGGCAGCCCTTCAGATGATGTATTTGGGGAACACTGAAAGGCCCATCATGTATGCAGAAATCCCCACCATTAGACTTCTATGCATTAAGACATTGTCTCTAAAAAGACAGTTAAAGTGTAATATGTTACTTGAAGGGATAAAAGTAGAATGTACCTTAGCATGGATTAGTTTACCAGAATAGCTAGCTATCACTTTGGCAACAGGTCTTTAAGAAAATAGATTTAAGCAAGTAATTTTGATATAAGCATAATAAAAGAAGGAAGTGAAAGGAGGAGGACTTTTGGAAGTGAGTCATGAGGGACTCTGAGAGACCAGGAGAGGCTACTGGGTGCCAAAAACAGACGAAAACAGAGAAAGCAGCTACACAAATTTGCTCATATTCTACCCATTTTGTCTCTGCTGTAAGCTTTCTGAAAAGAAAGATTTCAATACCAAAGTAACCTTATCCTTATGAAGGCAGAAACTGTATCTTTTCTTTTATCTGCTTAATTCCACAATGCTTTGCACAATGAATACTCAAATTTTGACAGTTAAGGAATCACAAAAATACTGTATCTTAGATTGCCTTGCTGGAAAGCTGTCAGACTCTAGGTTCAATGAAAGACACACCCGTACAATGGTTTGTTTTGTGTTTTAGGTTCACAGTACAGTTTTTATGAACATGAGTACATAAACTGCTTTATTTCATTTTTTTTCTCTGCCCCATATGATCTGCAGGAATAAGTTGCTTTCTTTTAGCATGAGGGATTCTTCCAGGTGTTTTACAGGAAATTTAACCTGGGTAAAGATGAAGTGGACTTTAAACTCCACATCAGCACTCTGTATTAGAAAAGATTAGGCAGCTTTCTTCTATTTTATGTAGAGCCATAAATTTTAAGACTTGAAACAAGTACATGAGAATAATCTTGTTCAAATAATAAATGATTATGGATCACACTGAAACTTGATGTTTTTCTTGCATAATATGATAATAGTCGGCTGGGCACGGTGGCTCACACCTATAATCCCAGCACTTTGGGAGGCCGCAGCAGGCAGATCACAAGGTCAGGAGATCGAGACCATCCTAGCTAACACAGTGAAATCCCATCTCACTAAAAATACAAAAAATTATCCAGGCATGGTGGCACGCACCTGTAGTCCAGCTACTTGGGAGGCTGAGGCAAGAGAACTGCTTGAACCTGGGAGGCAGAGGTTGCAGTAAGCCAAGATCGCGCCATTGCACTCCAGCCTGGGCGATAGAGCAAGACTCCATCTCAAATAAATAAATAAATAAATAAATAAATAAATAAATAAAATGGATGTGTCACATTATGCAAAATATAGATGTCTCAGAAATCTTGGTTCTAGGCCTTGAGAAAATACATTTTCCATTGACTTTCAAAAATGTCTAAATAAAAGACAGTCTCATGTCCATGTTGCCTAAAAATTCATGCCTCAAAATGTAATAGGGACAATTTTTTCTGTAAACATATTTAAGAATTGTCAAAAATAATGTACTTTTGGATCCAGGGACACAGATATCCTATGCAGTGTTTTTTTGCTAATTGGAAGAAGGTGGTCATTTGTAGAGGCAGATTAAGCCTCCCTCCTGCTCCAGGGCATGAGGTTTGACGAGCGAAGTTGGGTCTGGGCTTCGGTACCTTGGCTGCTCCAGTAGGTGTCTGTGTAATGCTCTCACTAAAAACCTGCCTGTGGCAGCCCCACTGGCATCTCATAGTCGAAATCTTCTCACCTCTAAGGTGGACCTGCGATTTCTACTAATCCATATATTTGCTAAACTCTGGACTCGCTAGCTAGCGTTCTTGTCCTGCCCTCTTTTACTCACTTTCTACACTCTCACCTTCACCCCATCCTGCTTTCTTAGAGAGAGACCTCCTTAGAGCCAGAGGGGACTGACAGGCACTTGTTAGCAGGAACCATGGCATTTCACAGTGGTCTTCCCAGCATCTAGTCAGTAGCCGGCATGTAGAAGAACTATGTAAATGAATGAGTACATTTTAGAACTATGTGTGACTATCTCACTGGTTAAGCCATCCAACTTTATGTCATTTGATTAGGGGCAAATTTGATATCAAAACCTTGAAAAAAAGTAATTTCTATACTATTGTTCTGATAGATTATCTGTGCTTAGTGCTTCCCAGCAATGCAACAAAATATGTTTTGCTATGGTTTTATTTTGAAATCCATAGATTTATGATTACATAGTAAATACAATGTAAGAAAAGTTATATTGGGTCTATATTAGTTGACATTTTAACTAAGAAATATTCTGAATCTGAAAGACTGATTATTCTATTTTTATAATCCTGAACCATTCTCTCTCACATTATAACACCCAAATTTTAAGTTTCATTATGGTTGAGCTGATAGAGATTGTATTCAAAAAGCAATGTTTCTAAGGTTCACGCTCGAGAGAGAATGAAATAGGTAAGAAGTTGAGAAACAGCATCTAAGTAAATTTGTTATGGCAACTGTGCCATTCTTGCTTTTACCTGCAACTAAAGCAATGACCAGATACCTAACTGGTTTGAGTTAACAAAATATACAGCATCTTTAGGAGGGTCCTGACGCCTCCAGAATGTGGATCCAGGATGAATACAGAAATTTCTGTTTCAGTCAGAGGATAAGAACAGAGATAGAATAAGTTGATTTAAAGTAATTAAGCATTAGTGAAAATATATATCAGTATCAAAAGTTCGATCATTTTAAAATACCTTAATCTCATCTTAATGTTTAATGTTTGTATTACTTGATGGTGCAATGTCCTTTTGTTTTGTTTTGTTTTTGTGACGGAGTCTTGCTCTGTTGTCAGGCTGGAATGTAGTGGCAGGATCTCGGCTCACTGCAACCTCTGCCTCCTCAGTTCAAGCGATTCTCCTGCCTCAACCTCCCAAGTAGCTGGGACTGCAGGTGCATGCCACCCCACCCAGCTAATTTTTGTATTTTTAGTAGAGATGGGGTTTCACCATGTTGGCCAGGATGGTCTCCATCTCTTGACCTCGTGATCTGCCTGCCTCAGCCTCCCCAAGTGCTGGGATTAAAGGCATGAGTCACCACACCTGGCCCCATTTTTAAATAACCAAGTTAACATTTTTAAAGAAGTCTAGAAGGTTAATGCAATATAATCTACCTTGTAACCATACTTCTTGCCATAGCCTGATTGGATAAGAGGTTCATCCACTCAAAATGCCACAGAGGCCAGGTAGGTAAACTGAAGGAGGCTGGATGTAAGCACACGAGCATAGATGTACATTGAGTGCTGGAAAGTGCCTGGCTATTTAAGTGGGGCAGCTGGGTTCAGCTATAGCTAATGGTTATCTTGAGGGAATGAAGAGCTAGTAATTGCTAGATCTTCTGATTTTTCAAGAAAGACTGAAAATCCATATTGTTATGTGGGCACTCCTGATTATTAGCTGTTGGCTTAAATTTAAAATGAGCAAGACCATCCTGGCTAACACGGTGAAACCCCGCCTCTACTAAACAAAATACAAAAAAATTAGCCGGGCGTGGTGGCAGGCGCCTGTAGTCCCAGCTACTCGAGAGGCTGAGGCAGAAGAACGGCGTGAACCCGGGAGGCACAGCTTGCAGTGAGCCGAAATCGCACCACTGCACTCCAGCCTGGGCAACAGAGCGAGACTCCGTCTTAAAAAATATAAATAAATAAATAAATAAATAAATAAATAAATAAAGCAAGCCAACAAACCATTTGAATCAAACCAAATATGGCTGCTGGCCACTCATTTATTTCTGGTCTGACCATGTGATATTTATTGCCCCCTGGTGGTGGCTTTCCTCAATTCTAGCTTTAATTTTAAGAGATGTGACAACGAATTTTGGTGTTTGGCTAATTTGTGAAGGGGCATAGTCCTGCTGGGTGGGCGAGTTGCCCACTTCCAACATCCGTGCCAATGCTTTCTTAGATTGGCACAAAAGGCAAAGTGAAAATAAGCTCTCAAATGATAGTTCATGAGTCAAATACCAAAAAGAAATATTCACTAATACAGATATTGTATGATAATAAGTACAATATGGAGGTTTTTGTTTGTTTGTTTGTTTTTGTTTTGTTTGTTTGTTTTGAGACAGAGTCTCGCTCTGTCGCCAGGCTAGAGTGTAGTGGTGCGATCTCCGCTCACTACAACCTCCAACTCCCTGGTACAAGATATTCTCCTGCCTCAGCCTCTCAAGTAGCTGGGATTACAGGCACGCGCCACCACGCCCAGATAATTTTTGTATTTTTAGTAGAGATGGGGTTTCACCAGGTTGGCCAGGATGGTCTCGATCTCCTGATTTCGTGATCTGCCCGCCTCAGCCTCCCAAAGCTCTGGGATTACAGGTATGAGCCACCGCACCTGGCCCCAATATGTAGTTTTTGAAAAGCATATATTATCATATATTCAGGATGCTTTCTGGGCACAGTTAAAGCTAGGGGTGCCAAAAAACATTGGATCATTGTCTTGGGCTCTGTGGCTGCAGGACTGAGCATCTGGACTGTGACTCACTCAGGCAGTTGGCCAGTTCCCCAACTGGTGCTAAAGGAGACCTGAAATACACTTTTCTCATCTGTAAAATATGAGGATAATAATCCTACCTGGCTCGTGGGGTTATAAGACTCACTGTCCTCAATATGTGTTAGGGGGAAAATTCCTACAGATATATTAATATATGCAGTAAGCTCAACCTACTACCCTTGGTCATCAAGACAGGCAGGTAGGACTCTCTTGTCTTCTATGCACACCCTTGGCCCATACTGGGTGTGGTTCTTTTGGGACTTCCTCATTCTCTCCTTTAAGGTTGATTTCTTTTAAACTGATGTTCCCATATAAACATGTTTGAAGCAGAAAATGGTAGATTACAGCATGATTTGGACTGTCTTCCACTCTCACGCCAAGGTCTATCCTGTATTTAGAGCATATGAAAGATGTGTCTGCTTGAAAGTAACTTGAATAGTAATTTGTGGCGGAAAATTACAGGAGCCCATCAGAAGGGGATTATTATAAAGCACCACCTTTCACATGGGAGTTAAGAATGCCTTCATATGGACTTCGTTTGCATTTTTAAAAAATTGGAACACTGAGGCAGCAGAAAAGCCTCTAAGTTTCCAAACAAGTAACTTAAAGCCATGAATTAATGGGCCCAGGAGTTTTTTCTTTTTTAAATATAATACCAGGCCGGGCGCGGTGGCTCACACCTGTAATCCCAGCACTTTGGGAGGCCGAGACGGGCGGATCACGAGGTCAGGAGATCGAGACCATCCTGGCTAACACGGTGAAACCCCGTCTCTACTAAAAATACAAAAATTAGCCGGGCATGGTGGCGCGTGCCTGTAGTCCCAGCTACACAGGAGGCTGAGGCAGGAGAATGGCGTGAACCCGGGAGGCGGAGCTTGCAGTGAGTCGAGATCGCGCCACTGCACTCCAGCCTGGGCGACAGAGCGAAACTCCGTCTCAAAAAAAAAAAAAAAAAAAAAAAAAAAATATATATATATATATATATATATATATATATATATATATATATAACCAGAACTTCCTCTAATTAAAAAAAAACTTTTAGACGTTAACTTCCATATTTTTCATATTTAAATGTGAGAACGTAATGAAGAAAAAGTTGCTGCTGAAAGTTAAAATGTACTTACTTTTGTCATGAGAATTATGAATATTAAAGTGAGAAAGTTTTATTTCAGAGAAGACACAGTATAGCATATTAATACCAAGAATGAAGGAGATGATAAAAAGTGTGCATGGTTGTGTAAGTGAATACTACAGCATATATATTCAAAGGATTCAGCAGAAAAAGTTATGTGCTTGTTTCAATGCTACTGCCATGGTTCAAAAGGCTTTTGGAGTTCCTTTCTTTGAACTATCTTCAAATCCTGTTCACTTTGAAAATTACTCACATTGGTTTATAGTCATGCTTCATATTCAAATCACTTGGGTAATGGTTAGGCTTTGGGTCTGATCATTATACAAACTAATGTAGGGATTGAAGAAGGTTTATCAGGGAAGCAGAGAAATCAGATGGAGACTGAGACTCTTCAAAATCAACGAATCATAGCGTTTAAGGGGCCGGGCATGGTAGCTCATGCCTGTAATCCCAGCACTTTGGGAGGCCAAGGCAGGCGGATCACCTGAGGCCGGGAGTTCGAGACCAGCCTGACCAACATGGAGAAACCCCGTCTCTACTAAAAATAAAAAAAAATTAGCTGGACGTGGTGGTGGATGCATGTAATCCCAGCTACTCGGGAGGCCGAGGCAGGAGAATCGCTTGAACCCGGGAGGCGGAGGTTGTGGTGAGCCAAGATTGCGCCATTGCACTCCAGCCTGGGCAACAAGAGCGAAACTCGGTCTCAAAAAAAAAAAAAATCATAGCATTTAAAAAGATATATAAATTATAAATATTTATATAGCCATAGAGATGTCAGGAAGTCTTTCTTTGTGACAAAATATTTTCTCTATCCTAAAATAGCACTGTAAGCAATATAGCAGAGGGCTCATCCTTCATATAAGTGTGGTATTTTAATAAAAGAGGGAAATGAGAAAAATAGTTGATCTTATGCAGAAACTCCAAAGTCCTCGTTGAGAAATATGGAACAAAGTAGAGCAAGTTAAACTATTAGAGAGAACAGATGGAAGCTTCCTCCTGAGATAATCATGAGCAGAATTCTTAGTACCTTCCTGGAAAATTTTGAATACATCCATCTTCTCAATTTTTTTTTTTGAAGAGGGAAATATTTATGAAATGAGTTTGTACAAGACTGGCTGCAGTTCAAGTTTTGCAGAAACAAGCTGCTTATCTAATTCCTGTCTGAAGGACATTTATTTTTATTAGCAGAAATTGCACCAGCTATCCAATGCCTCCCCTCTTCAATGGGAAAAAAAATCTTGAGAAAGTCCTTTGAGGACTTTTAATTACACCTCAAATAATTCCATATTTGTATTATCAACTGTACACACACACACCCGATTGAGAGAAAATACGTAGATAAAGATATACACACATCTTAATAGAAACAAAAAGGAAAATATATTTGCATATTCATACTAAAGACCTTCTAAGTAGTTCTGTACGAAGAATAATAAATTTATGTTTGAAAAACTTACTTTATTTACAAATAGACATGAAAATGTTGGCTGAAGGTAAATTCCTGCTATAAAACATGGTCCTGAAATTTGGTTTTGAAATTCATGTACCCTGTCCTTCACTGAAAAACAGAATGACTTTAATGAAGATAAAGAACTTTAGTTCAAACATGCATTAATTTAAAAAATTCCAGTAACATATGAACTGTAAATAGGAGCCTTGTTTTGTATGCAAGTTTGTACCTTTCTGAAGCCCATCTTTCCAGAGGATCATGACTGATACCCAGGAGACCACTTCCCTGAGAATTACGTTTGGATTATTTGTCCTGAAAGCATCTGCTCTCTTGTCCTTGAACACTCATCTGCCACTCTTCTGCCCACTCACCCAGCCTGGTGAAATCTTCCTGCAGTTTATTCTATTGACTTGGCATTTTACTAACTGGAAGTTTCGTGTCATATGCCACTTTGGAGATTTCACGCATATGTTCACCTGTGAATCATTTACCAACCTGTTTCATAAGGATGCTTTAGAGCCAATCTCTGATATGCCTCGCTGTTTAAACCTCTTCATTCAAGCGTAATGGAATGTTCAAGTGGAAGTTTTGGCTGATGTCCTAATGTGAAACGTAACGGGTACCCAAGAAAATTGTGAATTTATGAATTTTAGAGTGATACTAGTAAAAGTTACAGTACTCTTAGAGTCCTTACTCACATCAATGGCATGAAAGGGTGTTTTTACTAGGCATTTGTAGAAGTGATATATTTTTTAAAAGGGGACACCCACTTCACAGAATCTCGAACTCACTGTGAAGGGAGTATCACCTCCACTTTTATCTCAAGTCAAGGGAGAATCTTAAAGTGAACCAACAAAGTGAACTCTTAGTATATAAGGGTAAGAAGAAAAGTCAAGTTTCTACAGAGAGGAAGGGGAAAGCAAGACCCACTGAATAAATTTAAGTTAGTGAGGGAAGAGAAAAAAGAAAGTTGTTTTTCTGATTACATTGCACATGTTAGTGCTTGTTCAGTTCACTGACTACACATGCAAGCACCATTTAGCCTATGACCTTATGGTTAGTGTTTTTAGGGCAGTTTTTATCCATTAAGTATTTTTCGTGGTGATTTCTGTTTTATTAAATTGTTTTTAGTACAGAATCCTATCAAACACTTCCAAAAACATTATATCTATTGCTATGCTTAGCAAGACATTTAGTTTTTTTTGTTCTCTAAGAAGTCTAAAATGTTATTTAGACAGGATTTCCCCCGATAAAATAAAATATATTTTCTACCAACATTAAGTGTGTACAAGTTTTCAATGATCTTTTATTCCACAGTAGATGCCATCATTAAACCTTAGAAAGAGATGAGACTGCGCCGCTCCCCTGCCCTTTTAAAAAATCAATAAAAGACAGAATAATAAGCTGAGAAAGAGAAGTCAGAGAGGTAGAACTCTCCAAAAAGCCAGGGGAAGTTTAAAGAAAGAAGGTCAATAGAGTCAAATGATGCAGAGATGTCAAGGATAGAAACAGAAATTATTGTGATTTAGTGAGTCAAAGTGACCTTTTTGTGTCTTTGAATCGAGGGGTGAGATGTAATACAATAGTGCAGAGCGTGGAGGAGTAAATGACAGGTGAGCAAGGGAGGATAAAGAGGAGCAGTGCTTTTTCAACAAGTTTGTGGAGGGAAAACTTTTGTGTTTTTAAAGTAAGGAGACTTATGTCTCCTTGAAGGCTGAGGAAGACAAAACATAGAAAGTGCAGGACTAAAGGGGTGAGCGTGTAAATGGGGTATGGCTGGAACCTGGAGGATAGAAAAGGAGAGGAGGATGGGGTATGTGTGGAAAGAATCACACAGCAGAAAACACGCAAAGATAGAGGTAAATCAAAGGGGAAGACAGAAGCTGAAGGAGTTTGCCACTCTTGGTCTCAGTTTTCTATGTGGGGTAGGTGGTAGTTTTATTTGCTGAGTGGGTATGTGAGTGGAATAAGGTTGCCCCTTCACAAGGGAGAGTGGAAGCTGAAATTCCCAAGGGAACATCTTTTTCTATTTCTTACAAAGGCACCATAAGGAGTAGCTATGGCCTTTGGTAAGAACTTTAATATTAATAAAAGTGGCGAAATATTGGAAAAATATCTGTTTCTAAGGAGTCGTTCTATAAATGGTTAGCTAATTCGTTGTAGATGACCTAAGCATGATCACAATTTGATCTAATTCCTCTAATTTGTTTTTGCAGAAGCAAAATGTGGCTTGGGAATCCCCTGATCCTCCTAAAGCAAGACATTAAATTTGGGCTTATTATATTTCAACTGGACTCTACCATTTAGTGATTTTAGAGTCTTCTAGTATTCATTTTTGAGTCCCTCAAGATACTCAAGTATACTTCTTGAGTTTTTTTTTGACATGTCTAAATTTTAGTTGATACATTTAACACATGTGCTTCTGTGATACCTTCTTACTTTTTGAAAATTGCCTTTCCTTGTATAGCATTGTTCTTTATATTACCAGTCTCATTTAGCCTTTTTTTTTTGGAAGAAACTGATCTGATCTTTTTATTAGTTTTTTTTTCCCCCTGCGGGTTAGGATTCTTTTAATGGTCTATTATTTTAATTTTTTCACTTTTCTCATGGACAATCTCCACATTTTATGTCATTTCTTTTTCTTGAAGTAACTAACCTTGAATGGAAAAATTGGTATTTTTCTTTTCCCACCAGCATGTTGAATCATCCATTTGTCTGGTAACTTGAGACAGCCGGTAGAGGAGTCACAAGAGTAGGTACCTTTCCATGAGCTCACCTCTGTTCCACTCCCATCTCATAAAGGGTGTGACAGATACTTCACAGAAGGCAAGGAGAAAACAGGTCAGAAGTATGTTATTGGGGGCTTAGCACTGATTTTGGTTCTGACAAGCTGGCCACTCAGAGACAGCAGTAGCTATGTCTGTCTCAGTATGTGGTAGACCATGCTGTTGGGCCCATATATATATAGCCTCCATGCCTGCCACTGGGGCTACTTCATTCACGTACCCACTGTGTCAGTTCTGGGATGACTAAAATCAACTGGGTGAGTCATTTTGTCTACTTATCTGTTGAGTACTTTTTTCATGGTAGTTGCTATTTGCTGAACATTAAGGGACAATACAAAAAATCTTCACACTTCATGCCCCCTCCCATGTTTGTTCACAGATTCAGCAATTTGTCTTTTACTTTGGAGGTAATGGCCAGTGGACTCCTAAATATTTCACTGTACTAGCAGGTCCTGAGTCTTTGTAGAGTTCATCTTCCACCCTTTGGAGCATGTATCTAACCAAGGCTTCTAGCATACTGGCCACCTCTTCCTCTTTTGTCCAGTCATCATGATTTTATTGATGTGATGAATCAGGGTGGTGTTCTGAGGGACTCATAGGTGATTCAGACCTTTTCAGACAAAATTATGGCAAAGGGTAAGAGTGTTACCATAGCCCCAAGACAAAATCGGAGATCAATATTATTGTCTATTTCATCTGAATTCAAACCTTTTCTGATCTTCTTTCCTAATTGGAATGGAAAAGAATATGTTGTCCAAATCAATGGCTAAAAACTAGGTACCTGAAGTTTTATTAATCTGCTTAGCACAGTATCACATCTGGCACAGTAACTATAATCATCAGGTTTACTACTTGATTAAGTCTGTAATAGTACACAGTTATTCTCCAGGACCCAGCTGGTTTCTGCACGGACCACATTGGTGAGTTAAACAGAAATGGAGTGATTACTACTCCTGCATCATTTAAGTTTTTAATTGTAGCAATCATTTCTACCATCTCATGGGATATGATAGTATTTGTTTGTTTGTTTGCTTGCTTGTTTGTTTGTTTTGAGACAGAGTCTCGTTCTGTCACCCAGGCTGGTGTGCAGTGGCGCCATCTCAGCTCACTGCAACCTCTGCCTCCCGGGTTCAAGCAGTTCTCCTGCCTCAGCCTCCTGAGTACCTGGGATTACAGGCACGTGCCACCACGCCTGGCTAATTTTTGTATTTTTAGTAGAGAAGAGGTTTCTCCATGTTGGTCAGGCTGGTCTTGAACTCCCGACCTCAGGTGATCCGCCTGCCTCGGCCTCCCAAACTGCTGGGATTACAGGCATGGGACACTGTGCCTGGCGATACTGTTTTTTTAATTTATTATCTTGGCTAGGGTTTGGGGACAGTTTCAGAGGTTTCCACTTAACCTCTTCCCCTATGATAGCCCAAGGACCGAATGTGGGAGTTATTCCAAATGCTAAGCCAATTCCAATGATATTCTCAGGAACTTGGGAAATGACCACTGAGTCGATTCCTGAATCCAGTGGGTGAAATTTTAGCCAACTCGTTTATTACCTGGCCCTGTAGACCACCACACTAGTGGAGGTGGAGGGGACCATAACCATGCTTTGAATCTCTAGATATCAGTATTATCTCTGCTTCTGACTAATAATCCTAAAAATGTTTATTTGTAGGCACCATCCACCCTCCCCATGCATTTTAAATGCCTGCATCATCATATTTGCTACAGCATTTTACTTCACCAGGATATTTTTCCAGGTCATCATGAGTGAAGTCTTGAGCCACTGAGCCACTACCACCTTGTGCCAAATACTATCTGTGCCCTGCCTGCCAACCAGGATGACAACCCTTCACCTGCCAGGTGGTGAGTGAGCCAGTCCCAAATTCCTACTTTGTCACCTGTTTTCTCAGCCCATTTCTCAACATCAGTACCATTGGTGTTGACTTGGGTCCTCCAAGAGTCAGGCTTCAAGATAGGATAGAGGAAAAAGAGGTTTGTTAGGGGCAATGTCTGTGAGAGAAAAATAAGGTAGGTAGGGGGTAGAAAATGAAGGCCAGGAGAACCGTCAGACTGCACAACCCAGGCCTGACCTGGTTGGATGAGTGAAAAAAAGGAAGAGAATTGGGAGAATCACCCTAGACTTCAGTTTAGCTCTAAGAAAGTTTGGCAAATATTGGGAAATCTTAGAGTCAAAGTTGCCTATCAGAGGAGCTCTGTGACTCTCAGAAGCAGGTCTGCCTTAGTATCCCTATATTGCTCAGTCATTGGCTAAAAGCAGCCTGTAGGAAGCACGAATTTGGCTCAAATACAATGATGATTTCAGAGCACAGCAGCCAAGGGTGCCCACAGGCAGAAATCTGAAAGGTGCATTTTCATAGTTACCACAGATCAGAACAGTTGGAGGATCGTGAAGAAGAGCAATAATTATTTTTGTAGGCAAATAATAATAGATAACCGGTATGCAAGAAGAAAAGATGATCTTTCGTGAAACAAGGTACATTCTCTCCTCCTTTGGGTTGACCTGTCAGTTCACTGACATGAATCTATTGGTTGAAAGCTGATTAAGCAGCAAAGGTCTACACACAGTACGAATACCCAGAAAGAGCAAATGTAGATCATTGCAATGTCCTTGAGTGACAAGGGGGTGGAGGCAGAGAGAGAAGCTCTGCTGATTCAGACTAGAGGGAATTTTCCACCCATCACAAAGGTTTGGCTTACATTCTAGAATCTAGACAGTGACTGAGCAACATATGCTAGAAAGTTGGTGCTCTGCTGAAATTGGGCCCCGAGATATTTTTGGAAACTTTGATGCCCATGAGGAGGGAAAACTGCCAATTTGAAGTGAGAAGAGTGTTTTCGTGTCTCTAAATGTAGAGTTTATGGTTTAGTTTTTGAGAAAATTACTATTTCGAAAAATAATCACTGTGTTGGACACTTAAGAGAAATTGAGCAGGACCCAATTTGGAATTCAGACAATTAAGACTTTGAGGAGTTAAACTATGAAAATTTGTCTCCATTGAGGATGGAGATATATTTCTGTGGATTGTGTCCTTTAGGAGAATGTTTCTTTTCTGAACAAGGAGTTAAATTTCATTGTGTCTGAAACTATTCTTGAGTGGTGCTTTTGTGTCATCCTGGGTGAGCCTTCAGAAAGAGGAGGTAAGGAGTGGAGAGCCACTTGGGCAGAAGCGATATGGAGGTATGCATTTATATTATGCTGGAGAAGAGACCCTAAAGGGAGTGGACTGGGTTTGCAAATTCCCATGTTGGACCAAGCTTTTCTGATGTTGTTCTGAATTATGTAACTAAACACCTACTCAGTCTTTATTAGTTTGTTTTAGAAAAATAAACCATTTTATTCAATTGCTCAATTATTATTGAAGTCCTTCTAGGCTCAGGCACTATTTTAGTCACTTGGAGTATGTCAGTGACAAACACAAAAAGCCCCTGCCCTGTGAAGCTTATTTCTTATCCCTTGGATGTTCTATCACTGGAAAAGTTAGTCTTGGGTTGGAAATGGGACAAGGAGAAGTAATTTCTTCTGTCTTGGCCTTGGGCATTAGGGCCTCCGTTCTGGGAAAGGACAATGTGCTCAAGAAAGCGCTCAGTGGAAGAAGTGAGCCAGCCCTGTAACATGTTGGCTGGCTGGCAGCCAAAGTGAGAGACATCCAACTGAGGACTGCTGTGGAGGGTCCTTGGCTTGTGGACTCTGAGAACTACTATATCTGGCATAAGGTTTTAAACTATCAGGGAAGTTCCCTTCTGTTACCTACCAACCCTTCAGGGAAGTCTTGTTAAGGAATACAGCCTGATCTTAGCTACCACTGTGGGGATTTGAATGCCTTTGACCTCCATGGGGGTGAAGTGGTATGAAAGGCCGTTCCAGTGTCTGGCAGTAATGAAATCTGACCCTCAGAACAGAGCAGCAGTCCCGAATCAGCTGATGGGCTGAGGTGGCAAGTCATTGTGCCTTTATCAAACAAGGGAGCCCTTCCTGGGAATTTCCTGAAATACTTGGGAAGTAGATCCTGGTAAAAATTGGACTACCTGAAGTTAAGTTTGGACTATTGTCAAAATCCTAAAGCCAAGTGTGACTTCTAGGCTGGAAAAGCTAGGACTTCTGGGTTACATAGCACCTGAGGGCTTCAGGAAGCACGAAAGATAGGATTTGTGTGCAGGTTCTAAGTTCTAAGGTCAGAGCCTGAATCATGGAGTAAAATGTGAATCAAAGTTTTCAACAAGGATATGTTAAGTAGGGTTTTACATTAAGGCCACTCAAGAATAATTCTGTGTCTAAATTCATCTATACATATTCTTGTCAATAATTGATCTCTGTGTTAGTCATTATTTCTATTGTCTTTTTTTCTGAAACTTCATAGCAAAAGCACATCTAACATTTCAGATCACTTTAAGGATAAGATGGGGTGAAATAATACACCCTCTGGAAAGCTAATTTCTCTGAAAAAATGCACAGACCTTAAGAGAAATTTGCAGGTATGAAAAGTGATCATTGGTAAGTTATGCAGTCTCTGACCTTCATCCATTCTTTCTTACCTCCCAAATAGAGGTTTGTGAGAATAATAACATATCCACATATGTATTGCCACAGAAACAAATATACCAAACATGTAGTCATATACATTAAACAAACTGTGTCACCCAGGTGATAGGAGTAGGAAATGCTCAGAATCTCCTAAGGTGTGTTATTTAGTATTTAGCATTTTACATTTATCTCATTAAAGTTTTGTGCTATATTAGAGCCTATATGGATCAATAAGCACTGCCAAACTGCTGAAGGCGATACAACTATTGAAATGTTTAGCACAAAATTTACAATGCTATAATCTCACATATTATAAAACCTAAATTCTGCAGCAGAGGGACCTGGACTCCTAGACTTCAGCTCTGTTTCTATTGCTCTTTCTATAATTCTTACTATAATTACTATAATTTCTGTTGCTTTTACTATAATTCAAATTTATTGTTTTTGATGTCAGAGTCTTTCCTAGAAGTTACATAAAACTCTGAAATTGGATCAGGCCAGTTGGGGAGTATTATGATAGGCGCTAGAATAGTGAAATTCGACCAAAGTTTGGAAAAGAAAGGACTGAAGAGAAGCGGTCATCTTCTTTCTCCCTTCTCCCTTCCTGTGGTTGATTGCAAAAATGGCTGCAATACTTTGCAGCTCCTTCCAGCAAGAAGTGGAGTCTATTTCCCCACCCCCAAGATCAGGTGGGCTGCTCTTGAAACTTGCTTGGGCCAAGAATGTGATGGAAGTGATAGTTTGTGTGTTTTTTATTTTATTTTTTTATTATACTTTAAGTTTTACGGTACATGTGCACAACATGCAGGTTTGTTACATATGTATACATGTGCCATGTCAGTGTGCTGCACCCATTAACTCGTCATTTAACATTAGGTATATCTCCTAATGCTATCCCTCCCCCTCCCCCCACCCCACAACAGGCCCGGTGTGTGATGTTCCCCTTCCTGTGTCCATGTGTTCTCATTGTTCAATTCCCACCTATGAGTGGGAACATGCGGTGTTTGGTTTTTTGTCCTTGTGATAGTTTGCTGAGAATGATGGTTTCCAGCTTCATCCATGTCCCTACAAAAGACATGAACTCGTCATTTTTTATGGTTGCGTGTGTTTTGAATCCAGGTGTCAAGAGACCTCAGAGCTTTCATTCCTTCTGATCTCAGACTCCTGCCCAACATATCTTGGGCATCAAGGGAGACCGAGAGGGGCAGAAAGCTGCAATAGTTGAACAGTCCTAGACTAACCAGCCCTAGCTAACCCACCAGCTGCCCACGGATACATGAACAAGTCCAGCTGTAAGATCATCTTAGCCTGTACAAAGCCAAACCACCAAGCTGAGCCCAGTCCAAAATGCCAAACTGCAATTTGTTTTGAGTCACAAAGTTTGGGGGCAACTTTATGAAATAGCAAAGTCTGATAGCTCTAACCACATCTATGAGTCACACAGCCTAGAAATGTTATCAAGTAAGTATTTTCCTCAAAGTAAAAGTTTTATAGAGTCACTTAAATCAGTGCTACTAAAAGTGCTGATCCAGAGAGACAAAGAGCTTGCACCAGAATGTCAATCTGTACACTTCTTCCCTCATCAACAAAGTCTTGCTGCAAAAATCGTGTCAGCTGAATTAAATGGTGTGCATAGTTGACATATTTGGTTTATATTCTTGTGCAAACTGAAAATACTCAGATAGTAAGAATTTAGGCTTTTCAGGCCATACAGTAGTTGTCACAATTTTAGGCTTTGTATACCGTACAGTCCCTGTCAACTTTGTCAGTATAGCACAGAAGCAGCCATAGGCAACAAATAAATGAATGGGCATGGCTATGCTTCAATGAAACTAAGAAGCAGACAGCAGTCTGGTTTTGGTTTGTGGGCCATAGCATGCTGAATCCTGAATCCTAAGCCATTTCAGCAGCTCATCCCGTCAAAGCTCATTATCGTGTCTGCTTTTATAATAATGTCAAAAGAATGTAGGCAAGAGCAAAAACAGAATTGGAGATATCTTTCCTTAGAGACCAGAAAACCAAATGCCTGAAATAGTTGTTTCAGATGCCCCAACATGGAGATAGAGGGATAGAATGAAATATGGAAAATTGTACATAATTATTTAAAATGTATATGAGTAATAAAGTGCACAAGTACTGCCAGTCAAGGCCCTGGGCCAAATTTGGAAAAAATAAATATTCTAAGAAGGTTTCATTTCAAAATGTTGATATCTCAACATTACTGCTTAGCAGTAAGGAGTTGGAATATTCCTTCCCTCATTTTTTTTCTTCCTCCTTTTCTGTCTTCCTCATCCTTTCCTTTTTTTCCTTTCTCAACCCAGAGGAAAAAATTTCCAGGCACCATTGAAAACCAGTATTACATTCCTGAAGAGTAGGTTCATAGAGCAGCAGTTAAAACTTGTGGTTTTGCCATTTAATTTTCTTTCAGTGGTTGCCCCATTTGATTTTCTTTCAGTGTAGTTTGGAGACAATACATTTCTGTCTCATTAAAGTATGAGACAACAATGTGTCTTTAGATTCACCCTGACAATGGGCAGGGTGTGCCCCTGTGAGGGAGTGTTAGGAAGAGGCACAAAAAAAAGAGATGCCAACAATCACTGTCTATTTCTCAGAAAGCACACTGGGCAGATTTCCAAATTCCCATTACATTCTGGGATTTTTTTTTAAATACAAAGATGATTAGTTGCTTTGACAAATATACTCCTCCCCAAATAACAACTGCTATCAAAATCATTAGAGTAAAACAAAAATCTCTAGAACTACATGTTCTGTTTATTTTAATGAAATATGAAATCTATATCTTAAGAATCTCAAAGCTTCTTAAGGTCGAGACCTCTTTTAAAAGAAGGTGAAGTTTGGGTTACCTTTTCAAATGGTTTCCCTTTTTTTGTATTTAATATTTTCTCTACCTTTTGATTAAGCCATTGAAAATCCCTGGCGGAATGCAAATGTAGGAAGAATAACCCACTAGGAATCACAGCCATTGTCAGTCACTAACAATTTTTCTCAGACTGGTCAAGCATATTTTCCAGAGAGAATAAACATGGTGTCATGGCTACTAGGGAGGGTTAGGCGAGAATAAGTCCCAGAGAATGGAATGCCAGGATGCCTTGATGGGGTGCCACAGCTGCAGAGAGGGTTGGGGTAATGGGGAAAATTAAGGGGCAATGGGGAAATTAGAGAACTAGAGATGGCAGCAGAGGCTGTAAAAAGACGATATAGATACATGTTAAATTTTGCCTAATTCCCAAATTTCCTTCAGGATGGCCATAGCCAAGAGAGCCAAAAATTACTTGTCATGGCATGAAAAGGTGCTGCTTATTTCAGCAGGGAGAAAAGGCCTAGTGTCAACGGCTGAGCATCCTTCTTCAGCACATCTGTAGGCTGATCTTCATCTGCTAGGATGCCATAAAACCTCCCAGGAGGCTCTTGGTGCTCTCTTCTTGACCACAGATTGATAACTCCTAGGGTCCTCTAAGCATGACTCTCTTATCAGTGCATCACAAACATCATACATATATAGGTCTATGTGTATATATGTATATATATATGATGTTATTTTGTGATGGCATGATATATATATCATTATATATGATATATATATCAAGATATGTATAATGCCGTTTATATATGACTCATCCATTCTGTCTTCTGATGTTTACATTCTCATACCCATGTTCTCCACTACTTCTCTCTTCTTCCTCCCCTCCAATAATCAAATGATATCCTTTCCACTTCCCTATGTCTCCTCTTTTCATCAGTATTAACTAAGTCTTCAGATAGGGCATTGTGAGAGCCAAAAGCTCATTGCAATAACGTTTTACTTTTCTCTTTACTGTTGTAGTCAGTAGTCAATACTTCTTTTTAGTCATCCATAGCAAACTCATCCTCTCAAGGGGACAGATGAAGATCATAGCAAATTGAAAGCTGAGAAGTACTACTTTAGATACAAAAATACTGTCGTCAGTCGCCAAACACTCCATTCTCACCCCCAAAGCTGTCATATGATTATAAGAACTGAATAGAATTATAGAATCTCAATGATTCATAAATTGATTCATTTATTCACCAAATATTTTTTGAGCAACTATTATAGGAAATACTCTTCCAGGTTCTGGTGATACAAAGTTAAGGCATGCTCCTTGCCCTGGAGGAGGTTATCATCTAGTAGGGGAGCCAGATGTGTAAGCAAAAAATTACAATAGAGAGTGATAAGTGCATAATGGAAGTAGCCACAAGGTATCATTTTGTTCAGTTGAGGTAGTCAAGGACTCTGCTGGGTTGGACTAGAAAAACACTTCCCTTAGGAAAAGATTTCGAGCTGAGCGTTGGGAAATAATTTACAATGATAGGGGAAGCAGGACGAGTGACTAGTAAAATTTGCCTTGAGCATCAAGTTCATGTAGAAAATTGGTAGGAGATTTTAGCCCTAGGCAGTGGAGCTAAAAATGATAGTGGATAAATGTGTGAAATGTTGAGGAGGTAAAATGAGAGTTAGAGTTTAATAATATGAATGAAGAGGGAGAAGATGTTATTTTGCCCACTTCTGGCCTGATGCAGAAGTCTGGCCCTAGCATTCCTGAATGGTGGCTCACCAGGCTCTGTTGGGACCCTTCCAGGAGTAGTAGCTGTCTGCCTCACAGTACAGCAGCCTGTTCTAGTCCAGACAGACTGGATTTTAGAGAGAGCTTCTTTATATTGATCTGATATCTGCCTGCCTTTAAATTCCACCCCATCTTATTTCTTTATTCAACAAAGACTAGGTCTGTTTTCTTAGATGTAGATCTGAGACATCAAGATACTTACAAATGGTCATTTTTGTCTCTCCTTGGTCTTTTCCAGTCTTCTTTACTCAAAACATTCCCAAGGATTCAGGAAATTTCTATCACTATCTATCTATCTATCTATCTATCTATCTATCTATCTATCTATCTATCATCTATCATCTCAGCTACTCACATTTCTCCAGAGGTTGGATTTGGTGTCACTAATGTTTAGTGTCATTGCCTTAAAATATGAAACTCAGTGACTGAGGCTGTTATCATATCAGCCTCTTGAGTAGCCACAGTAAAATAATAAAAGGACAAAACAAACATGGGAGAAAGAATAGTATGTCTCAGCCAACTTTGGGCACACTGCCTGTGAGTTAGCCCTGCTCCACGAGGAGCAGCAGAAAGAAAGAAAAAGAAAGAAAGAAAGAAAGAAAGAAAGAAAGAAAGAAAGAAAGAAAGAAAGAAAGAAAGAAAGAAAAAGGAAGGGAAGGGAGAAAGAGACAGAGAGGGATGGAGGGAGGAAGGGAGGGAGAGAGGAAGGGAAGAAGGAAGGAAGGAAGGAGGAAGAAGAAGAGAAAGAAAGAGAAAATAAAGAAAGAAAGAAAGGAAGGAAAAGAGAAAACAAATTACGTTTCCTTAAAATATCATTCACTAAGAGATTGCCACCTCTTCCTGGAGATAAATGTCCACTGCCTTAGTCATTTGAAGTAACCATCTCATTTTGTTACTGTAGAAAAAAATATAGCTCATTGCAAATAAACCCAACATAGAGACTAAGATAATAAAGTAATATAAAGCTAAAAGTGAAGTTTGAGATAATCTTATCTAATCCTTCATTTTACAGAACAGAAACCAGATGATTACTTGGTGATGAAAACAAGTAGTAAAATTACTTGTTAAAGCCATTAGGAAAATAGTTAATTAATAACTCGACAATCTTTTGGCACCAGATTAACACCACATAAATTACTTTCTAATCACAAAGGAAAATATCACTGAACAATGGGGGGATCTAATGGTCATGACACTGAATAAACAGTTATTTCTAAAGGTGGTTCACCAAGGTAATATCTTCTGATGGGATTCAAAGTGGAGTGTCTAACATCACCTATGATGTAATGTGGTCAGAAATATCTAATTAGAATACAGAAAGTTTGACAAACGGTGCTGGAACAAATGGATACCCCCATGCAGAAAAAAGAACTTGAACCTCTTCCTGACACCACATACGGACATTAACTCAAAGTAGATCAAAGACTTAAATATAAGAGCCAAAACTATAAAACTTTTAGAAGGAAGCATAGGTGTAAATCTTCATGACTTTGGATTAAGCAATGGTTTCTTAAATATGACACCACCCAAAGCACAAGCAACCAAAGAAATAAATAGATAAACTGGTCTTCATAAAAAATTTTTTTGCCGGGCGCAGTGGCTCACGCCTGTAATTCCAGCACTTTGGGAGGCTGAGGCGGGCAGATCATGAGGTCAGGAGATCGAGACCATCCTGGCTAACATGGTGAAACCCCGTCTCTACTAAAAATACAAAAAATTAGCCGGGCGTGGTGGCAGGTGCCTGTAGTCCCAGCTACTCGGGAGGCTGAGGCAGGAGAATGGCGTGAACCTGGGAGGCGGAGCTTGCAGTGAGCCGAGATCGCGCCACTGCACTCCGGCCTGGGCGAAAAAGGAAGACTCCGTCTCAAAAAAAAAAAAAAAAATTTTTTTTTGCATGAAAGGTCACTATAAAGAAAGTGAAAAGAAAACTTACAGAATGAGAGAAAATGTTTGCAAATCATATACCTGATAAAACCTTGCATTCAGAATATGTAAAGAAGTGGCTCAATTTAAAAATGGGCAAAGGGCTTGAATAGACATTTCTCCAAAGAAGATACACAAATAGCCAATAAGCACACAAGAATATGTTCAACATCTTTTGTCATTAGGGAAATGCAAATCAAAATCACAATGAGATACCATTTCATACTCACTAGAATGAATATAATTTTAAAAAAAACAAGTATGGGTGAGGATATGGAGAAACAATTTAAAAAAGAAAAATAACAGGTCTGGGTAAGGATGTGGAGAAATTGGAACCCTCATGCATGGCTGGTGGGAATGTAAAATAAGGCAGCTACTGTGCAGAACAATTTGGCAGAACTCTCAAAAAGAGTTTTCATATGACCTTACAATTCCACTCCTAGGTATGTATCCTAGAGAAATAAAAACCTATGTCCAAATAATAACATGTACAGGAATCAGGAATATTTGTTGCAGCACTATTCATAATAGTCAAAGAGTGGAAGTTGGCAACCCAACTTCCACTGATTCCTCCTTGTAGCTGGTATTTAACTGATGAAGGAATAAACACAATGTGGTACAATGGAAAATTATTCAACCATAAAAACTAATAAAGTACTGAATAAACCCTGAAAACATGCTAAGCGAAAGAAGCCCAACACAAAAGACCACATATTATATGATTTCATTTATATGAAATGTTCATGTAAGGTATGGGTCAAGCAAAGAAACCAAGGTACATCCATGCAAACAGAAAGTATATTAGTATTGCCAAAGGATGGAAGAAGGAAGAATTGGGAGATCCAGGGTTTCTTTTTGCTGTGATGGAAGCATTCTGGAATTAGACAGTGGTGATGGTTACACAGCATCGTGAATACACAAAAAACCACTGAATTATACACTTTTAACAATTAAAATGTTGAATTTTATGTTATGTAGATTTTATCTCAATAAACACTTTTTTTTTTTAAAGAATACACAGTTTTAGACACGACTTCTATTTTACAGTTGATTCAAGCAATAGGGAAACAAGTTAAATGATACCAGGTGAAAGCAACCAGACAAACCCAGAAGGTGGACCAATCTATAGGACAACTGGACTGGTCTTTTTAAAAAGACACTAACATAAAAGGCAGATTGTGCTAGCCTTTCAAGTATATGTCAGAATACCCTAAGAGGTATGTACTCTTAGACAGAAAGAATAAGACATTTTAATTGTTTTATTAATTAGTATTTTATTATTTTCCTCCAAGCATATATACTGCTTCTCTAATAATAAAAAGTGTATTATAAGTATTTGCTTAAGGCCATTTAGCTAATTTAGAGAACTAGTAAAAACAATTCAGGAAGACTGAAAACCACCACGTGAGACTTATTCCTTAAATATTGGAGGAGGAAAAAAAAGGAGGAAGTTCCAAACAGCTGGGTTTGAAAGTGGAAATAATATGGATGTGTTGGTATACCATGAAGATTTTCCTGTTTGTCCCTAGATTTCTGTTTTTTTGTTTGTTTGTTTGTTTTTCTTTCTTTCTTTTTCTTTTT
Source organism: Homo sapiens (assembly GCF_000001405.40). NCBI lineage: Eukaryota > Metazoa > Chordata > Mammalia > Primates > Hominidae > Homo > Homo sapiens. Next base: position 190,831,972 of record NC_000002.12, on the reverse strand, counting down.
TTTTGAGACAGAGTCTCGCTCTGTCGGCAGGCTGGAGTGCAGTGGCACGATCTCGGCTCACTGCAACCTCCGCCTTCGGGGTTCAAGCGATTCTCCTGCCTCAGCCTCCCGAGTAGCTGGGACTACAGACGCCTGCCACCACGCCTGGCTAATTTTTTGTATTTTAGTAGAGACGGGGTTTCACCATGTTGGTCAGGATGGTCTCGCTCTCCTGACCTGGTGATCCACCCGCCTCGGCCTCCCAAAGTGCTGGGATTACAGGTGTGAGCCACCGCGCCCGGCTTTCTTCTTCTTCTTTTTTTTTTTTTTTTTTTGCTCCTTCACCTCCCCCCTACTCTTCATCCTTCATTTTGTCCCGTTTCTATCTTCAGGTGCCCAACTCATGTCCTTCTTGTTTTCTCAGTTTCTTTGGATGGCCCCTCTTTAAGAGTCTGTGCTTCTCTTCCCTGACATGTGTTCTTTACTCAAGGGAAAGCAGTTGTTCTCAGGATCAGATTCTAGTTTGTCTCTGGCACTGTTCACAAAAGTTACTCTTTTCAAGCACAGGCAGTGGAAGCCGGATTCACCCTCCCAGCCTTGAAGCCATCACGTTTGTAAGGGCACAGGCTGTAGGGGGTAGTGGCCAAAACTCCCGGCCCCAAGTATAGTTTAGATGATGGAAGCTTAAACATCCCTGGGAGAAGCGATTGAGGAAATTGGAGAAGGTGGATCCTTCCTGCTTTTTGTTTATTTCAAAATAAGGAGATCTGTGGCCATACAAGTAGAATTGGACTGGGCTAAAGGTTAGCTCCTGTGTTGATTCCGGCATTGTTTAATATCATAATCTCTTTACAACCTGTTCCAGCCTTTGAGAGCCTGTGTTCCAGGTCAGGACTCAGAGATGGAGGTTACAGAGACATGGAAGAACTCAGGAAGATTAATAAACTTTGATAACTTTTTTGGTATTATAAATAAAAACATTTTACAATTAATTATAAGATATATGGAAATTATTATATTAAATTTGTTGACAAATGTGTAAATTTTAAAAAATCTATTTCTTTAGCCACATAACTTGAGTTTCCCAAGGCCTCACCAGCCTATAGTGTATATAAATGAGTTCAAGTCCCCGTGTTCGCTGCAGCATTTTTCACAACAGTCAAGATATGGAAACAACCTAAGTGTCCCTTGAAGAATGAATGGATAGAGCAACAGCAACTGTGGTGTGTGTGGGGGTGTGTATATATATATTTTATATATATGTATGAAATATATATATATTTTAGCCCCAATAAAGAATGAGATCTTATTATTTGCCACAATGTGAATGAATCTAGAGAAGATTATCCTAAGTAATCAGACACAGAAAAATATTGCGTGGTCTCACTTATATGTGGAATCCAATAATAAATAAATACAAATATACAAAGAGAACAAAATAACAGGGGAAGGAACTAGGGAGATGTAGGTCAGAGGATATAAAGTAGCAAATATGTAGGATGAACAAGTCTAGAGCTCGAATGTATAGCATGAGGACTATAGGTCATACTTTTGTGCTGCCTTTGGGGTTCATGCTAAATAAGTAGATTTTAGCTGTTCTTGCCACAAAAAAAGGTAACTGTGTGAGATGAATATGTTCATTTTCTTCACTATAGTGTTGTTCTTACTATCTATATGTTCCCTTATTGGTGCCCTTAACATCATATTGTATACCTTAAATGTACATAATAAAATTTATTTTCGCCTGTAATCCCAGCGCTTTGGGAGGCCCAGGCAGGCGGATCACCTGAGGTCAGGAGTTTGAGACCAGCCCAGCCAACATGGCGAAACCCTGTCTCTACTAAAAATACAAAAATTAGCTGGGCGTGGTGGTGGGTGCCTGTAATCCCAACTACTTGGGAGGCTGAGACAGGAGAATCACTGAGGCAGAGGTTGCAGTCAGCTGAGATCGCACCACTGCACAGCTTGGGTGACAGGATGAAACTCCTCTCAAATAAAAAAAATTTTTTGAAAAAAATATAGATTTGGTATAGTTTGGATATATGTCCCTGTCAAATCTCATATTGAATCATATAATAATCCCCAATGTTGGTGATGGGGCCTGGTGGGAGGTGTTTGGGTCACAGGGGTGGGTCCCTCATGGTTTGGTGCTGTCCTTGTGATAGTGAGTCATGATTCGTGAGATCTGGTTGTTTAAAAGTGTGTGGCACCTCCCCCCACCCTCTTGCTCCTGCTCCTACTCTGTGACAGGCCTGCTCCCCCTTCACCTTCTGCCATGACTGTAAGCTTCCTGAGGCTTCCCCAGAAGCAGATGCCAGCACCATGCTTCCTGTACAGCCTGCAGAACTGTGAGCCAATTAAACCTCTTTTCTTGTAAATTACTGAGTCACAGGTATTTATAGCCACCCAAGAATGGCTGAATACGATATTGTATGTATTTTTTAAAAGTATATTACCAAGATTTACCCCTCTGTAGGACCTTAGATTCCGGAAACATTTGCCCTGAAGTGTTTCTGAGAATCTACAGAGTGTCCAGTCAGCTATAAGACATTCCTCCTGCCGGGTCCTTTCCTGGGCATGAAGGCTGTTTCTGCTAGCCTTGCCTCATCATCTGCCAGGCATAGCTGCCTCCCCGCTAGTCAGCACCACTGCTTCTCCATCACACCATCCTCTCCTAGTCAGCACCTGAGTCTCCTTCCTTGAAGGGCCACACTTATGCTATGGTCTGTGACAAAGTAAGGGAGAAAACCTCTCTTTACCTTAGCCTGTCCCTCTTATGAGAAGGAACTGCTCGTGCTAGAAAGTCATATGGCAGGTTAGTGAAAAACTCTTTTAGCTTTAACATAGGTATCTGAGGGGCTAGGCCAGGGATAAATGGCTTAGAATCACCTATTCCCTTGTTATTCCTCTTTTGCTGATTATATGTGAACATAGTAAAAGCATCAGAGTAATACGGAGAAAGTGAACTAACAATTTGGAGCATTTAAATGTCTATATAACCATGTATCTTTGTAATTTTTAAATAAATGCAATCATCATATTCTATAAACTTTTTCAAATATAAAGATCTACTTTCTAATTTTTGAATGAGGATTCTGTTGTTGGATGTACCATAATTTATTTGACCAAATCCTTTTTAATGGAGTTAATGTTGCTCATCGTCACCTAATTATCAACTAAGCTCCTTGTACACAAACATCCTTGCACATACGTCTATTATTCCTTAGGATAAATTCTTAGAAGATTTGGTGAATCAATGTTGAATAGAGTTACAATTTTGATAAATACAAAAGAGAATGCTTTCCACAGAGTTTGTAGTAGCATGGAGGACAGGTTGGAGGGTCTGAGGCCCTCCCATCAGCTGTGAATAAGGATAATCATTTTCCCTTACCTTCACTAGACTGGATATTATCAATCTTTTTCATTTATGCCCATCTAAAAGCTTTAAAAATTATACTTCATATTTGAATTTAAATTTTTTAAAATTATAGTAAGCATTCCATATTTGTTCATGCTTCTGTATTTTGCCTATATATTAAATATATATATATATATGTATCTATAGGCCATTTAAGTTGTGGTATTCAGTTTTTATTTGATTTATAAAGGCTATTTATATATATAATACTAACATATATGTCAATATTTAATATATACATCTCTACCCTTAATTTTCTTGATGCAGATATGATCTCTTCAAGAAGGTCTCATTCCCTCTGAACGAATATTTAGATCATTCTCAATGACTTAATGGGAGTGCCCATGTATGCCAAAATTTCTGCTGGGATCCTTGCTGGGTTTGAAATGAAAATCATGGTGTTAGAAATTATAGATTGTGGTCTAATGGAAAGGTATTACTTGTTCAAAAGAAGCAGAGAATGAGATATAAGGTAATGGCAGAAACAATATAGAAGAACGGCACATGTGTATAGAAATTTATTAGTCTAATCCTGGAACTTTGGTGGAGAGTCCTTAGATGAGATTTTCAAAAGTAAAAAACCTTGCACAATCTGTAAAGACCTGCCTGGCTCCTAGCCTCTCTAATCCTCCCTTGGTCACAGCTAAGAGTCTTCAACATTTGCCTCTAGTAGTGGTTCTTTAAGTGGCTGTACACTGGAATCACCTGGGGAACTTTAAAAACTACCAATCCCTGAGCACCACTTCAGAAGTTCTGAAGTACTACTGTCCCTCGGTGTCTTCTGGGGATTGGTTCCAGGATGTACCTCCCCATACCCTGTGTGGATACCAAAATCCGAAGATACTCAATTTCCTTACATAAGATGGTATAGTATTTGCATATAATCAGCACACATCCTCCTGTACACTTTAAATCATCTGTAAATTACTTACAATGCCCAATATAATATAAATGCTATATAAAAATTATACCATACTATTTTAACTTGTATTATTTTTATTGTTGTATTGCTATTTTTTCCAAATATTTTAATCCAAAGTGGGTTGAATCTGTGGATACAGAACCAGTAGATACAAAGGGCTGACTGTAATTGGTTTGTGGTTGGGATTTTTTTAGAGCTCCACAGGTGATTCTAACATGCAGCCAGGGTTGCAAGCCACGGACAGAGGGACTAAGCACCAAGACTTTGGGAATAATTTAAACTTAGAATAGAGAGCTATAGTGACCTCTAATTCAGAGCACATTAATCTTGCTTGTTCTCACTTCAGAGTACTAGAATGACAGAAGACAGAGAGAGGAGAAGAAAAATTATTGGAAGAAATGTTAATCTATACGTCCAATAAACTCAACAAACTCCAATTAGGATAAATACAAAGAAATCCACACCTAGACACATTGTAATCAAAATATTAAAAGCCAAAGATAGAGAAACTCTGGAAAGCTTTATGAGAAAACAACTTATCACATGCAAGAGAATCCTAATAAGATAACCAGCTGACTTCCCATTATAAACAATGGAGGCCGGAGGCAAGGAATGACATATTTAAAGTGCTAAAAATAAAAAAATAAAAATTCAATCAAGAATCTTATATCCAGCATGCCTGTCTTTCAAAAATGAAGGCAAAATAAAGATACTCCCAGATAAACAAGTGAATTCATTGCTAGCAGGCTTGCCTTGTGAGAAAGCTAATTAGGTAATTATAATATACAATATAATTGCATATTTCTTCTTCTCTAAATGATTTAAAAATCAATAGTGTGAAACTTAGAAATAGAAACATAAAAATCCTCAATGAAATACCAGCAAATAAAATCCAGTGACATACAAGAAGGATTATACCCCATGACCAAGTGGGTTTTATTTCAGGAATGATTGGGTTAACATTTGAAATCAATTAATGTAATATACTATATCAACAGGATGAAAGACAAAAATCAAACAAGTATCTCAATAGATGCATAAAAAGCATTTGATAAAATCAACATTCTTTAATTATAAAAGCACTCAACAAATTAGGAATAAAAGGGAATTTTTTCAATCTGTTAAAAGGCATCTACAAAAACCCATAGCTCATCATATTAAAATTAGGAAAGATACAAGGGTGTCCACTCTTGCCACTTACATGACATTGTCCTGGAGGTTCTAGTCAAAGGAATTAGGCAAGAAAAAAAAAAAGACAACTGGATTGCAAAGGAAGAGGGGAAACAACCTCTATTTGCAGATCATTTGATCTTTTTTTTTTTTTTAAGATGGAGTCTCACTCTGTCGCCCAGGCTAGAGTGCAGTGGCGTGATCTCGGCTCACTGCAAGCTCCACCTCCCGGGTTCATGCCATTCTCCTGCTTCAGCCTCCCGAGTAGCTGGGACTACAGGTGACTGCCACCACGCCCAGCTAATTTTTTGTATTTTTAGTAGAGACGGGGTTTCACTGTGTTAGCCAGGATGGTCTTGATCTCCTGACCTTGTGATCTGCCCACCTCCACCTCCCAAAGTGCTGGGATCACAGGCATGAGCCACCATGCCCGGCCAATCATTTGCTCTTAAATGTAAAAAATCTTACAGAATCTATTAAAAGAGGATGAGAATTAACAAAGAAGTTTAATAGGTACATCATTCCAGTAATTCCTTATCACAAACTGGGTATCCAACAATTCAATTCAATTCTGACACCAACTACCTGGAATTAGTGCAGACGCTACAAGTTAAGAGCTCAATCCCATAATACTACCTTCATTTTTAGATATTAACCCCAAGTGGGGTCCTAGGGTGCCCAAATTTCTTCCCAGCCAACTACAAATTTGGAGGTTCCTATGACCAGTCTCCCCTCATGCTTGATAATTTGCTAGAACTAGTCACAAAATTCAGGAGTGCTGTACTTACAATTACAGTTTTATTATAAAGGATACAACTCAGGAACAGCCAAATGGAAGAGATGCACAGGACAAGGTATGTGAATGGGAGTATAGGGCTTTCATGTCCTCTCCAGGAGCAAAAGTCTCTTGGTACACCAATGCATTCTCAAATTCAGAAGCTCCCCAAACCTCATTTTTCAAGGTTTTACCGGGGCTTCATTTTGTAGGCATGATTGATTAAATCATTGGCCACATGACTTAATTCAATCTCTAGTGCCCCTCCCCTTCCCAGAGGTTGAAGGGTGGGGCTGAAAGCCCTAACCCTCTAATCATGTCCTGATCAGCCCTTTCCTTGAAACTATCTGAGTGTCCACCATGAGTTACCTTGTTAGCATAAACTCAGGTATAGTTAGGAATAATGAAAGAACTCCTATACCTCAGGAAATCCCAAGGACTTTTGAGCTCTGTACCAGGAACCAGGGGCAAAGACCAAATATATTTTTGTATTATACCACAGGTAAGGAATTCATTAAAAAACTACTAGAATTAATAAACAAATTTAGTAGGGTTGCAGGATACAAGATCAATATACAAAAATCAGTTGTATTTTTATACACTAGCCATGAACGATGTGAAAATAAAATTAAGGAAACGATTTCATTACAATTTCATCAATAACAATAAAATACTTAGGTATAAATTTAACAAAATTAAGTGTATGGCGTGTACACAGAAAACAACAAAATATTGTTGAAAGAAACTAAAGATCCAAATAAATGTAAAGACACTCCACTTTAATGGATCAGAAGACTTATTGTTGTTAAAATGGCAAAACTCTCCAAATTTTCTACAGATTCAATGCAATTCTTATTAATATCCCAACTGGTTTTTTTGCCTACATTGACAAGCTTGTCCTAAAATTCAGAAATTCAAGAGACCCAGAATAGCCAAAGCAATCTTAAGAAGAACAAAGTTGGGATCAGGCATGGTGGCTCATGCCTGTAATTTCAGCACTTTGGGAGGCTGAGGTGGGTGGATCACCTGAGGTCAGGAGTTCGAGACCAACCAGACCAACATGGTGAAACCCCATCTCTACTAAATACAAAAATTAGCCAGGTGTGGTGGCACATGCCTGTAATCCCAGCTACTTGGGAGGCTGAGGCAGGAAAATCACTTGAACCCATGAGGTGGAGGGAGGTTGCAGTGAGCCAAGATTGCGCCATTGCACTCCAGGCTGGGCAACAAGAGCGAAAACTCCATCAAAAAAAAAAAAAGAACAAAGTTGGAGGAGTCACACTTCTTGATTTCAAAACATACCACAAAGCTTCAGTAATCAAGACAGTGTGGCACAAGGATAGAAATATGGATCAGTGGAATAGAAGTGAGAGCCCAGAAATAAACCCTTACATGGTCAATTCATTTTTGACAAGCATACCAAGACAATCCAATGGAGGAAAGAACAGACTTTTCAACAAATGGCATGGAAACAACTAGATATCCAAATGCAAAAGAAAGAAATTGGACTCCTACCTCACACCATATTAATAGCAAGGAATTACCTTGCCTTGATATTTTTGAAAATGCTACGTATGTTGGCAAAAGAAACAATTTGCACCTCAAACACATTTTGTGAATGAGCAATTTTTTTAGTTTTTGGCATCCCTGAGAAGTGCTAACATTATCCAATGTGAGTAACACTGGGCCAATTCTTTGACTTTTTTTTTTTTTTTTGAGACAGTCTCACTCTGTCACTGAGGCTGGAGTGCAGTGGCGCAATCTCGGCTCACTGCAACCTCCGCCTCCCAGGTTCAAGCAATTCTCCTGCCTCAGCCTCCTGAGTAGCTGGGATTACAGGTGCACACCACCATGCCCGGCTAATTTTTTTTGTACTTTTAGTAGAGATGGGGTTTCACCATGTTGGTCAGGCTGTTCTTGAACTCCTGACCTCGTGATCTGCCTGCCTTGGCCTCCCAAAGTGCTGGGATTACAGGCATGAGCCACCGCACCCGGCAATTCTTTGACTTCTATAGACTCTTCATCTTGTGTGTGAATAGAAGTAGGCACCCTAGGTAATCTCTATGATCTCCTCTTGTTCCAAATTGTTGCAACTAGCACCTTTGTATGCTGGTCATCATTCTGATAAATGAGCCAGCAGGAGAACTGGGGGATGTTAGAATCACCTAAGGGAACATCTTAGAAACAGATATACTAGGTCTCACTCCCTCAAATTCTAGTTGGGTGGGTAGGCCTTGGAAATTGGCATTTTAGAGGAGCATGCCACACAGTCAAGAAACACTGTCAGGTCCAGCCAGGCACGGTGGTTCACGTCTGTAATCCCAGCACTTTGGGAGACCGAGGTAGGTGGATCGCGAGGTCAGGAGTTCGAGACCAGCCTGGCCAACATAGTGAAACCCTGTCTCTACTAAAAATACAAAAATTAGCTGGGTGTGGTGGCACGCACCTGTAGTCTCAGCTACTCAAGAGGTTGAAGGCGGGAGAATCGCTTGAACCCAGGAGGCAGAGGTTGCAGTGAGCTGAGACTAGGCCATTGCACTCCAGCCTGGGTGACAGAATGAGACTCCGTCTCAAAAAAAAAAAAAAAAAAAAAAAAAAAGAAAGAAACACTGTCAGACATCCTTGGAAAACAGCCACCCCTAGAAATCAGGGACCCTTTTTCTCTCTTGTGCCTACAAAGGTAAGATAGACCTCCCAATTGGCATCTATTACTTCCATGTCCAACCCGTCTTGGCTAAACCTCTTTCTTTTAATCTT